>NC_000010.11:102718852-103021883 GCF_000001405.40 Homo sapiens
CCACCTCCTTTCTCTCTTCTTTCTGGTGGTTCTTCCCATCTTTGGGGGCTTCCTTTTCTCGGCTTCTTTTTTTTTTTTTTTTTTTTTTTTGAGACAGGGTCTTGCTATGTTGCCAAGATGGAGTGCAGTGGCGCCATCTCGGCTCGCTGCAACCTTCACCTCCCGGGTTCAAGTGATTCTCCTGCCTCAGCCTCCCAAGTAGCTGGGATTACAGGCGCCTGCCACCACGCCCGGCTAATTTTTTGTATTTTTAGTAGAGACAGGGTTTCACCATGTTAGCCAGGCTGGTCTCAAACTCCTGACCTCGTGATCCGCCCGCCTCAGCCTTCCAAAGCACTGGGGTTACAGGCATGAGCCACCGTGCCCGGCCTCAGCTTCTTTTTTTTTGAGACAGAGTCTCACTCTGTTGCCCAGGCTGGAGTACAGTGGCACAATCTCGGCTCACTGCAACCTCCGCCTCCTGGGTTCAATCAATTCTTGTGCCTCAGCCTCCTGAATAGCTAGGATGATAGGTGCCTGCCACCACGCCCAGCTAATTTTTGTATTTTTTTTTTTTATTAGAGATGGGGTTTCACCATCTTGGCCAGCCTGGTCTCAAACCCCTGACCTCAGGTGATCCACCCGCCTCGGCCTCCCAAAGTGCTGGGATTACAGGTGTGAGCCACTGTGCCCGGCCTTGGCTTCTTAAATGTCCTGATTTTTCAGGGTTTGTCCTCAGCTCTCTCCTCTTCCCATTCTGTGTGTTCTCACTGGAAAACTTTATCGTAAATCACCTCGATGCTGCTGACTCAGTTTTTTCCTTCTAGCTCTGACCTCTGTTTCCTTTCAAGCCTGAATACCCACAGGCTGATGAACTTCTTATTCAGCAAATACTTGAATATTGTGCTAGGCACTGGGGTGACAGTCGTGAGCAAAATGAACATACCACCTCACTTCACAGGTGAATTATTTAACTTAGCTAAGGTGCTATTTCCAAGAAAAAAACAAAATGACCTAGTAGTAGAAGCTATAGAAGTAAATCTGAAAATTATTTGTACAAAAAAATAAAAGGACAAATAGGTACTATTTAGTGAAGAGAGGAAAGACTAGCTTTTGAGTATTGTGTTTGGAAAGGACCTGAGACAGGAAGAGGCCTATTGCATTTAAGAAAATCCCGGCCGGGCTTGGTGGCTCACGCCTGTAATCCCAACACTTGGGGAGGCCGACGCGGGTAATGGGTCACGAGGTCAGGAGATCGAGACCATCCTGGCTAACACGGTGAAACCGCGTCTCTACTAAAAATACAAACAATTAGCTGGGTGTGGTGGCACGCACCTGTAATCCCAGCTACTCAGGAGGCTGAGGCAGGAGAATTGCTTGAACCCAGGAGGTGGACGTTGCAGTGAGCCGAGATCGCACCACTGCACTCCAGTCTGGGTGACAGAGCAAGACTCCCTCTCAAAAAAAAAAAAAAAAAAAAAAAAAACCCATGGCAGGACCGGGGCTGGTAGCTCACTCCTGTAATCCCAGCACTTTGGGAGGCTGAGGCAGGTAGATCCCTTGAGCTCAGGAGTTGAGACCAGCCTAGCAACATAGGGAGACCCTGTCTCTACAAAAAATACAAAAACTAGCCGGGCATGTTGGCACATGCCTGTGGTCCCAGCTACTTGAGAGGCTAAGGTCAGAGGATCGTTTGAGCCTGGGAGGTGGAGGCTGGAGTAGTGAGCCATGATCATACCACTGTACTCCCACCTGGGCAACAGAGCAAGACCCTGTCTCAAAAAAAAAAAAAAATCCCATGGTATTTGAAACTTAACATGCAGAAATCAAGCTTACTATTAATATTTTCTCCCTCAAAGCCAATTTTTCTGTGCTCTCCCTGTTAGCACCTATCGCCCAAGTCAGAAACCCTAGGTATCACTCTGGATATTTGTCATGTGTCAACTTGGCTAAGCTAAGCAAGACTCCCGGGATTCCCTCTCTGGTATATTCCAGTTATAGTGGCTACCCAGGAGCACACACACACCATCTTCCAGCTCTTCAGACAAACAGTAATCTAGGTGCTGCTGTGAGGGGATTTTGCAGACCTAATTAAATTCCTCAATTGTTTGGCTTTAAGTTAATCAAAAGGGAGATTATCCTGGGTGGCCTGACCTAATCAGGTGGAAGCCCTTTAAAGGAGGGCTAGAACACCCCTGAACCCCCTCTGAGGTTCTGGACTCTGAGCCATTACCCGCGTTGCTCCCTCTCCCCTGGGATGGTCTGTTGCTGGCCGCCTGCCCTGCTGACTTCAGGATTGCCTAGCCAACAGCCACAGTTATGTGAGCCAATTCGCTAATTCCTTGTGATAAATCAATTTCTATATTTTATCAATATTATATTACGTCAGCATTATATATATTTAGGCCAGGAGTGGTGCATGCCTGTAATCCCAGCACTTAGGGAGGATGAGATGGGAGGATTCCTTGAGCCCAGGAGTTTGAGATTACAGTGAGCTATGATTGCACCACTCCACTCTACCCTGGGCAACCAGCTGAGACCCTGCCTAAAAAAAGAAGAAAAAATTATAAAATCTATATAGATAGATCAACATATATTTATAACATATAAAGTTATATATTTATATATGATTTTATATAGCTATATGAATTATTTATGTTTATATATTATTTTTATATGTTATATTTAAACGTAATTCATGTCTATATAAATAAATGTATATATAAATTTATATATTATAAATATATGTTGCTATATCTATAAATTTAAAAAATTATATATTTATATAGTTATATAATTTATATATTTAGAAAATATATATTATAGTATACAAATATATTTTAGAAATATATAAAATATGTATATGTGTGTGTCATAGCCAGGTGCAGTGGCACACACCTGTAATCCTGGCACTTTGGGAGGCCAAGGCAGGCAGATTGCTTGAGCTCAGGAGTTAGAGGAACTCCATGTTGCCCCATGTTATGTTTTGGTATCTACCTGTCTGTCTGTCTGTAATCTACTGATTCTGCTTCTCTGGTTGAACCTTGACTGATAAAATGTTCCTCTTATACCTATTGCTTAGCAGACCTTAACATTCCGCTTCTTTGAAAGATTCTCTCCTGTTGGTCTCTCCTCTGAGTGCACGTGGGTTCATTTGAGCCCTACCTCTTCTTGCCTGGATTACTGGGGTTCTCGTCCAGCTGGTCTCCCTGCATCCCGTGAGGTCCATCCACATCCTGTTTATTCTCATGACTACCCAGTTTGTTCTTAGTAAACTACATATCTGATCTTGTCACTCTTCTTCTTAAAGTCTTTCAATGACTCCCTGAAGCTTTCAGGCAAACATTTAAAAGCGTCAGCTTTTTTTGTATGACTCCATTTTCTCTCCTCTCTTAGCATATCAATTATACTTCTTTTGAAAACCTTTTTAGTGGTTGCCCAGGAGTCTGCAATGTACATTTATGACTAATCCAAATCCACTTTCAAATAACACTATACCACTGCATGGAGTGTGCAAGTACCTTAGAATGGAGTCCTCCCAATTCTCCCCTCCTGTCCTTGATATTACTGCTGTCATGGATTTCTCTGATCCATAAACTGTAATCACCAAATACATTGTTGCTACTATTGTTTTAAACAAACGTATCTGTTTGTTAACTGTTAACAGTTCAGAATAAGAGAAATAAAGATTTTTATTTGTTTGTTTGTTAGTGTTTTTTCCCAGACAGGGTCTCACTCTGTCGTGCAGGCTGGAGTGCAGTGGCACGATCACAGTTCACTGCAGGCTTAGCCTTAGCCTCCCAGACTCAAGCAGTCCCCGCACCTCAGCCTCCCAAGTAGCTGGGACCACAGGCACATGCAACCACGCCTGGCTATGTTTTTTTCTTTTTTAATTTTTATAGAGACAGGGTCTCACTCTGTTGCCCAGACTGGTCTCAAACTCCTGGGCTCAAGCGATGCTCCTGCCTTGGCCTGCCAAAGTGCTGGGATTATAGGTGTGAACCATCCCACCTGACCAGAAGAACTTCTTTTAACATCTTGTAAGTCAGGTCTGCCAGTGACAAATTTCCTGTTTTGTTTGTCCAAGAAAGTCCTTTTTTTTTTTTTTTTTTTTTTTTGAGACAGGGTCTTACTCTGTCACCCAGGCTGGAGTGCAGTGGCTTGATCTTGGCTCACTGCAGCCTCCGCCTCCTGGGCTCAAGCATTCCTCCCACATCAGCCTCCCCAGTAGCTGGGACTGCAGGTGTGCACCACCACACCTGGCTAATTTTTCTATTTTTTGGTAGAAAAAAAAATACAAAATGAGGTTTCACCATGTTGGCCAGGCTGGTCTCAAACTTTTGACCTCAGGTGGTCCACCGGCCTTGGCCTCCAAAGTGCTGAGATTACAGATGTGAGCTACCATGCCTGGCCGACTAGAAAGTTTTGTTTTTTTTTTTTGACAGAGTCTCACTCTGTCACCCAGGCTTGAGTGCAGTGGCGTGATCTCGGCTCACTGCAACCTCTGCTGCCCAGGTACAAGCGATTCTCCTGCCTCAGCCTCCCGAATTGCTGAGATAACGGGCACCTGCCACTGCGCCCGGCTAATTTTTGTATTTTTAGTAGAGATGGGGTTTCACCGTCTTGGTCAGGCTGGTCTCAAACTCCCGACCTCAGGTGATCCAACCGCCTCGGCCTCCCAAAGTGTTGGGATTACAGGTGTGAGCCACTGCGCCTGGCCCCAACTAGAAATGTTTTAAGGGATATAAAGCAGTTAGTACTTGAGATGATTCTTCTGTAAGATATGGGATAGGTGGAAATGGGTAACGACTAACAGAATCAGATGGTATGCATCCCCAAATAGTAATTCCAATGATCTAGGAAGACCAACATTCCCACACCATCCCTACCACCACAGACTCAGTGTTTCTCAATGAGAGACAGAATTTGTGTATGGAGGATCTGAGTCCAAGCCCTTCTATTAGTATAATTGCATTAATATTATTTGTTTCTTTTTTTTGTTTTAACTTTTACTTTAGATTCAGGGGTACACGTGCAGGTTTGTTACATAGGTAAACTTGTGTCACTGGGGTTGTACAGATTGTTTCATCACCCAGCTACTAAGTTTAGTACCCATTAGTTATTTTTTCTGATCCTCTCCCTCCTCCCACCCTTCACCCTCAAGTGAGCCCCAGTGGGGTCTGTTGCTCCCGTTTTTGTGTCCATGTGTTCTTATCATTTAGCTCCCACTTTTAAGTGAGATATTTGGTTTTCTTACTTATAAATGTGATATTTGGTTTTCTGTTCCTGCATTAGTTTGCTAAGGATAATGGCCTCCATCTTCATCCATGTCCCTGCAAAGGACGTGATCTCGTTCTTTTTTGTGGCTGCATAGTATTCCATGGTGTACATATACCACATTTTCTTTATCCAGTCTGCCATGGATGGGCCTTTTGCATTTGGACAATTTCTACTGACACGTGTTCAGGCTCACTGATTCTTTCCCTGGCCATGTCCAGTCTACTGATGAGTCCATCCAAGACTTTCTTCATCTTTGTTACAGTATTTTTGATTTCCAACATTTCCTTTTGATTCTTTCTTAAGAGTTTCCGGCTGGACGTGGTGGCTCACGCCTGTAATCCCAGCACTTTGGGAGGCCGAGGTGGGCGGATCACGAGGTCAGGAGATCGAGACCATCCTGGCTAACATGGTGAAACCCCATCTCTACTAAAAATACAAAAAATAGCTGGGCATGGTGGTGCACGCCTGTAGTCTCAGCTACTTGGGAGGCTGAGGCAGGAGAACCACTTGAACACGGGAGGCAGAGGTTGAAGTGAGCCGAGATCGTGCCATTGTACTCCAGCCTGGTGGCAGAGCAAGACTCCGTCTCAAAAAAAAAAAGATTTTCCATCACTGCTTATGTTATTTGTCTGTTCTTGTCTGTTGTCCACTTTTCCCTTCAGAGTCCTTAGAATATTAACCATCGTTGTAATTAATTAATTAATTAATTTTAACCATAGTTATTTAAAATTCCTGGTCTGATAATTCTAAAATCTCATATCTAAATCTGATTCTGATACTTGGCCTGTTTCTTCAAACTGCGTTTTTTTTTTTTTTCTTTTTAGTATGCCTTGTAATTTTTCACTGAAAGCTGGACATGATGTACCCTGTGAGAGGAACTGAGGGGTGAGGTTTTGTTTATCTAGGCTATGTTTACTGTTTGCTGTAGCTATAGGTATAAAAGGCTAAATTTTCTTCTGGTGTCCTTGTTCTTATCTCCCTTGCTGTCTATGGGTCTCTAGAGACTTCTTAAATAGGGCCTAAGACTTGTTACTCTTTTTGTTATAATCCTTGTAATGATACAGGAGCCCTGCTGGTGCAGTGGTGAGGTGAGGGAGTGGAGGATCTACAGTCCTGTGATGAGGTCTCAGTCTTCTGGGGAGCCTGTGCCCCTGAACCTTCACAAGAGCTTCTCAGCCTCCCCTTGTCCTCTTTAGGTGAGGCAGGAAGGCAAGAGGTGGCTGGAGTTCTCTTTCCCCAAGTCACTTAAGTTCTGGTACAACCCAAGATGGTTAGGCTCTGGTAAAATAGTTTCCCTCAAGGGTAGACCTTGTTGAGAAGAATAAAAGGGCTGGGCATGATAGTGCATGCCTGTAGTCCCAGCTACTTGGGAGGCTGAGGTTGGAGGATTGCTTGAGCCCAGGAGTTCGAGGTTGCAGTGAGCTATAATCATGCCTGTCAATTACCATTCACTCCAGCCTGGATAAAATAATGAGACTCTGTCTCTAAATAATAAAACAGGCCAGATGCGGCAGCTCACACCTGTAATCCCAGCACTTTGGGAGGCCGAGGCAGAAGGATTGCTTGAACCTAGGAGTTTGAAACCAGCCTGGGCAACATAGCGAGGTGCCATCTCTACAAAAAAATACAAAAATTAGCCAGGGTGGTGGTATGTGCCTGTAGTCCCAGTTACTCAGGAGGCTGACCTGGGAGGTAATAGTTGCATTGAACCATGATCACACCACTGCATCCCAGCCTGGGTGAGAGAATGAGACCCTGTCTCAAAAAAAAAGTAAAATTAAATAAAAAAAAGAAGTATAAAGGGCTTTGGGTGTTTTTTTGTTTGTTTGTTTTGTTTTGTTTTTCCCCCCAAGATGGAGTCTTGCTCTGTCACCCAGGCTCAGGCTGGAGTGCAGTGGTGTGATCTCAGCTCACTGCAACCTCTGCCTCCTGGGTTCAAGCAATTTTTCTGCCTCAGCCTCCTGAGTAGCTGGGATTACAGGTGCCTGGCACTGCGCCCGGCTCATTTTTGTATTTTTAGTAGAGATGGGGTTTCACCATGTTGGCCAGGCTGGTCTCAAACTCCTGACCTCATGATCCCCCTGCCTCGGCCTCCCAAAGTACTGGGATTACAGGCATGAGCCACTGCACCCAGCTGGCTGTTTTTCAAAATGGCTACTTTTCCCATCTCCCCTGCCAGAAACACCTGGGGGTATTATACTATTTAATGGGTGGGCTTTTGTTCCCAGAGCTCTCCAAGCACAGGCACTGTATTGTCCCCTTTTCCAGTCCCTCCTGCTGTATGGTCAAGCACAGAGCTGGCCACCAGCAGGCCCTCAGGAAACACATGTTGGTGCCCAGTTGCTCAATCTGATGACCATTCACTTGGGCCCTCCCAAGCTGAGTCAGACGATGCCCAGTAGCTGGTGAGAGCAGGCAGTCTGCAACAGTGGGACGTGCTCAGGTCCTCTGTGGTGGGCTTTGATTTAGGGGACAGTCATCTTCTTCCTTTGTCCCTTAGGTCCACAGTTTTATGTGTGAGCAAGATGGAGGCTGACCTGTCTGGCTTTAACATCGATGCCCCCCGTTGGGACCAGCGCACCTTCCTGGGGAGAGTGAAGCACTTCCTAAACATCACGGACCCCCGCACTGTCTTTGTATCTGAGCGGGAGCTGGACTGGGCCAAGGTGATGGTGGAGAAGAGCAGGTGAGGGGTCGGGGAAGGGGCTGGAAGTAGTAGGGTAACATTGATGGGGTCCTCTTGGGAGGAGGTGGAAACCGAAGGTGAAGGAATAGGCAGAAATCTCAGGGCTGGGGGCTGGAAGAAGTGAGAGTGGGGAGACTGGGAGACATTGATCAGGCAGGATGGTGACTGCCTGCTGTCCTTGGGTGGCAGGATGGGGGTTGTGCCCCCAGGCACCCAAGTGGAGCAGCTGCTGTATGCCAAGAAGCTGTATGACTCGGCCTTCCACCCCGACACTGGGGAGAAGATGAATGTCATCGGGCGCATGTCTTTCCAGCTTCCTGGCGGCATGATCATCACGGGCTTCATGCTCCAGTTCTACAGGTGGGACCTGGGGGCAGGGCCGTGGGAGGTACAGCTGCCTGGATCTGCTGGTCAGGGAGCCATACTATGATAATAATAATAGTTCTCTTGATTGGTCACTTACCAGATACCAGGCACTATGCTACATTCTTTGCTCGTATTGCTTCATTTAACCCTCGCAACAACCCTACACTATAGGTACTATTATTTCCATTTTATAGATGAAGAACTAGAGTTCTAGAGAAGCTGAAGAACTTGTCCAGGTTTAAACAGGCAGGAAATATGGGTGCCTGGATTTTAACTGAGGCAGTCCTGTGTAGAACCCTCAACAAATAAGCTACCCCAATTCCCTCTTTAAAAAGTACTTATTCCACAATGATTTTAATTATGTAACACCCAAACAAAACAATAGGAAGTCCCTTTCTTGGCTTGGTTGGGGAGAGAATAGACTGCCTCTGTAGCTGCTGGACATGTGACTCTTCTTCCTACCTCTTCCTTCCTCCCCTGCGTCCCCCACCCCACGCATTGATTGGTTCAGCTATTGAGCTGGGCTTTGGGCCGGGTGTTGGGAATGTGAAGGCTTCAGTAACCTCCCGTCAAGGAGCTCCCAGTTTTGTTGAGGAGACCAAGAAGTAAACAGTTACAGTACAGCTTGGTAAGTGGTAGGTTGGAGGAAGAACATGGGGTTGTGGGAGCAGGAGCATGGAGTGACTTACTCTGTCTCAGGAGGGGCAGGGAAAGGGTCGGGAAGGTTCCATGGAGGAAGTGATCCCTCTCAACAGGGCAGGGTTGGCCATGTATGGAAGGAGGAGGGGGAGATATTTGAGGCAGAGGGGCCAGCCTGCGCAGAAGCCCAGGTGCATAAAACAGTATGGGAACAAGCTGGGCACGGTGGCTCATGTCTGTAATCCCAGCACTTTGGGAAGCCAAGGCGGGTGGATTACTTGAGGTCAAGAGTTCAAGACCAGCCTGACCAATATGGTGAAACCCCGTCTCTACTAAAAATACAAAAATTAGCCAGGCGTGGTGGTGTGTGCCTGTAGTCCCAGCCACTTGGGAGGCTGAGACAGGAGAATTGCTTGAACCTGGGAGGCGGAGGTTGCAGTGAGCTGAGATCGTACCACTGCACTCCAGCCTGGGTGACAGAGTGAGACTCCGTCTCAAAAAAATAAAAATAAAAAACTAGTATGGGAACAGTGTGGGGACCTGCAGATCATGTGCTTTGACTGGCATACCCTCAGGACTCCCTGCCATCTGACTTCTCTCTGCCTCTCCTGGCCTTCCTCACTGGTAGGACGATGCCGGCGGTGATCTTCTGGCAGTGGGTGAACCAGTCCTTCAATGCCTTAGTCAACTACACCAACAGGAATGCGGCTTCCCCCACATCAGTCAGGTAGGAGACCTGAACCCCAGGCTGTCCTCGTGTCTCCCCACGAACAGCTTTTCTAAAGGGTTCTGGGCTGTCAGTCCTTCCTGGGTAGCACCTGCACTGAGCAGGTGACCAAGTCACCCTTTCCCAGGGTTTGGAAATATTTTCTCAAGCTGAGTAGGGGTGGATCTTCTTCCTAGACCAATTCCAAATGTGTTTATTCATTCATTCTCTAAATATTTCTTCTTGAGTGTGTCTTATGTGCTGGGGATGTGCATGGTTCTAGATGCTGGGATACATTGTTAAGACATGTGGTTGGGCCAGGCACGGTGGTTCTCACCTGTAATCCTAGCGCTTTGGGAGGCTGAGGCAGGCAGATTGCCTAAGATCAGTCTCAAAACAAACAAAAAAAACCACCCAGAAAACCAGGGTTGCAAGGCAGAGAACAGCAGAGCGGTGTCTGTGTAGTTAGGCCACTTAGAGCAGTCCCATCTGTGAAGACGACATTTCAACTGTCCTGAAGGATGAGGGATGAATGACCCAAGAGCCCAGGGAACACCTCCCCGCATAGGGAGCAGCCGTGTGCAGAGGCTCCGAGGCAGGGAGGAACTTGGCATGTTCACAGTACTGAAAGAAGACCAAGGGGGCTGGAGCACTGTGAGTGAGGGGGAGAGGGTCACAAGATAAGGCTGGGGACAGATCCTGTGCGGTTTTCACGCACGAAGCCTCGCCAGCCGACTTTCTCCCTGAAGCCCGTGGTTTGGCCCTCAGCCGGCAGGGGCCCCACTCCCAAGCATCTCTCTCCTCCCCCAGGCAGATGGCCCTTTCCTACTTCACAGCCACAACCACTGCTGTGGCCACGGCTGTGGGCATGAACATGTTGACAAAGGTATGGTCTGGGGCCGCTGCAGCATGGTGGCCACGCGGGGGCAGCAGAGTCCTAGGGAAAACGTCCTTCCCCCAGGGACAGTTCCCCAGGCTGGGTGAGTTGGGAATGGCCAGAGCCCGGCTGGCCAAGTGATGAGAAATACACCAGGGCCGTCCCCAGGTTGGTTCTTCTTGGGCCTTTGAGGGAGTTTGGGGTTCCCAGACTGGGTGTCTGGATGTGTGGCGGTAGCAAGGCCTAGTTTTCTTTTTTGTATTCTAGTCGTTCAGCCCCCTCCCCTCCCATCTTCCAGCGCTTCTGAACAACTCCTACTGTTCTCTTCCCCCAACAGAAAGCGCCGCCCTTGGTGGGCCGCTGGGTGCCCTTTGCCGCTGTGGCTGCGGCTAACTGTGTCAATATCCCCATGATGCGACAGCAGTGAGTAAAGGCCCCTTTTTCTCCCTACAAACCACAAGATTAGCAGAAAAGGGGCAAGAAACCAAAGCAGTGGGTGGCTTCTGGGGACTGCGGTGGGCATGGGGAGGGCTGCTGGGCTGAGCCTCTGAAGGGCCCTGGGATTGGCAGCTCCCATGGTGATGGCCCCGGGAGTGGTGGGTGACTTTGGGTTAGGCCGTGTGTTGAGTCCCGTGGGAGTCCTCTCCTGGGTGATGTGGGATGGGAAAGACAGGGTGGACCTGTGGAGTTTTACACTGGATCATGTCCTTTTGGACCTGTGTTAAAATTGTGAACTCCTCCTACTTCCCAAGCCCTGGGGATGGCATACAGAATGAAATGTAGCAGGCTGAGGTGTCTAAAGATAGCATAGAACCCAGAAGCTTTGAAAGAAGCCAGAGGAGTAGACAGAAGTTTTCCAGGCACCCAACTCTAAGCTTTTCAGGAGAAAAGGTAAAGGAGAAACTCATTGTGTCTCACAGTTCTTATTTCTTGACTAGAGAAATCTCTGTTATGAGGTTTTAATGATGTAATATATGTAAAGCACTCAAAATAGCACCTGGAACATAAGAGATGCTACATAAGTGTTCACTGTTATTTCTACCATTGTCATCATCATCAATATCTACAAGCCACATTTTCTTGGGACTACCAACAAATGGAAAATGTTCACACTAGTCTTTGTAGAGGAAGCACTACCAGAATAGTTGTGCACACATGCTGCTCCATTCATCTTTCCTTCCCCATCCAGTGGCCCTTTCCTAACAGGAGAATGAGTCCCTGCCACCTACCGGGGCTTGAGTTGAGTGCTGTCAAGAACTGGCCTGAGAAGAACAGCTGGGGTGGGCTGGGTGCGGTGGCTCACGCCTGTAATCCCAGCACTTTGGGATGCTGAGGCAGGAGGATCACCTGAGGCCAGGAGTTTGAGACCAGCCTGGCCAACATGGCAAAACCCCATCTCTACTAAAAATACAAAAATTAGGGCCAGGCGTGGTAGCTCACGCCTGTAATCCCAGCACTTTGGGAGGCTGAGGTGGGCGGATCACGAGGTCAGGAGATCGAGACCATCCTGGCTAACACGGTGAAACCCCGTCTCTACTAAAAAATACAAAAAATTAGCCAGGTATGGTGGCGGGTGCCTGTAGTCCCGGCAACTTGGGAGGCTGAGGCAGGAGAATGTTGTGAACCCGGGAGGCGGAGCTTGTAGTGAGCCAAGATCGCACCACTGCACTCCAGCCTGGGTGACAGAGTGAGACTCCATCACAAAAAAAAAACCAAAAAACAAAAACAAAAATTAGCCGGGCATGGTGGCGCATGCCTGTAATTCTAGCTACTGGGGAGGTTGAGGCAGGAGAATCGCTTGAACCCAGGAGATGGAGGTTGCAGTGAGCCAAGATCATGCCACTACACTCCAGCCTGGGTGACAGAGTGCGATTGTCTCAAAAAAAAAAAAAAAAAAAAAAGGAATAGCTAGAGTAGCTACTGTTTGTGGAGTGATCACACTGTGTGTCAGGTGCTGGACCAAGTATTTCATAGCCATTATCTCATTTAATCCTTACCAGGTCCTGTAAAGTGGGTGCCAGGATGATCCCCATTTTGCAGATAAGCAAAACTGAGGCTTTGGGAGGGTTAAAGACTGTGCTCAAGGTCACACACATCCCCTGCAGTTTCAGGACTCAACCCAGACAGTCCGGGCCCAGGGCCACCGCTCTCAGCCACTGCCCTAGATCACTCCTAAGATACTGCTTATTGGAGTGCAGAAGGAAGGTCAAAGGCCCAGGCTACAGGAGGTGGCTTCCTGGAGCTTAAGTGGCCTGGCCTTGGTCCCCTGGCATGTCATGTGGCTGGCAGGCTTCCATCACCCCTTTCCCAAGTCCATTAACTCCTGTCTGTGTTTAGGGAGCTCATAAAGGGAATCTGCGTGAAGGACAGGAATGAAAATGAGATTGGTCATTCCCGGGTGAGCAGAGGCCTCCCTTTGGGGTGGGAGGAGGGAATTCCCTCTCATACCCTGTCCCCTCCTTAGTGGTCAGAGTAGGCACCAATATAGGATTGAGAAGCCTTTTCTGGCTCCATCCTCACTCCCTATCAAATTTTCCCCATGTTTCTCTGTTCAGAACAGGCCCCTTCTCTCTTTTCTCCATCATTTCTGGTCCATAAAAACCTGGCTAGGTGGGAGGGGATAAAGTGAGGTCACTCAGCAACTGGAGGGTCCTTCCCTTCCCCTTTACCATCTCAGACTTGGCCATGATGCTGACCCAGCCCCCTGGTGCAGCACATGTACACTGGATACATCATTTCTGACAACTTACTATTTTCTGCCCTCAGAGAGCTGCGGCCATAGGCATCACCCAAGTAGTTATTTCTCGGATCACCATGTCAGCTCCTGGGATGAGTAAGATGGGGAAGCCCTTCCATCCTGGGGAAGCCTGTGACACAGGGTGGAGGTCTCAGCCACACTCAGCTTTTGGGTGGGAGGTGGGGCCCACCTTCTACAGCCATGCTTCTCAAACTGCTTTGCTTGATTGCTGTAAGCCTAGAAGAACCACACTAGTTCCTAGAACATCAGTTCATCCAAGGTTTGGGGTAGAAAGTTATTTTCATTTTATTAATACTTGTCAAGCCCTTGTGTTTAATGTTAGACACAGTGTGGGGTGCTAGGGAGAGTGATAGAGAAAATAAATTCCCTGCTTTGGTTTGCTTCCAGCAGTGGGTGTATTGCAAAATTTGTTTGCACGAACGTACAAATACATTTTTGAGTTTTGAGAAGGTAGCTTTGGACCTAGCAGCACATGTTTTCCTGATATTGCAAGTGTGCAGGTTGAGAAGCTTGGGAAGCACTGTTCTGCCAGGACTTTGGGGAGAAAGTTTGGGGGTGGTCATGCCTACTTGCTCTTCTGTTCTGCCTAGTGGTAAGTATTTTCTGGAGCTTCTGCTGAAGGAGAGGGAACCACTTGGTTCCTGGTCTGACTTCAGAAGGAGTCCTGGGGAGAGCCTCCCAGCCCTCCCCTCAGCTTCTCCCTGGTCTCTTCCAGTCTTGCTGCCAGTCATCATGGAAAGGCTTGAGAAATTGCACTTCATGCAGGTATGTAGGGTTTGCTTTGGCATTTTCCCTGCCCAGAGTGCGTCCAGCCACATCTGTCCCTAGGGATACCTGACCTGCCCTCCCCCACCCATCCTTCCCTTTAGCTACCATGCTGTCATCTCACTCAAGCCCACACCAATCTCCACTGACCTCCTGTTTAGATATACCATGGCCAGTTTCCTTACCTGGTCTGCAGAGAACAAGGCCTTCTTTAAGGGCCAGGGGGTCCTTGCCTGTGGGTTTTTCTTTTTTCTTTTGAGATGGAGTCTCGCTCTGTCGCCCAGGCTGGAGTGCAGTGGCGCGATCTTGGCTCACTGCAAGCTCCGCTTCCTGGGTTCATGCCATTCTCCTGCCTCAGCCTCCCGAGCAGCTGGGACTACAGGTGCCTGCCACCACGCCCAGCTATTTTTTTTGTATTTTTAGTAGAGACGGGTTTTCACTGTGTTAGCCAGGATGGTCTCGATCTCCTGACCTTGTGATCTGCCCATCTCGGTCTCCCAAAGTGCTGGGATTACAGGCATGAGCCACTGCGCCCAGCCACCTGTGGGCTTTTCTAGCTGGCTGATCCATGGCAGAGCAGGGTTGGGGTTCACCTTAAGGCATAGAAGTACCATGTGGATCTGTCTTTTATTTGTTTTTATACAGAAAGTCAAGGTCCTGCACGCCCCATTGCAGGTCATGCTGAGCGGGTGCTTGTAAGTATCATATTTTGATGATTTGGGTTCTGCGTGGCTGGAGCACTCAAGATGTGTCGTCTTGTCTAGCCCGTGTTGGAGAACGTGTACTCCTTTACCTGACTTTAAAAGTGGTCAAGCTCAGAATACCTGTGGTCCATCTGGAAAGCTCTCACCCCATCTTTTGTGAGGGCATCAGGCTGGCTAGACTTTATGCACGTGTCCATGTAGGAAGTCCAGTGCTGAGGTGCCCTCCCATCCCAGGGTCTCTCCTTTGACCTTAAGTCTGGAGCAATTTTTTTGTTTTTTGCTTTTTTTTTTTTGAGATGGAGTCTCGCTCTGTCGCCCAGTCTGGAGTGCAATGGCGCAGCCTCAGCTCGCTGCAACCTCCACCTCCCAGGTTCAAGCAATGCTCCTGCCTCAGCCTCCTGAGTAGCTGGGATTACAGGCACGCACCATGATGCCTTGCTAATTTTTGTATTTCATCATGTTGGCCAGGCTGGTCTCGAACTCCTGACCTCAAGTGATCCACCTGCCTCGGCCTCCCAAATTGCTGGGATTATAGGCATGAGCCACTGCGCCTGGCTGTCTGGAGCAGTTTTACAGAAGAGATAAGAACGAGGAGACATAGCTTTGGCTGGGACTGTCATGTGTCCCAGACTCACACAGGAGGGAAATGCCACCAGTCACGTCAGGGTTCTTAGGTATCTGCCATTAACTGGAGATGTCCTAGCGTTCACCATGCATTTCAGGGCCACGAGACTAATGACAGCATCACTAACAGCTAACACTGACTGTATATTTTCTCTGTGTCCCCACTGAACCCAGTGTTTCATATCTATAATTTCACTTAATTCTCCCAGCCTTAGAAATCTACATATTATTATCATCTCCTTTTACAAATGAAGAAACTGAGACTTAGACAGAGTAAGAAACTTGCCCAAGGGTATATAGCTGGTAACTGCTGGAGCTGAGATTTGATCAACAGTCTAACATTATGCTATACCAACTTCTGCTAATTGAGTAGTTACCATGGGCTGGGTGCTTTACATACATATCTCATTGAATCCTCACAGTAACCCTGCAAAGTAGGCACTGCAAAGTGGTCTGCAGTAGCCCTAAAAAGTAGGTTGTCCTCCCTCTGTGTCTCTGAGGTAACTTGTCCAAGATGGCACAGCTAGTAAGTGGTAAAACTGGGATACCAACCCAGGTCTGTCAGAGTCCCGCGTCCTGTAAGACCTTGCCTCCCAAACCCTGGTCCATGCCAGCATCGTTGGCATCCTCTGATAACTTGTTAGAAGTAAAGACTCTGAAGTCCTTCCCCAGACCCCCTCAGTTGGCACCTGGCATTTTAATAAGCTCCTGAAGTTATATGCACAGTGAAGCTGGAGAAACTGCCTTTCACTGTGCTCTGACAGCCCAGGTGTTCAACCAATAAAGAAGCAGGTCTCAGAATCCACAGACTCACTCCTCCCCCTCCATAGTGCCCCTCCCCCACTCCAAAGTGCCCCTCCCCATCCTGGTCACTCCTCCCGATACAAGTCAATCCTCCCCCTCCAAGTTGCTCCTCTCCCTCCTCATCCCTCCTCCCCTCTGTGTCCTTCCTCCCTCTCCATGTTGCTCCTCCCCTCCATGTCCTTCTCCCTCTCCATGTTGCTCCTCCCTGTCCAAGTAGTTCTTCCTACTCCAAGTAGTTCCTTCCCTCCAAGTCACTCCTCCCCCTTCAAGTCGCTCCTCCCCATCCAAGTTGCTCCTCAACCTCCAAGTCATTCTTCCCTCTCCAAGTCGCTCCCCACCCTCCATGCTGTTCCTCCAAGTTGCTCCTGTCCCTCCATGTCGCTCCTCCCCCTCCATGTCCCTCCTCTCCCTCCATGATGCTCCTCCCCTCCATGTCGCTCTTCCCCCTCCATGTTGCTCCTCCCCCTCCAAGTTTCTCCTCTCCCTCCTCGTCGCTCCTTTCGCTCGATGCCAGCAGTGCCTGTGCTCCTTAGGCCTGCTGCTCACAGTCCCTGTTTACTTCATTGTCTTCTTCCTCTGCTTGAACAATGCAGTAAGGGTGGGAATGAGTGATGGGGGTCAGGAGGGTACTGGTTTTATCCCCCTGCCAGAATGAGTATCCTCGCACTGCGGGAACAGGAGGAGGGTTGGAGGGAGAGGATATGGTGCCAGCTGGGAAGGCAGGCCAGGTGCCTGGGCATTGCTCCTTTCCCTTGGGGATGGGGGATGGACGGGCCTGTGGGGAGATGTCCCCTGATGCTTTGGTTTCTCCTTTCTTGCAGCCTCATCTTCATGGTGCCAGTGGCGTGTGGGCTTTTCCCACAGAAATGGTATCTGCTGTTCATTCCTTACTTGGTTTAATTGACCATGCTGCCAGCGCGCTCCCTGATCTGCCTGCTGTCCAGAAGGAGACAGGGAAGGGGCAGGAAGGGCAGCACCTGTCTGAGGACAAGTGTCCATCAGCCTAAAGGCTGGGCCTCTTAACCCTGGTGAATTCTGACAAACGAAAACAGATCTGCGAGGGGCAGGAGAAGCCAGGGACAGGAATAAGGTTGCTCCCTCCCAGTGGAGCAAGCACTGCCTTGAAGAGAAGGTGGGGGAGCAACAACAGACTTTCTCTTCCTGCCAGCTGGGTTATTAGGAAGCTCTCCTCTGGCTGGATCTGGTTTTTAACTTTTTTTTTTTTCTTTTTTTTGAGATGGAGTTTCACTCTTGTTGTCTAGGCTGGAGTGCAGTGGCACGATCTCGGCTCACCACAGCCTCCGCCTCCCAGTTCAAGTGATTCTCCTGCCTCAGCCTCCAGAGTAGCTGGGATTACAGGTGCCTGCCACCATGCCCAGCTCATTTTTTTTTTTTTTTTTGAGATGGAGTTTCACTCCGTCGCCAGGCTGGGGTGCAGAGGTGCAGTCTCGGCTCACTGCAACCTCCGACTCCCTGAACGATTCTCCTGCCTCAGCCTCACGAGTAGCTGGGATTATAGGCACGTGCCACCACGCACAGCTAATTTTTGTATTTTTAGTAGAGACGGGGTTTCACCATGTTGGCCAGGATGGTCTCAATCTCCTCACCTTGTGATCCGCCCGCCTCAGCCTCCCAAAGTGCTGGCACTACAGGCGTGAGCCACCGCGCCTGGCCTCATTTTGTATTTTTAGTAGAGATGGGGTTTCACCATGTTGGCCATGGTTGGTCTTGAAATCCTGACCTCAGGTGATCTGCCCGCCTCAGCCTCCCAAAGTATTGGGATTACAGGCGTGAGCCACCGTTCCCCGTTGGTCGTTAACATTAAATAAGGGGGCTGGTCGTGGTGGCTCACGCCTGTAACCCCAGCACTTTGGGAGGCCGAGGTGGGCAGATCACCTGAGGTCGAGAGTTCAAGACCAGCCTGACCAACATGGAGAAACCCCGTCTCTACTAAAAATACAAAATTATCTGGGTGTGGTGGTGCATGCCTGTAATCCCAGCTACTTGGGAAGCTGAAGCAGGAGAATTGCTTGAACCTGGGAAGTGGAGGTTGCGGTGAGCCGAGATTGCACCACTGCACTCCAGCCTGGGCAACAAGAGTGAAACTCCATCTCAATAAATAAGTAAATAAATAAATAAATAAATAAAGGGACAGGCAGAGGGCTGACAACCGAAACCCCTCTATTTCCTTTGTGTGTCCAAGAAGGAGGAAGCAGGGAGAAGGGATGATGGAAAAGGGAAGGGATACATCAGACTAGGGGGTGGAGGGTGACTGACCCCAGGAGACAAGTGTAGCTTGAATATATACCCAGACAATTCCAGTCTCCCCTTCCTCAGTACTCTAGTTCAATACTACTTCCATGGTCATCTGCTAGACATCTCTTGTGTCCCAAGCACTGTGTTTGTAATCTTGTGGAGAAGATGGAAGTTGAAACGAAGAACCATAGCCCAAGGAGAATGAAGTCAGGCCTGCGTAATGGTAAAGCAACATTGTGGTATACAGAGGCCAATAATAATCCTAGATGGAAAAATCAGGAGGGCTTCTTGGAGGTGATATTCATCTGAGGGTAACTTACTGCTTGTTCCTGGTGGCATGCTCATAATCCACTTCTCTCTTTTCAGTGAATTGCCAGTTTCCTATCTGGAACCGAAGCTCCAAGACACTATCAAGGCCAAGTATGGAGAACTTGAGCCTTATGTCTACTTCAATAAGGGTCTCTAAATGCCCCACTTCAGCAAGGACCAGTCTATTCCCATATTCACCAGCTCCTCCTTAGCTACGTGCACACTTGTGTCCTCCTTCCCCTTTGCCAACAAGGCCTGAAGGCCAGGGTAGATTGGGGGGTGGGACAATGAATGCCTCATACTTACACCCTGGTACTGGTTGATTGGACCTCAGGGGAAAAAAGTGAAAAAGGGTAGCAAAGGCCAATGTCTTCTAGCTGCTTCCTCAACCCCTGTCCCCTGGAGACCAGAAGCTGAGGCCCTCTCAGGGAGGAGACATCCAAGCAAATCATTTGGAAAAGTTAGGAAACCTTTAGGATTCTGGTTCCAGCCAGGGTTGAGGAAAAGACCTTGGATCAAAAGGAAGCTTCTATACCTCTTTCTTCTTCGCTTCCTCCTCTCCCAAGCAATGGAAACTTTTACCCATGTAATTCTAGCTGAACTCAGGAAAAAGAAGGGGGAAAGGACTCTGTCCCCTTGGGGCTCATCACCCTTCCACATCCTCCTCCTCGTTGCCCCCTGGTCAGGCAGCTTCTTTTTTTTTTTTTTCAAGATGGAGTCTTGCTCTGTCGCCCAGGCTGGAATGCAGTGGCGCGATCTCGGCTCACTGCAAACTCTGCCTCCTGGATTCAAGCGATTCTCCTGCCTCAGCCTCTCAAGTAGCTGGGATTACAGGGCACCTGCCACCACGCCTGGCTAATTTTTGTATTTTAGTGGAGACGGGGTTTCACCATGCTGGCCAGACTGGTCTCGAACTCCTGACCTCAGGTGATCCGCCCGCCTCAGCCTCTGAAATTGCTGGGATTACAGGCATGAGCCACCACACCCAGCCCGGACAGCTTCTTTGGGAGTGCTGCTAACCTTGAAATTATCAGACACTTAGGAGTTATTAGTGCTAAAAAGGGGACCGTGCAAGGCAGCAGAGTTACATGGTTCTTCAAATCATGTCTGAACCTATTCTTGGAATCTTCTCTATAATAAGGGAAGTTCTCTTACCCCACTGCCACATACCTCTGTTTTAAAAGATAAGTCCACTAACTGTGAGTAAAAATGATATATATAGGCATTAACCACACACTTTAATGGGTATAATTTCCTGGCTGCCTCCCTTCCTCAGCCCATTAGGTTAAACACCAAAGAAAGACTGGTGTGTACTGAATAGGAAAGGGAAGTTTTATTTGGAACCTTCTAAGAGGAAATCAACCAGGACCAAAGAGCCTTAAAGGACACACAGCAATGCACAGCCACTTCCCTTCCCCAGCTTGGCTGCCCTAGGTGATTTCTCAAGCTCCTTGGGGGACTGTTGTTTCTCATCTGGAATCAATGTGTGTATGAGTTTTGTCTGGTAGGATTGCTGACTCTGTCCAACAGATATCACTGTGAATTGAATAAATTTGTTGAAAGAGCACACAGGCACACATACACACAAACTGTAAACTAAGTTAATGAAGCCTGAATGGAAAGCAGGATCTGGCCTTACTTTGGCCTTGGCATGTCAGAAGGTATCACAACTACTATATAAGGGGAACTTGTCTGATGCCTGGAGGCTGTTGTTTATTTCCCTCATTAAAGGGGAAATCCACCTGTCTCCACAGGAAGCTCCAGATCTCCCAGAATGGGAGCTGTGTTGCCCTAGAGCAAGAGTTGGCAAGCTATGGCTCAAGGGGCCAAATCCACCTGCCACCTGTTTTTGTGCAATTGGAAGCTAAGAATGTTTTTACATTTTTAAAGAGTTGTAAAAGGGAACAACAGGAATGACAGAGACCCTACCTATGTGGCATACAAAGCCTAAAATATTTACTGTCTGATCCTTGACACAAAAAGTTTCCCCTGCCCTGGAGCAGTGGTTCTTAAGCACATGCATCAACCGGGCGCAGTGGCTCATGCCTGTAATCCCCACACTTTGGGAGGCCGAGGCAGGTGGATCACCTGAGGTCAGGAGTTCGAGACCAGCCTGATCAACATGGTGAAACCCGATCTCTACTAAAAATACAAAAAATTTGCTGGGTGTGGTGGCATACACCTGTAATCCCAGCTACTCGGGGGGCTGAGACTGGAGAATCACTTGAACCTGGGAGGTGGAGGTTGTGGTGAGCCAAGATTGCGCCACTGCACTCCAACCTGGGCGACTCCGTCTCAAAAAAAAAAAAGAAAACACATCAGAATTAGCTGGCAGGCTTGTTAAAGCACAGATTGCAGGATCCATTGCCAGATTCTGTCACTCTGGGCTGGAGCCTGAGAACGTGCATTTCTAGTCATTGCCCGGTGATGCTGATTCTGTTGGTCTTGGCACCATACGTGGAGGAGCACTGCTCTAAGGGGAAAGGGCCTCCTCCCCGAGGCCAAGGAATTCACTGCAACTTGATTTTTCTCCCCGTTTAAAAAAGTTAAAATATAACTCACATACCATAAACTTAGTCCTTTTAAAGTGTACAATTCAGTGGTTTTTAATGTAGTCACAAAGTTGTACAAGCATCACCACTAATTCCAGAATTATTTTGAGACAGGATCTCACTCTGTTACCCTGGTTGGAGTGCAGTAGTGCAATCACTGCTCATTGCAGCCTCAACCTCCTGAGCTCAAGTAATCCTCCTGCCTCAGCCTCTGGGGTAGCTGGGACCACAGGCTAATTTGATTTTTTTGATGAGGTCTCACTATGTTGCCCCAGGCTGGTCTCGAACTCATGGCCTCAAGTGATCCTCCTCCCTCAGCCTTCCAAAGTGTTGGAATTACACACATGAGCCACTGCATCTGGTCTCAGAACATTTTTCTTAGCCCCAAAAGAAACCCCATACCCATTGGCAGTCACTCCACATTCTCCCTACCTGCCAGCGCCTCACAATTCACTTCCTGTCTTTAGAGATTTGCGTATTCTGAACATTTCATGTAAGTGGAGTAATGCAGTATGTGGCCCTCTGTGTCTGGTTTCTTTCCTTAGGATAATGTTTTCAAGGTTCATCCATGTTGTAGCATATGCAATTTGATTTTAGCTGGTGTCTGAACAGAAAAGTCTGTCTTTGAGCTAGCTTCTTTAGGACAGGAGACCTGGCTTTATTTCCAAAAGCAAATAGGAAAAGGGAAACATTACCAGAGCCAGTAGAGCTTGGAAACAACTCCTGACTGATGTTCTTTCAGAACATACAATGTTTCCCCTTCCTTCTCAGCTCCTCAAGCCTCTTGGATTTCCTGTTCTCTTATAGACAACTGCTCTTTTGGAAATGTCTGGAAGGTATGTGGTGGCTATAATGTTCAGGGACATTCTAAAAAGTGGTCACTCAAACTGCATCTCAGTCTCATTTTGTAACATCTCTCTTCTTTGAGTTGGCTGCTGTGGGATGTTGAATAAGAGGCAGTTAAGGTTACTAAAAGGCCTTGGTGTGGGAAGTGCTAATCCAGACTGTCCTATCCAATAGCTCAGCTTGAGCTTTCAGGTAAAAGGAGAAAGGGAAGTTGGGGCAAAATCCCCTGTGTTTGCCAAACTGAATTGGGGTTTCTTATTTATTGAGAGAAAGAGGGTATCACTTTCTTGCCCAGGCTGGAGTGCAATGGTATGATCATGACTCATTGCTTCCTCAGCCTCCTGGACTCAAGTGATCCTCCTGCCTTAGCCTCCCGAGTAGCTTCTTTTTCCTGAGTTCGGCTAGAATAGCATGGGTAAAAGGTTCCATTGCTCGGGAGAGGAGGAGGAAGGGAAGAAGAAGAGGTATAGAAGCTTCCTTTTGATCCAAGGTCTTTTCCTCAATCCTGGCTAGAACCAGAATCCTAAAGGTTTCCTGACTACAGGTACATGCCACCATGCCCAGCTAATTTTTAAATTTTTTGTAGACAGAGGGCCTCACTATGTTTCCCAGGTTGGTCTTGAACCCCTGACCTCAAGCAATCCTCATGCCTTGGCCTCCCAAAGTGTTGGGATTACAGGCGTGAGCCACTACATCCCACCTGGGGTTTCTTAGTGATGATGAAACCTAGCCTTTATGTGGAAGACTTACAACTTTTTGAGGCCAGGAATTAGAGACCTTGTGCCATGAAAATAATTTGGTCCTTCCCTAGTACTCAATTTTTACTTCTCCTCTAAGGAGCTTGACTTGTGGAATGGATAAATTTCTAAGAAACGAGAGATTGGCAAAAATACGTGTCACTTTTTATAGTACTTGGAAAAGCAGGATCAAGATAAAGGCAGAACTATGGACTTTCTTAAGCTGAGGGAAGACTGACTTAACTCTTACCTGTTTCCCATTTTTCCAACACTTAAGCCAAGAACAACTTCCTCTGGGCTCAGATGTGGGCTAGACTGGGCCAGGCTGTAAAACACTTTGACAGGTTTTTGAGAGGAAATTGACTGCTAAAGTCAACTGTGTTATTTGCCATGGGTCTTCCTTTGTCCATTTATTTTACCAACTTTTTTTTTTCTTTTTTTTTTGAGACAGAGTCTCACTCTGTCACCTAGGGTGGAGTGCAGTGGCACAGTCTTGGCTCACTGCAACCTCTGCCTCCCAGGTTCAAGCGATTCTTCTGCTTTAGCCTCCTGAGTAGCTGGGACTACAGGCATGCACCACCACGCCTGGCTAATTTTTTGTATTTTTAGTAGAGATTGGGTTTCACAATGTTGGCCAGGCTCGAACTCCTGACCATGTGATCCGCCCACCTCGGCCTCCCAAAGTGCTGGGATTACAGGCAGGAGCCACCGCACCTGGCCTTTTTTTTTTTTTGAGACAGGGTCTCACTCTGTTGCCCAGGCTGGAGTACAGTGGCACAATCAAGGCTCATTGCAGCTTCAATCTCCCTAGCTCTGGTGATTGTCCCACCTCAGCCTCCCAAGTAGCTGGGACTACAAGTGTGCACCACCATGCTTGGCTAATTTGGCTAATTTAGTTTTTTTATTTTTGTAGAGACAGGGTTCTCTCCATGTTGCCCAGGCTGGTTTCAAACTCCTGAGCTCAAGGGATCTACCTGCCTCAGCCTCCCAAAGGGCTAGGATTATAAGCATGAGCCACCACACCTGGCTATTTTACCAACATTGATCAAGCTCTGGTTGAGCCTTGTACAGGATATTATAGGCTTTAAAAGAAGAAGAAGAAAGACCTGGTATGCTGTACAAAAAACTGCAAACCAGGCACGCAGATATAAGTGTTACAAGAATCCAGAAGAAGCAGCAAGGAGATGGGGCTAGGAGTTTGTAAGCAGGGAACTGTATCTGTAATATGTAAATGAAGTTACTGGGCATCTCTTCAATGGTCAGTGTGAGTGGAATGTGTGGGAAAATGTAGTGGTGAGAGGTGAGATAAAGAGAAGTAGACAGGGACGAAGTCACAGAGAGGACCGTGTTGGGAAGTTTGGACTCTCTATTCTGTAGGTAGATGAAGTATTTAAAAGAAGAGGCCATGATATAGTAATATTTGGTTTAATGTGGTATGGTTGTAGTGTGTGGCGGAAATTTGAGAGGAAGAATTGTCAACTTGCAGGGCAGCAGGGAAGCCATTTGTATTTAGCTAGAAGAACATGGATTGAAGCAATGGATGATGGATTTCAGAGCAATTTGTGAAGTAGAACCAGAATTTTGTCCGTCGAACTTGGGGTGACGAAGCACTATGCCTCAGATAAAGGTACTATCTTCTAGGGAATTCAAACGGACCTAAGCTGCTATTTGGGCAGTTGAGACCAAGAGAGGCATCCTGGTAATAGTGCTGTGCTTCAAGACAAAAGACATTAAAATATTTTTACATTGCAATTGTTTTCCTCTTCAGGAGCGCCTGGTTACCTTTCAGGAATAATTTATTTTCCAACACCCTTGAGAAACATTAAACCTTTTTTCTTTTTTTGATGTGGAAAACTGGAAAACTAGTACTTCCGCCACACTCAAGATGGCTACATCAGAAATAGACTTTTCCATCCACCTGGGTGGCCCCGCCCCCTTATGAAGCTGCTTCCGCCACTCTCTGCGGGTTGGGACGAATTTTACACTTCTTCGCAGCATTCAAGATGGTCCGGCTTCCTCCTACTTTTTATTGGCTGCATCGCTTCGTCTTCAGGGGAAGGCGGGACTTATATTTGATCGACAGCTACATTGATCAATGGACAAAGGGCAAAGGCCAATGAAGCGCTGGAACTGGAGAGTCTCTCGCGTGTCTGGGAGGGTGTTTTGCGCGGGGCGGGGTGGAGCAGAGCCGGAAGCGGGAGGGGAGCGTCAAACAGGAAAAGAAGGGAAGAAGGAAGAAGAGGGTAGAGGAGGAGAGGGAGGAGGAGGAGGGAGGTGGCGGCGCCGTGGCGGAGGAGCAGGAGCAGGAGGGGGATGGAGAGGAGAAGGCTCCTGGGTGGCATGGCGCTCCTGCTCCTCCAGGCGCTGCCCAGCCCCTTGTCAGCCAGGGCTGAACCCCCGCAGGTAAGGGGGAGGGGGCGTCTGGGCCATGTTGGGTCCTGGGGGTCGTCGAGGCCTGGCTGGAGGGGTCTGAAGGAGTGTTGTTGCCAAGAGTTGAGGGGTCCCGAGAGGGGCGTCTATGCCTGGCGTGGACAGGATCTAAAGGGGCGTCGGTATTTAGCTGAGGGACACCTGTGACAGTTTTGGTGTCAAGGAGGTGGCAGAGGCATGATGCCAAGCGAGTGAGGGGCGTTTGAGACGGCAGGTTGGTTAGGTGGGCTGGGGTGACTGTGGCTGGATAGCGGTGCCAAGCTGAGGATGTGGGCCTTATTCGTGTCCCTCTGTGGAGCAGGTGTCCCAGGCAGTAATGCAGTATGTACGTCTGTGTGTGTAGGGGTACACAGGCTATTGAGTTGGCCTGTGAGGGAGGGGATCCTGAGGATATTTCTTTAAGGATGGACTGGGGAAAGTTCCGAGGGCATCTTAGTACGTTTAAAAAAAATTACTATGTTCCTGGGAGAGACTTGGCCCCATTTTAAAATCTGTAAGCCATGGCGCACTTGGTTGGAGGGAGGACTCTCAGAAGGCAGGTGGGATGAAACAGAGTGGAACCCCTCAGGAGGAGGAGCACACTTGAGCTGTAACAAGCTCTTGCTGTTAGGCTGGCTGGCCTGGGAGAGCAAGTCACGGATGCTGATCTGAGCCAGCTCAGGGCTTTTGACCAGAGGGTGGTTCTGATGCCAATATGGGCAGCAAATGGAGCACCCTAGCTTTTCTTGCTGGGTGGCTTGCTCTTTATCCAGGCAGAGAAGCTTGCTTGTGCTGATTCCAGCTCCAGCTGGCATTTCAAAACCCTAATGGGAGCGTTACTCCTGGTGCCAAGTTGGGTGGGGTGCAGTGGGGGCAATCACCCCTCCTTCCTTGCATGTGGCAAAGCTTTATGATTCTTTTTTCTTCACTTTCTGTTCTTTTCCCCGTTTTTTCAGAAAGGCATACACACATAGACGCATAGCGTAGTGGCAAAGTTTATACAACTTAGCGCTTGAACTTGTGTTGTGAACAAGAGCAGAAACTGAGTGCCAGCAAAAATACTTATCTTTTCCCTAGGAGTTTTAGGGCTGCCTTTTCACAAATACATCTTGTTTTGCCCATTATCCTCTATTTTAAAATACTGATTAAAAAATAAGTTGAAATTCACATGACAAAAACCATTTTAAAGTGAACAATTCAGTGGCATTTAGTACACTTACAATGTTGTGCAACTACCACCTCTATCTAGTTCCAAAACATTTTCATCACCCCAATAGAAAACCTCGTCCCTACTAAGCAGTTACTCTCTGTCTCCCTTTTCCCCCAGCCCCTGGCAACCACCCGTCTGCTTTCAGTCTCTATGGATTTATCTATTCTGGATATTTTATATAAACGGGATCCTACAATATGTGGTCTTTGTGCCTGGCTCCTTTCACTTAGCGTAATGTTTATAAGGCCCATCCACATCGTAGCATGTACTAGTACTTCATTCCTGTTCATGACCAAGTAACATTCTGTTATCTGTAAACCACAATTTATTTATGCATTGAAGTGTCTAATTTTTCCTCAGGATATGTTTGTGTATACTAGAAATACCATGTGAAAGGAATGTAGCTCATTTTCTAGCCCAGTGTATTCCCTTTTCGAGGGTTGGGACCCTTCTGTTTTAGCCTTTGTTGGGGTTGTTTTTCCAGTGGAAATCATAAACTGGCAGAAGAAATATATTTTTTTTGTTTACTAGAAATGTTATAGCCCTCAGGACCAGTAAAGTTAAGTATAGGTATTGACAACAAAATATAGAATATAGTAAATACAGAATTTACTTTTCCTTTGCACATGTCTGTTTCTGTAAGTATCTCGAAAAGGCTGTCCCCAGTAACCAATAAATAACATCGGTAGAGGTTTGGTTTAGGAATGTCAGAGCCTTTGGAGATGGGCTGGTCAAAGATAGGAACTAGATCCACTTTTTCAGCAACGGGGATGATGGAAAGTGGAGGTTCCTACCAGGTCGTGGAGCCTGGGAGGTGTTGTGAACATGTGGAAGGGGATTGTTAATGTTATATTCTAATTGCAGTTTGCAAACCACAGGCTGCTTTCTTATATCTGTGGCACTTCTAATACTTAATTTTGGGGACAGGTGTCTTTTGTACTTTGTTCCATTTGGATGAATGCTATCACTGACCAACAGCTGTTACACGGTTACAATTCCTGCAGAGAAGGGAAAGTTTTCGTAATGAGCAGTGGCCCTCTTCCTAACCAGCCCCCACATACCCTCACTCCTGACGCTCCCTATACAATTCCATCCCCCACCTTATACTCCTGTCTCTTTCTGTCTGGGAGTACTAGATATCTATAGTGAGATTTCTGTTTTGAATTTTAACCTTCGGAATGCAAGTTACTATATAATTATTAACTCTGAATCCACCGCAATTTAGTCAGTGTATTTTTTTGGGTTTTTTTGGGGGGGGTGGGGGAAGGGGTTGCTTGTACAAATCAGTAAGGAAAAAAAAATCCCAAGGCCATTTTGGCACAGGGCATACTTTAAGTACCCATGGTCCTTAATTCAACAATGAAGTCCAGCTAACTTTGAATTCAGGAGGACTTACTATACTCATTCTGTATCGAATAATGGTATTGGTACCTTATTGCATTTCTCCCACAAAATTGATCTACTTACAATACAATCTTTTTTTTACATGCACAATCTTTTTTTTACATACACATTTACCATCAGAAATAAATGATACTAGGCAACTTGCTTTCCCTGTTACCAGCTCTGCACTGAAACAGCCATTTCTTGTTTATGCAGGCAGGCCCTGGAAAGTTCATCAGCTAGTTCATTCTGTGGTTAGGAACTTAGACTTAACTCTCCTACAGGTTATGACATTACAACTCACAGACGTGAATCCTTAAATCTATAAAGAATGAAAAAGGCTGGGCATGGTGGCTCACCCCTGTAATCCCAGCACTTTGGGAGGCCAAGGCAGGCAGATCACAAGGTCAGGAGATCAAGACCATTCTGGCCAACATGGTGAAACCCTGTCTCTACTAAAAATACAAAAATTAGCCAGGCATGGTGGCACACCTGTAGTCTCAGCTACTCGGGAGGCTGAGGCAGAAGAATCGCTTGAACGTGGGAGGTAGAGGTTGTGGTGAGCCAAGATCATGCCACTGCACTCTAGCCTGGTGACAGAGCGAGACTCCGTCTCAAAAAAAAAAAAAAAAAAAAAAGAATGAGAAAACAGTAGATGCTCCAAATAGTAAGGCTCCGACAGCCTTGGCGTTTGTTTCCTCCAGTTAAATTATCATTGAGATACATAGAGTTTCTTTTGGTTGTTTAGATTTAACCAGAATGTTTGTTTTTGTTGTTGTTGTTTTTGTTTTGTTTTTGAGACAGGATCTCACTCTGTTGCCCAGGCTGGAGTGTAGTGGTGTGATGTGATCTTGGATCACTGCAGCCTCGACCTCCCAGGCTCAAACGAGCCTCCCACCTCAGCCTCCTGAGTAACTGGGACTACAGGTGCATGCCACCACGCCCTGCTAATTTTTGTATTTTTCTGTAGAGATGGGGTTTCGCCATGTTGCCCAGGCCGGTCGCAAACTCCTGGGCTCAAGCGATCTGCCCATCTCAGCCTCCCAGAGTGTTGGGATTACAGGCATGAGCCACTCTGCCCAGCCTAAACAGAATATTTGACTATGTTATTTAAAACAAAGTTTTGGTAGAAATGTCTTTTTTTAATAGGGTAACTCAGCCAGTGGTTTAGGGACAAATCTCTAGAGATGCAGTCCTTACCTTTCCTTTGCCAGGCTTAAAACTTTGAGCTGGGCCTGGCACGGTGGCTCACACCTGTAATCCCAGCACTTTGGGAGGCCGAGGCAGGCGGATCACGAGATCAGGAGATTGAGACCATCCTGGCTAACACAGTGAAACCCCGTCTCTACTAAAAATACAAAAAATTAGCTGGGCATGGTGGTGGGCACCTGTAGTCCCAGCTACTCGGGAGGCTGAGGCAGGAGAATGGCGTGAACCTGGGAGGCGGAGCTTGCAGTGAGCCGAGGTCGCGCCACTGCACTCTCCAGCCTGGGCAACAGAGCGAGACTCCGTCTCAAAAAAAAAAAACCAAACAAACAAAAAAAAACTTTGAGCTGGATGGGGGCCTCAGTTCCTGCTATTTTTTCCCACCTCACCCTCAATGGTATACCCTTTGGTTCCCACCTTACCTTTACTCACCTCCATTCCCAGTTTTCAGTCTGGAAGCCCTACTCCATTCTCCTTTCTTACAAATGGTATTTCAATGCCATCACCATCATTCCTCCTTATACAATAGTGGGATTCGAGACTTCCAGATTCTAATCCCTTTTACCTCACCTGCTTAGTGCGTTTGATGTACCAAAGTGTAAAATCAGCACCTTGAGTTTCTGCAAACTCTTTCAGTGGAATTCAGTAGGCATCAAAGAATGGACATTTACTGAAATGTCTACTCTTTGCAGCAGGCTATTATTGCTAGGCCCTGGGAACCATCAAATGAGTATGGAATCCCTGTTCCCCAGGAGCTGGAAATCTTGTGGCAAGGACAGATAGCGCACACAGTGAATTGTAATCCAGAGGTTTTGCTGAAATGGAAGTACAAACAAAGGACTGTCAGCACAACTGATTCTGCTAGGGCAAGAGGAAGATGGGGTGCTAAGAAGAACTTCATTAAGGAAAAAGCATTTGTTCAGGACTTTAAAGGTTGATAAGCATGGGTAGAGTATGGACCAGGAAGGGGAAAAATGGATTCCAGTGTGGAAGAATGAAAATGGAGAGTGTGTTTGGAGGTGACATGTACTCTGTGGCAGAAGCTTTGTGTGTGGATGTGTAGAGGAGTGTGGAAGTGGGGGAGGCTCGAAAGAGAGGCTGTTGTCACATGGTCAGGAGGCCTTTCATCCATTCATCTAAGGCTGCACCATCCAGTAGAACCTTCTGTGATGCTGGAAATGATCTCTCTCTGTGCCGTCCAATTCAGTAGCCACTTAGCCAGGTGGCTGCTGAGCATTTGAAATGTGGCTAGGATAACTGAGGAACTGAATTTTGAAACATATTTAATTTTGAAACATATTTGTTTATTTACATATTTTTATTTTTTAGAGACAGAATCTTGCTCTGTTGCCCATAGGGTTTCTGTCGCTGGAATGCAGTGGTGTAGTCGTAGCTCACTGCAGCTTTGAACTCCTGGGCTCAAGCGATCCTTCTGCCTCAGCCTCCCAAGGAGCTAGGATTGTTGGTGCATGCCACCACACCTGGCCCTATATTTAATTTTTTTTCTTTTTTTTTTCTCTCTAATAAAAAAAATTTTTTTTTAAGTAGAGATGAGTGTCTCACCATGTTGCCCAGGTGGGTCTAGAACTCCTTGGGCTCAAGTGATCCTTCCACCTTGGCCTCCCAAAGTGTTTGGATTACAGGCGTGAGCCACCATGCCTGGCCTAATTTTTTTTAATTAAAAAAATTTTTTTATAGAGCAGAAGTCTCACTATATTGCCCAGTCTGGTCTTGAACTCCTTGGCTCAAGTGATTTTCCTGCCTCAGCCTCCCAAAGTGCTGGGATTGCAGGCGTGAGCCACTGTTCCTGGCCCTCCATATTTATTTATTTATTTATTTATTTTTTGAGATGGAGTTTCATTCTTGTTGCCCAGGCTGGAGTGCAATGGTGCAGTCTTGGCTCACTGCCACCTCTGACTCCCGGGTTCAAGGGATTCTCATGCCTCAGCCTCCCAAATAGCTGGGATTACAAGCACTGCCACCATGCCTGGGTAATTTTTTTTGTATTTTTTTTGTAGATACGGGGTTTCACCATGTTGGCCAGGCTGGTCTCGAACTCCTGACCTCAGATGATCTGCCCGCCTTGGCCTCTCAAAGTGTTGGGATTACAGGCGTTAGCGACCACGCCTGGCTGCCCATATTTAATTTTTTATATCAACTTTATTGAGATATAATCAGGTCAGGCGCAGTGGTTCACACCTGTAATCCCAGCACTTTGGGAGGCTGAGGCGGGTGGATCATTTGAGGTCAGGAGTTCTAGACCAGCGTGGCCAACATGGTGAAACCTCATCTCTACCAAAAATAGAAAAATTAGCGTGCACCTGTAATCCCAGCTACTCAGGAGGCTGAGGCAGGAGAATCGCTTGAGCCCCATAGGCAGAGGCTGCAGCGAGCCTAGATCACGCCACTGCACTCCAGTCTGGGCGATAGAGTGAGACCCTGTCTCAAAAAAAGAAAAAAAAACTTTATTGAGGTAATTTACATGCCAAAAAAATTCACCCTTTTAAAGTATACATAAATTGGTGTTTCAGTATAGTCACAGAATTTGTGACTATCAGTGCTAATTTTAGCATATTTTCTTTTTTTTTTTCTTTTGAAACGGTGTCTTGCTCCGTCGCCCAGGTTGGAGTGCAAACTCCGCCTCCAGAGTTCAAGCGCTTCTCCTGCCTCAGCCTCCTGAGTAGCTGGGACTACAGGTGCCCACCACCACACCTGGCTAATTTTTTGTATTTTTAGTACAGATGGGGTTTCACTGTGTTAGCCAGGATGGTCTCGATCTCCTGACCTTGTGATCCGCCCGCCTCAGCCTCCCAAAGTTCTAGAATTACAGGTGTGAGCCACCACGCCCGGCCCAATTTTAGCATATTTTCTTTACCCCAGAAAGAAACCCCATAGCCATTAGCAGTCACTTCCCTTTCTAGCCCCTTTTCTTCCATCCCTTAGTGACCACTGATCTACTTGCCATTCCTATGGATTTGCCTGTTCTAGACATTTCATATAAAGTGAATGGTACACTATGTGGTCTTTTGTGGCTTATTTCACTTACCATAAGGTTTTCCTTTCTTTTTTTGAGACAGAGTCTCACTCTGTCACCCAGGCTGGAGTGCAGTGGTGTGATCTTGGCTCACTGCAACCTCTGCCTCCTGGGTTCAAGTGATTCTCCTGTCTCAGCCTCCTGAGTAGCTGGGACTACAGGTATGCACCACCATGCCTAGCTAACTTTTGTATTTTTTAGTAGAGATGGGGTTTTGCCATGTTGGCCAGGCTGTTCTCGAACTCCTGACCTCAGGCGATCTGCCCGACTTGGCCTCCCAAAGTGCTGAGATTACAGGTGTGTGCCACTGCGCCCAATCAAGGTTTTCTTTTTTCTTTCCTTTTTTTTTTTTTGAGACACGATCTCCCTCTGTTGCCCAGGCTGAAGTGCAGTGGTGCAATCTCAGCTCACTGCAATCTCCACCTCAAGCAAACCTCCTATCTCAGCCCTCCTAGTAGCTGGAGCTACAGGTGCGCACCCACACCCAGTTAATTTTTGTATTTTTTGTAGAGATGGAGTTTCACCACGTTGGCCAGGCTGGTCTTGAACTCCTGGGCACAAGCGATCTGCTCGCCTTGGCCTCTCAAAGTGTTGGGATTACAGGTGTGAGCCACCACACCTGGCCAATGTGATATTTACTTAAAATAATTTAAACTAAATAGCTGTATGTAGATAGTGACTACATATTGGAGGATACTGATCTAACAACTTTCCAGAGTAGGGATTTGGTACAGTCAAACCTAGTGGTCATGTCATGAGCTCTGGGGTCAGACCACCTGAGTTCCAAATTTGATACTGTCCTTGAGCAAGTTACATAACCTCTTTGTGCCTCAGCTTCCTCATCTATAAAATGGGAATTGTACTAGTATGGGGTTGTCATGAGGTGAAAAGACATAATATATGTAAAGCTCTTGGAATATATTCAATGATTAATAAGTATAATAATAATTATCACCATTATTGCTGTTGGCAGTCCTCAGAGTGTATTATGGTTTGTAAGTTAGTGTCAACTCCCAGACTAACTTCAGGAACTGAGATCTGGAGATTTTGCAAGTGACTTTCTTTATTCTGTTCTATGTCTGAATTTAGGTTTGGGGAGAATTTTGTCCTTCCAGAGGACATTAGTCACTGTCACAGCTTGGGAGTGCCACTGGTATCTAGTGAGTGGAGGCCAGGGATGCTGCTTAGCATCCTGGAATGCTCAGGACAGCCCCCCACGACAAAGACTTTTCCAGCCCAGAATGTCAGTGGTCCCGAGGTGGAGAAATCCTGGCTTAGTGGGACCTGCTGTGGCCTTACCAGGTCCTGTTCATTATTGCAGAGCTTGGGGTCAGCTTTCTTGCAAGAACAACATAGCATTGTGAAGTGTATGAAATAACCTTGGACAGCGAGTTTTCGGTGGGACTTGAAGCTTTGATATGCCGAATCTCACTGCCTTTCAGGTTTGTTGATGTATGTGGTCAGTCAGCTCTGTCTTGTCAGCCAACATCAAACATTTTGAAAACACGTTTTTTTGATTTGTGATTCAGTAAGCAGGTGAGCCTCCCTTATTTACCCCATCTTGAACTTTCTTTCCTCTTGCTTTGATCTGCTCTGTGGTTTTATTTTAAGAACATGATTTGCTTTGCTCCCAGTGAAAGCCTGATGGTCAGTTATTTTCTGTGTCCTCCATAGTCCTGCAACCAATCTGAACTGAGTCATGTTCTTAGAACTTTTTCCTTTCCCCATTCCAAGTCCTGGCTCTACTCTGATTTTCGGCCTCAGGAATGTTGGTTTGCTCTCACGCACGCTTAGCCTGTGGAAATCATTAGGTGTTCTCAGGGTCTGTCACAAGAGAAGCTAAGTGTCCTGGACCTCAGGGTGGCTGTGTCTTGAGGAGAGTCCTCTTTTCAGGCCCCCAAGAGGCAGCTCATCTGTGGATGTTTGAGCCGTCGGGTCTTTGTTGTTGTCATGGGTATCTTGCATGGCTTTGGATTCAAAACTTCACCTGTCTTTTGAATGCCTGTCCACCCATACCCTTGAGAGGACCTCTTGCTTTCCTGCCATCAGCTATTAGGACTAACACTTGGGAGATCATCAGGTTCCAGGTGGTAGAATGGCTTGGGTTGGTTCCTTGCTCCTACTACCCCATTCATGGACACCACTGGGGCCGCTGATCCCACTGTAACTGCACAGCCAGTAAGAGCAGCCACTGAGTGATGGATTATCCTGCCTCCGCCTCTCAAGTAGCTAGGACTACAGGCACACGCTACAGCAACAGAGGGTCTTGGTGGCTTCTCTCCTTGGTGGCATACAGTAGACAGGCTGAGGTCTGGTCTGTGGGCACCTCCCTTTTGAAACATCCTTTTCAGTTCCACTAGGTGGAGCAAAGTCTGGCCTGAAAACTGCATGCTATGTGGAAACCACAAAGAAACACAAGTAAATCCAGAACATTGCAACCTGGGAGGTCAAGAAGGGGGAAACAAATCCCATCCTATTGAATTTTAAGGCTTGTTGATACAATTCTGAGCTTTCCTGATCTGGGGATTAAGTAGGTCATCCTCTCAGACTTGCAGATCACCCGTCTTGCATGGTCTGGGTTTTTGGGATATGCTTGCTTACTCAGTTACATTCCCATAGCTCTGATTTATTTACTTTTGGTTTTCTCCTTTCCACACTTTCTTCTGTGGGAAATCAGAGGAGTTGTTTTTCTTCTGCTCCTGGTGCTGTCGTCTTCACAGTGCCAAAGCTAAGTTTTGATTCAAGATCTCAGGTGTTTAAAATAATTTAACTTAAACATTTTTGGAAGAGGTAAAAATAAATGTAAGATGTTACAAGAATATCTGTGGCTTGGAAGGGTGGGTCCTAGAATGGAGAGTTACAAAAACATGTCTGTTTTGATTTTTAAATATCTAGCAAGACAAATGTTATGTTGTAACACTTTTATTACACATTCTTTCAGATCAGAGGCATGCATTCATGGAGAAAATATTCGTATTTTTCAAAATTCTACATGTTACTTTTTGGTTTGCCATTTCCTAATTTATTTTCCTCATTTAAAATTCCACCTGACAGTTTCATCAAACACAGAAACAACAAGGGAAAAAACCACAGCTTAGTTTATTGATCAGATTTAAATATTTTTCTCTCTTAGTAGTTCATTTGGGAGAAGAAATTACTATTTGGCTTTCTACACCAGGATGTTGGAATATTGTAACTCTTTGGAACTTAAATACAGAATTGAATAGTGTGAGTTCATCCTGCTTACTCCTTTCTTTTTCCCTGGATAATTTGTCTTTAAGTTTTGCAAATCCCTTTGCTACATTTGGGAGGGGGTAAGGAGCATAAAACCTACCCCAGTATGATTTGGCACTATGGCTGACTTTCCATTTTTCTTCCTTAGAGCTGATTGCTGCTTTTCTTTGAGCTTTAAAATACCTTTCACCTTTTTTTTGGAGATGAAGTCTTGCTCTGTTGCCCAAGCTGGAGTGCAGCGGTGCGATCTCAGCTCACTGCAACCTCCGCCTCCCAGGTTCAAGCGATTCTCCTGCCTCAGCCTCCCGAGTGGCTGGGACTACAGGCATGTGCCACCATGCCTGGCTAATTTTTGTATTTTAGAAGAGATGGGGTTTCACTATGTTGGCCAGGCTGGTCTCGAACTCCTGACGTAATCCACCTGCCTCGACCTCCCAAAGTGCTGGGCTTACAGGCATGAGACACCGCGGCAGGCCCCTTTTTACATTTTTTGTTTTTGTTTTTTAGCGTCAGGGTCTCGCTATGCTGCCCAGGCTGGAGTACAGTGGCGCAATCATAGCTCACTGCAGCTTCGAACTCCTGGGCTAAAGCGATTCTCCTGCCTCTGCCTCCCAAGTAGCTAGGACTACAGGCACACACTACAGTGTCCAGCTAATTTTGTTTTATTTATTTATTTATTTATTTATTTATTTTTTGAGATGGAATCTTGGTCTGTCACCCAGCTTTAAAATACCTTTCACCTTTTTTTTTTGAGATGAAGTCTCGCTCTGTCGCCCAGGCTGGAGTGCATTGGCACGACCTTGGCTCACTGCAACCTCCGCCTCCTGGGTTCAAGCCATTCTCCTGCCTCAGCCTCCCCAGTAGTTGGGATTACAGGTGCGCACCACCATGCCCAGCTAATTTTTGTATTTTAACTAGAGACGGGTTTCACCATGTTGGCCAGGCTGGTCTTGAACCCCTGACCTTGTGATCCACCCGCCTCAGCTTCCCAAAGTGCTGGGATTACAGGTGTGAGCCACCGCACCTGGCCTTGTTTTATTTTTTGTAGAGGTAGGGTCTTGCTATGTTGCCCAGGTTGGAGTACAGTGGTGATTCCCAGGCATAGTCATAGTGCACGGCAGCTTTGAATCCCTGGCCTCAAGTGTTCCTTCTGCCTTAGCCTCCTGAGTAGCTAGGACTATTACTTTTTATTTGAGATGGAGTTTTGCTCCATTGCCCAGGCTGGAGTGCAGTGGTACAATCTTGGCTTACTGCAACCTCCGCCTCCTGGGTACAAGTGATTCTCCTGCCTCAGCTCCCTGAGTACCTGGGATTACAGGCACACACTACTATGCCTGGCTAATTTTTGTATTTTTATTAGAGATCGGGATTTCACCATGTTGGCCAGGCTGGTCTTGAACTCCTGAGCTCAAGTGATCTGCCTGTCTTGGCCTCCCAGAGTGCTGGGATTACAGGTGTGAGCCACTGTGCCCAGCCTACATTCTTTTTAAATGACACAAAAACAACACGTGCTCATAACAATGTTAAATAATAGATTTTAAAATGTTGGCCGGGCGCGGTGGCTCATGCCTGTAATTCCAGCACTTTGGGAGGCCAAGGCAGGTGGATCACGAGGTCAGGAGATCGAGACCATCCTGGCTAACATGGTGAAACCCCGTCTCTACTAAAAATACAAAAAATTAGCCGGGCGTGGTGGTGGGTGCCTGTAGTCCCAGCTACTCGGGAGGCTGAGGCAGGAGAATGGCATGAACCCGGGAGGCAGAGCTTGCAGCGAGCCAAGATGGCCTATGGCTCAGGCTAGAGTGCAGTGGCTAGATATAGACAACCATATATCTATATATAGTCTATATATAGAGAACCATAACATTGTTTGGTATGGGTAGGGTTCTTTATTTGTTTTAAAAACAAAAATGTGGCCGTGCGTGGTGGCTCATGCCTGTAATCCCAGCACTTTGGGAGGCCAAGGCGGGTGGATCACGAGGTCAGGAGTTCGAGACCAGCCTGGCCAACATGTGAAACCTCGTCTCTACTAAAAGTACAAAAGTTAGCCAGGCATGGTGGCGCATGGCTGTAGTCCTAGCTACTGAAGAGGCTGAGGCAGGAGAATCACTTGAACCCGGGAAGCAGAGGTTGCAGTGAGCCAAGATCGTGCCTCCATACTCCAGCCTGGGTGACAGAGCAAGACTCTGTCTCAGGGGGGTGGTGGGGGGAAGGGATCATTTGTAATGTAGCATTTCACAAGATGCATTTTTTTTTAACCTTAATATACTGTGGACTAATTTCCATATTGTAGATACTCCTCTGATTTCTTAAAATACCTGTATTCTGTTGCTTTATACCGTGATTTATTTAAACACTTCTCCATTGTTAATGGAGTTTTTGCCATTTCACACAGTGCTACGTTGAACATTGTTGTACTTATTTCTTTTTGCAATTGTGCTAGATTCCTAAAAGTGGAACTGAGGATTGTGTGGTTATAGGGTATGCACATTTAAAGGCTGGAGTAGATAGTGCCACGTTGTTCTCCGGTATGGTTGTATCAGTTTACATTCGCATCAATAGGATCTGCAGGCCGGGTCCACTGGCTCACGCCTGTAATCCCAGTACTTTGGGAGACTGAGGTGGGCAGATCGCTTGAGCCCAGGAGTTCGAGACCAGCCTGGGCAACAGAGCGAGTCTCTGTATCTTTGAGACAGAGTCTCGATCTGTTGCCCAGGCTGGAGTGCAGTGGCACAATCTCAATTCACTGCAGTCTCTGCCTCCTGGGTTTAAACAATTCTCGGGCCTCAGCCCCATGAGTAGCTGGGATTACCAACGTTTGCCACCACACCTAGCTAATTTTTTTGTGTTTTTAATAGAGACAAGGTTTTGCCATGTTGGTCAGGCTGGTCTCAAACTCCTGTCCTCAATGATCCATCCATCTTAGCCTCTCAAAGTGCTGGGATTACAGATGTGAGCCACCACACCCAGCCCAATTTTTAAATTTTTTATAGAGACAGGGTCTTGCTATGTTCCCCAGGCTGGTCTTGAATTCCTGGCCTCAAGTGCTTCTGCCTCAGCATCCCAAGTAGCTGGGATTACAGGCACAAGTCACCGCACCCAGCGATACTATTATTCTTGTTTGCACATCATCGTGCCCTTGAGTGAGAAGAGTGATGGGGTCACCGCCAAGGCGGATGGGCACTGTTTGTCAAGTATGGGGGTCGTCACCCATCTTGACCACAGGGCTAGACCACATGTGGCTCTGTCTGCTCTCATACACAGTACTGTGCTGCAGTGAGGGGGATCCTTAACTTCTGTCCCCAACCTCCATTTGGCACTTCCTGTTCTCAGGGGAAGATGGTTTCTGAGCCTTTTTTTTTTTTTTTTTTTTTTTGTTGATACAAGCTCTCCCTGTGTCACCCAGGCTGGAGTGCAGTGGCATGATCATAGTTCATGGCAGCCTGACCTCCTGAGTTCTAGCGATCATCCCACCTTAGCCTCCTTAGTAGCTGGGACTATAGGCGTGCACCATTATGCCCAGCTAATATTTGTATTTTTAGTACAGACTGGGTTTCACTGTGTTGACCAAGCTGGTCTTGAACTCCTGACCTCCAGTGATCCTCCTGCCTCGGCCTCCCAAAGTGCTGGGATTACAGCATGAGCCACTGTACCTGCCCTCCCCCCCCCCCTTTTTTTTTTTTTTTTGAGACAGAGTCTCACTCTGTCACCCAGGCTGAAGTGCAATGGCACGATCTCGGCTCACTGTAACCTCCGCTTCCCAGGTTCAGGCAATTCCCCTGCCTCAGCCTCCTGAGTAGCTGGACTACAGGCGCCCGCTACCACGCCTGGCTAATTTTTGTATTTTTAGTAGAGACGGGGTTTCCCCATGTTGGCCAGACTGGTCTCGAACTCCTGACCTCATGTGATCCACCCGCCTCGGCCTCCCAAAGTACTGGGATTACAGGCGTGAGCCACCATGCACAGCCCTTTTTTTTTTTAGTAACAGTTTTATTAAGATCTAATTCACAGACCATAACATTCACCATTTTCAAGGGTATTAATTAAGTGGTTTTTAATATATCCACAAGGTGAGCCACCATCACCGCTATCTTAATTTTAGACTATTTTCATCACTCCAAAAAGAAGCCTTATAGCCATTAGCATTCATTCCCCTTATTTTCTTCCCTCCAGTCCCTGGCAACCACTCATCTACTTCCTGTTTTTATGGATTTATCTATTCTGGACATTTCATATGAATGGAACCATACACCATGTGGTCTTTTATGACTGGTTTTCTTTACTTAGCATGTTTTCAAGGTTCATCCATGTTGTAGCATGTATCAATACTTCATACCTTTTTATGGTCAATTAATGTAGGTCCAGCCCTATGGGGCTTAGCGGGTGTTCTCCCTGTGTGCGGAGACGAGAGATTGTAATAAATAAAGACACAAGACAAAGAGATAAAGAGAAAGCAGCTGGGCCTGGGGGACCACTACCATCAAGATGCAGAGACCGGTAGTGGCCCCGAGCAGCTGGGCTTGCTGAGATTTATTGCATACAAGACAAGGGGGCAGGGTAAGGAGGGTCAGTCTTCTAAGTGGTTGACAAGGTGAAGCAGGTCACGTGCTTACAGGATAGGGGGCCCTTCCTTTTAGGTAGCCAGAGCAGAGAGAGAAGGCAGCATACGTCAGCGTTTTCTTCTCTGCACTTACAAAGAAAAGATCAAAGACTTTAAGACTTTCACTATTTCTTCTACCGCTATCTACTACGAACTTCAAAGAGGAACCAGGAGTACGGGAGGAGCATGAAAGTGGACAAGGAGCGTGACCACTGAAGCACAGCACCACAGGGAGGGGTTTAGGACTCCGGATGACTGTGGGCAGGCCTGGATAATATCCAGCCTTCCACAAGAAGCTGGTGGAGCAGAGTGTTCCCTGACTCCTCCAAGGAAAGGAGACTCCCTTTCGCGGTCTGCTAAGTAACGGGTGCCTTCCCAGACACTGGCGTTACCGCTTGACCAAGGAGCCCTCAAGCGGCCCTTATGCGGGCATGACAGAAGGCTCACCTCTTGCCTTCTAGGTCACTTCTCACAATGTCCCTTCAGCACCTGACCCTATACCTGCCGGTTATTCCTAGGTTATATTAGTAATGCAACAAAAAGTAACATTAAAAGCTAATGATTAATAATGTTTATAATAATGATTGATAATTGTCCATGATCATCTCTGTATCTAATTTGTATTATGACTATTCTTATTCTGTTTTCTTTATTATACTGAAATAGTTTGTGCCTTCAGTCTCTTGCCTTGGCACCTGGGTACTCTTTGCCTACAAATTAATACTCCATTTTATAGATATACTCCATTTTATTTATTCATCAATTGATGAACATTTGAGCTGTTTCCAGTTTGGGACTATTATGAATAATGCTGCTGTGAACGTTGGTGTACAAGTTTTTTTGTTTGTTTGTTGTAGAGATGGGGGTCTTACTATATTGCCCAGGCTGGGGAGTAAGCTATTCACAGGAAAGATCATAGCTCACTACAGCCTCCAACTCCCAGGCTCAAGCGAATCCTCCTGCCTCAGCCTCCTGAGTAGCTGCAACTACAGGCACATGCCACTCTGCCTGACTTGATGTACAAGTTTTTATGTGGACTTGTTTTTAATTATCTTGGGTATATACCTAGTAGTGGAATTGCTGGGTTATTTGGTAATGCTATGTTTAACTTTTTGAGAGACTTCCAGACTTTTCTGAAGCAGCTGCACCATTTTACACCCCCACCAGCAATGTATGAGAGTTTCAATTTCTCCAACACTTGTTATGGTCTGCCTTTTTAATTACAGCCATGCTAGTGGGTGTGAAGTAGTTTCTCATTGTGATTTTGATTTGCATTTCCCTAATGACTAGTAATATCAAATATTTTTCCTGTTCTTATTGGCCATTTGTGTATCTTCCTTGGAGAAATTTCTATTCAATCCTTTGTCCATTTACCCTTATCTGACTCGGGGGCCAGAGCTCTTCCCAGTGAGTGATGCCCAGGGTGAGATTTTCTTTTAAACTGGGCTCGGTCAGGGCTCTGGCATTTCCAGACCTGGCTATGTTCCTGCCTAGTCTTGTGACCCTGGGCCACTTAACCTCTCTGAGCCTTCCTTGTTTCTTTCTTTCTTTCTTTCTTTCTTTTTTTTTTTTTTTTTGAGGTGGAGTTTTGCTCTTGTAGCCCAGGCTGGAGTGCAATGGCACGATCTTGGCTCAACTCAACCTCCGCCTCCCGGGTTCAAGCGATTCTCCTGCCTCAGCCTTCCGAGTAGCTGGGATTACGGGCATGCACCACCACGCCCTGCTAATTTTGTATTGTTAGTAGAGACGGGGTTTCTCTATGTTGGTCAGGCTAGTCTCGAACTCCTGAGCTCAGGTGATCGCCTGCCTCAGCCTCCAAAAGTGCTGGGATTACAGGCGTGAGCCACCGTGCCTGGCCGAGTCTTCCTTATTTCCATCAGCATTGCCCAGAGACTGCTCTGAGGCCAGCCATTCTGTGATAAGAGGCCCATGTGGTCAGAGAAGGCTCCCCGCTCGTTTGGGGAGTCTTAGTGCATATGCTTACAGTTCAGCTTCTGAACAGTCACACAGTTAGGACATCTATATGAATCTTTTATCCAATATATAAATTGCAAATGTTTTCTCCCGTTCTGTTTTGCCCCCACTTTTTTTTGAGATGGAGTCTCTGTCATCTGGGCTGGAGTGCAGTGGCACAATCTCGGCTCATTGCAACCTCTGCCTCCCGAGTTCAAGTGATTCTCCTTCCTCAGCTTCCTTAGTAGCTGGGAATACAAGTGTGTGCCACCACACCTGGCTAATTTTTTTTTATTTTTTAATTTTTTGTGTTTTTTGGTAGAGACAGGGTTTCACCATGTTGGCCAGGCTGTTTTTTTTTTTTTTTTTCTTTTCTTTTCTTTTTTTTGAGACGGAGTCTCACTCTGCTGCCCAGGCTGGAGTGCAGTGGCGCGATCTTGGCTCACTGCAGCCTCTACCTCCTGGGTTCCAGTGATTCTCCTGCCTCAGCCTCTCAAGTAGCTGGGATTACAGGCACCTACCACCATGCCTGGCTAATTTTTGTATTTTTAGTAGAGATGGGGTTTTCCTGTGTTGATCAGGCTGGTCTGGAACTCCTGACCTCAGGCAATCTGCCTGCCTCGGCCTCCCAAAGTGCTGGGATTACAGGCGTGAGCCACTACACTCAGCCTTAAATTTTTTTATGTTTAATTTTTTCTTTTTTTGAGACGGAGTTTCACTCTTGTTGCCCAGGCTGGAGTGCAATGGTACAATCTTGGCTCATTGCAACCTCCGCCTCCCAGGTTCAAGTGAGTCTCCTGCCTCAGCCTTCTGAGTAGCTGGGATTACAGGCACCTTCCACCATGCCCAGCTAATTTTTTGTATTTTTAGTGGAGACAGGGTTTAACTGTGTTAGCCAGGATGGTCTCAATTTCCTGATCTCGTGATACACCCACCTCGGCCTAATTTTTTGTATTTTTAGTAGAGATGGGGTTTCACCATGTTGGCCAGGCTTGTCTCGAACTCCAGATTTCAGGTGATCCACCCACCTCGGCCTCCGAAAGTGCTGGGATTATAAGTGTGAGCCACTGTGCCAGGCCTTTAATGTTTAATTTTTTAGGGACAGTGTCTTGCTGTTGCCCAGGCTGGAGTGCAGTGGCGTGATCACAGCTCACTGTAGCCTCAAACTCCTGAGCTCAAGCAATCCCCCTACCTTAACCTCTCCAGTAGCTGGGACTGCAAGTGTGTGCCACCACATCTAGCTAATTTTTAAAACAATTTTTTTATAGAGGCGGAGTCTCCCTATGTTGCTTACGTTGGTCTAGAACTCCTGGCCTCAAGCATTCTTCCCACCTCAGCTTCCCAAAGTGCTAAGATTACAGACAGGAGCCGCTACAGCTGGCCATCTTTTAGTGGTCGCACCACTCCAGCCTGGGTGACCCTGTCTCAAAAAATGAAGAAGTAAAAATAAATAAAAAATGAATCTCTGAAAGATAACAATGTTCCTCAACATTAGTCATCCCATAGCATACCCAGAAAACTTGACAATAATCCCTTAATGTTGTAGGATAGGATCTTGCACTTGAGAATTTAAATAAGATCTAAGAATAAAAATATTACTACAAAATTCAGCTAATTATGACAGTTCTTCAGTTTTCTTAAGTAATTAGCCCTCAGGAAGTTCCTCTACTTGAAAAAATGTTACTCCCAACAGTACCCTTAATCCCATGAGAATCAAAAGTGCTCTTCCAATCCCAGCATTCTCAGTCTTACTTGAACAGGTCTAGTAGTGGCGTTTTAACCATAACCTTTCTTCCACCCTGCAAAACTTGGTCTTTCATTTTCTTTGACACACACATCCATTTCCAACCTTTGCTTAGTGGATAAAGTGAAAGATTAACTTACGACGTTTGCCCTCAATTTTTAGTGAAGAGAGAATTTTGGGGAAAATCCTACTCTTATCTGAGATTGCATAAATGTTCAGAGAAACGTGGAAAAATGAAGAGACCCTGCCAGCATATCTTCTCCTCTTCCAGCTCTTCGGGGATGCAAGCTGTTGGTCCCTATCCTGTGTTTGGCTGACTATGCCTACCCTTCCGGTACAGTACTGGGGGTTTCAGGGCAGGTGAGCAAGGCTGCTGAGGGAGAAATGGAACATAGAATTTAGAGACTGAGGCTGGGTGCAGTGGCTCACGCTTGTAATCCCAGTGCTTTGGGTGGCCAAGGTGGAAGGATCACTTGAGCCCAGGAGTTTGAGACCAGCCTGGGCAAGATGGTCAAACCCTGTCTCTACAAAAATACAAAAATTAGCTGGGTGGTGTGGCTCATGCCTGTTGTCCCAGCTACTTCGGAAGCTGAGGTGGGAGGATCACTTGAGACTGGGAGGCAGAGGCTGCAGTGAGCTGAGATCATCGCACCATTGCACTCCAGCCTGGGTGACAGAGTGAAACTTTTGTCTCAAAAAAAAAAAAAAAAAAAAGAATTTGGAGACTGAAAGACACTGGAGAGATAACGATACTGTGAACAGATGTTCAGTTAGAGAGTCTGTGCTGCTCAAAATATAGGAGATTTGGGGTTGAGCAGACTCAACTGTGTGACTGTTCCGAGGCTTAACCGTAAGCTTATACATTGTGACTCCACAAACGAGATGGTAGACTTTGATTACATGGGCCTCTTATCACAGAAATGGCTGGCCTGGGAGGGGTCTCTGTGCACTGCTGATAGAAGTAAGGAAGGCTCAGAGAGATTAAGTCATTCGCCCAGAGTAATGAGACTAGGTGCTAGCATGGCCAGGTCTGGAATGCAAGAGACCTGGAACAATTTAGTTTAAAGGAAAGTCTCCCCCTGGGCATTCTTCACTGGAGTCCCATGGGAAGACCTCTGTCCCTTCAGCCAGAAACCCTTAGTCCAATCCAAGGTCACTTTACATTTTCAGACCTCCAGTATATTCATCTGGGAAGCAGGGATAGCAATATCCTGTTACCAGCTGTATTCCAGCTGATAGAAGGAGCAGCTAAAATGGATGGGTAAGTTGTTTATCAACCTTGAATTCTGATTTTGTTGAATTTTCTTTCTGTTTTTTTGAGACAGAGTCTCGCTCTGTCATCCAGGCTGGAGTGCAGTGGCGCGATCTCGACTCACTGCAACCTCTGCCTCCCAGATTCCAGCAATTCTCATGCCTCAGCCTCCCAAGTAGCTGGGACTATAGGTGTGCGCCACCACGCCCGGCTAATTTTCGTATTTTTGGTAAAGACATGGTTTCACCATGTTGGCGAGGTCGGTCTCAAACTCCTGACCTCAGGTGATCCGCCTGCCTCGGCCTCCCAAAATGCTGAGATTACAGGTGTGAGCCACCACGCCCGGCCTTCTCTGTATTTTCTTGAAGTTTGCTGAGCTTCCTTAAAACCCTGAGTTCTCTGCAAGAAGAAGGATGATGACTTATGGTGCCTCTCACTGGTGAGGTCCACCTTTTCTGCAATTTTGAGCACAGTCCAAGGCCTTGGAAAAGCTTTGTTTCTTGAGTCTCTCAAATAAGAACAACAACATTAGCTTTTCTGGGAGGGCCAATGGCTGTGCTGTGATGGGGCATGGATGCTTTCTCAGAGGTACTTTCCCCCTAAGCTTTAGGCACGTCTGACCATTTCTTCTGCTTTGGTCCAGTGCTTTCCTCATGATTTAGACTCTGGATGAAGGTGTTTTTGAAGTAGGTTTACTTGCTGCTGTCATCCTGTGTCACCTCACTCTCTGTGGCCTGGAAGTGCAGGGTTTCAGGCCTGGCTGTGGGCGGCCATTATATGACAAAGGGTTCAGCGTCCCCTGCATCTGGTATGATGCCCTCTCTGGTTTCACCACCTTTAGTCATCATTTTACTTGGGGTGTGGACATATTTGTTCCAGGAGCTTCCCCACCCTCTACAACTTATTGGAGGGATAAATTGTCCTAATGTTTTCTTCTGGTGTTTTTAACCATGAAATCTTAGACCTGGAGTAGATTTGGTTACCAAATAGCCTAAGGAGAGAGGACATAATATTTGATTTATGTAAGATCCAGGAAATGAGGAAAGGCACGGTGCCATGAGCTGTGCTTCCAGCCAGACCTTATTAACTTTCACAATTCTTTATGCAAAAGAGACAACTTCCAGGTGTTGCTAATGGAGGTATCTCATGACCTAGAGACAAAACCAGGAGCAGCTTCCTTCTATTTCTCCAAATCCAAAAACGATTGCTAGGGAGTTAGACCATGGCCCAGCTCTGCTTTGAGAAAGGGAATTTTGCTTTTGAGATGATTGAAGTGCTTTAAATTCCTCAGCTGAGAAATGAGAGATGTACAGATAATGAGACACACGGAGGCTTTGCCGCATCAGACTTCATGAGCTTGGAGAACATGCAGGTGCTCTTCTGACCTCTTAGCTGTTTGTCAGGTTTCTATGACCAGGCAGGTGTTACCAGCACTAATGTTTAGGGATTCAGCTATATTTTAGCTTCATTTTTATGATCCTTTTTTTTTCCAGACAGGATCTTGCACAGGCTGGAGTGCAGTGGTGTGATCACAGCTCACTGCAGCCTCAACCTCCCTGGACACTCAGTTGATCCTCCTACCTCACCCTCCCCAGCAACTAGGACTACAGTCATGTGCCATCACGCCCGACTAATTTTTGTATTTTTTTTGTGGAGATGGAGTTTTGCCATGTTGCCAGACTGGTCTCGAACTCCTGGGCTCAAGTGATCCACCCTCCTTGGCCTCCCAAAGTGCTGGCATTACAGGCATGTGCCACCACACCCAGCCAGGATCCTCTCTTTAGTCACGTCTTTATCTCTTCATTCATGTGACGATCTTTTCTTGAGGGCCTGCTTTGTGCAAGGCATCGTGCTTGGTCCTGTGAGGGATATGGAAGTGAACGTTTCACATCTTACCCCTAAGTTGCTTACTTTAGAGGAGAAGGTAGGGCTGAGAAGAAATATCTAAAACATAAAGTGTGAAATGGCTTTGTTGAGTTTATGAGTTGCATGTAAGAAGTGAGTGGATTTTCCTATAAAAGCACAACCAAGATGATTGCTTTCTGGACAGTGAGAATGCTTAGAGCACCCAGAACTGCTTCTAAGGACTCAGAGAGAGTTGAGATGTCTGTCATAAAATGACCTTGCTGTTAGCCTTTTTCTTGGGTCAGCCACCATTGTACCCACATTCCCACTTAATATAGACCATGTCTCTCTTTATCTCACCCAAAGTTTAAATAACAGTGAAAGATGAAATCAGATTGGTGGAGACCTGGAAGCTTAATTTTCCTAATGGTTCTCTTTCCAAATTACATCTGGCCGAGGCAGGAGGATCACTTGAACCTAGGAGTTCGAGACCAGCCTTGGCAACATAGGAAGACCCTGCCTCTATAAAGATTAAAAAAAATTAGCCAGGGCCAGGTGCAGTGGCTCACATCTGTAATCCCAGCACTTTGGGAGGCCGAGGCAGGCGGATCACCTCAGGTCGGGAGTTTGAGACCAGCCTGACCAACATGGAAAAACCCCATCTCTACTAAAAATACAAAAATTAGCTGGGCATGGTGCGCATGCCTGTAATCTCAGCTACTCAGGAAGCTGAGGTAGGAGAATTTCTTGAACCCGGGAGGCGGAGGTTGCAGTTAGCTGAGATCGCACCATTGCACTCCAGCCTGGGCAACAAGAGCGAAACTCTGTCTCAAAAAAAAAAAAAAAAAAAAAGGAAAAAAAATAAGTTGGGCATTGTAGTAAACGCCTGTAGTCTCAGCTACTTGGGAGGCTGAGGTGGGAGGATTGCTTGTGCCTGCGAGGTTGGAGGCTACAGTGAGCCATGATCGCACCACTGCAGTCCAGCTTGGGTGACAGAGCAAGATCCTGTCTCAAAAACAAAAAGCCGGCCTGGCCAACATGGTGAAACCATGTCTCTATTGAAAATACAAAAATTAGCTGGGCATGGTGGCACGAGCCTGTAGTCCTAGCTACTTGGGAGGCTGAGCAGGAGAATTGCTTGAACTCAGGAGGCGGAGGTTGCAGTGAGCCGAGATTGCGCCTCTGCACTCCAGCCTGAGCGACAGAGCGAGACTCTGTCTCAAAAAAAAAAAAAGCAAAAAACAAATTTCATCTGAGTGTGTTTCATGTAGTTGGTGTGATCTACATCCCTCCTTTTGTTCTTATTCCGATCTTTGGTTTGGAGAGCAATTGTGAGGAGGCATGAAATGTATCTGGAGATAGCTATGAGCTGCAGCCTGCTGATTTTCATGTAATTCTTGGCTACTTGCCAGTATGGTTGGGGTTAAACTGTTTCCAGGGTAGGAAAAACACGAACCTAGCATTTTGATATGAAAACAAACAAGGCTACTTTGTACTTGATGAAGCTCAAGTTGCAGATCCAGTGAGAGCCCATTAACTATTGGTGAAGGCCCACTGACAGTGTTGAGTTTCAGAGACCCCTGCACATTCTGGAGATGGCAGCGAATTGTTGTGCAGCCTACGAAAGTAATAAATATTTCTGCAGTGATTGTCAACAACAAAATGATTTTCTTGTTTGGGGGGTGGGGAGGCAAGAGGCAGAAACCTTAGGAAGCTGTTGCAAACCAGTTTCAGCTTCTGCTACTTTTATTTCTTTCCATTTAAAGCTGGGTGCAGTGGCACATGCCTGTAGTCCCAGTTACTCAGGAGCCTGAGGTGGGAGGCTCACTTGAACCCAGGATTTTGAGGCTGCAGTGTATTATGATGGCCCCTGTAAGTAGCCACTGCACCCCAGCCAGGGCAACATAATGAGACCCTGTCTCTCAAAAAAAATAAAAGACTGAGGCTGCACCAATGACATGGGGTGGAGTCAGGAACCTAGGACTCTTTCTGGCCCACTTTGGAGACCGAGAGCAGGATTCTGTGAGGTTGAGGTCAATGACTGGGAAAGCCCCAAAGTTCTCATCTGTATCTTCCTTCCACCTCCCCCAACCTCTGCAATAAAACAAAATCAACTCCAAGATTGACCATATTTTAGTAGTAAATATCAAACAAGCAAAATGAGGGCCTAAAATACTCCACTAAAATAGAAATTCCTATATTTGATATTCATGCTGCTACTGTAATCATCAGAAAGAAAAACTGTGCTGGTCAAAGATACTCACTCATTAGATGTGTACATGTGTAGGGCCTTGACATTCTACCCCCAACTAATCTTTGCGTCATCTTTTTCTGCCTTTGGACGTATGCCCCATGCGTCCTTGTTTCCATACTTTTATTCATGCTCTGCTCTGCGTAGTGTGCTCATTTTATCCACTGAAACCCTACGTATTATTTCAGTATCCATCTCTTTGGGGTTTTTTAGTTTGTTTGCTTTTTGAGACGAATTCTTGCTCTGTTGCCCAGGCTGACATGCATTGGCATGATCTCGGCTCACTGCAACCTCCGCCTCCTGGGTTCAAGCGATTCGTTCTCCTGCCTCAGCCTCCCAAGTAGCTGAGTTTACAGGCATGTGCCACCATGCCCGGCTAATTTTTATATTTTTAGTAGAGGCTGGTTTTGCCATGTTTGCCAGGCTGGTCTTGAACTCCTGATCTCAGATGTTCCACCCACCTTGGCTTCCTAAAGTGCTTGAGCCATTGCGCCTGGCATTAGTTTTTTGTTTTTTTTTTTTTTTTTTTTTTTTTGAGACGGAGTCTCGCTCTGTCGCCCAGGCTGGACTGCGGACTGCAGTGGCGCAATCTCGGCTCACTGCAAGCTCCGCTTCCCGGGTTCAACGCCATTCTCCTGCCTCAGCCTCCCCAGTAGCTGTGACTACAGGCGCCCGCCACCGCGCCCGGCTAATTTTTTTTTGTATTTTTAGTAGAGACGGGGTTTCACCTTGTTAGCCAGGATGGTCTCGATCTCCTGACCTCATGATCCACCCGCCTCGGCCTCCCAAAGTGCTGGGATTACAGGCGTGAGCCACCGCGCCCGGCCAGTTTTTTTTTTTTTTTGAGACAGAGTCTCGCTCTGTCCCCCAGGCTGGAGTGCAGTGGTGTGATCTCGGCTCACTGAAAGCTCCACCTCCCGGGTTCATGCCATTCTCCTGCCTCAGCCTCCCAAGTAGCTGGGACTACAGGTGCCTGCCACCACGCCCGGCTAATTTTTTGTATTTTTTAGTAGAGACGGGGTTTCACCGTGTTAGCCAGGATGGTCTTGATCTCCTGACCTCGTGATCCACCTGCCTCAGCCTCCCAAAGTGCTGAGATTACAGGCTTGAGCCATTGCGCTTGGCCTCGTTTGTTTTTCAAGAGAAAAGGTCTCACTCTGATACCCAGGCTAGAGTGCAGTGGTATAATCACAGCTCACTACAACCTCAACTTCTTGGGCTCAAGTGATCCTCCTGCCTCAGCCTACTGAGTAGCTGAACCTACAAGGTGTACGCCGCCATGCCTGGCTAATTTCTTAATTTTTGTAGAAACAGGGTCTCCCTATGTTGCTCAGGCTGGTCTTGAAATCCTGGCCTCAAGTGATCATCCCACATCAGCCTCCTGAAGTGTTGGGGAACCACTGTGTTCAGCTCTTGATAAAATTTTCTTTGAAAACAAAAACCTTCTTTGGCCATTCTGTCCCTCAACAGCATCCCTTCTTTGTTTTCTTTTTTCTTTCTTTTTTTTTTTTTTACTGGAAGCTGAGAGGATCATCCAGCATCTCTTCTTTGAGCTCCTCTTGTGTGACTGTGTTTGTCCCTCGCCTCACCATGTTTATCATAGAGTGCGTATGTTTGTTTCTGTGTAACTAACTAAATAAATCCTCCAGGGCAAGACTGATTCATCCAACAGTACATCTTTGTTATCCCCACAGCACATCCTGGGTGGACTGGATGCAACTGTAAATATCAGGTCACAAGTAAGGGGGAAGTGACGATTAATATCAAAATCCTATCTGCATATGTGTCCAAGCCATTTTGGAGTCATACAGACCTGGTTGAGATTCTGGCTGCACTGCCTATTAGGTGTGTGTCCTTGAACGAGTTACCTAACGTCACTGTGTAAAATATGAGATGTCACCATCTGTTGGAATCTTCCCTCTCTGAAATACATGATTTGATGTTTAGCAAAGGATTACATACTGCAGTTAAGAACCGTTTACCTAACTCTCTTTCCTGAAAGACTCAGTAGTAGGAAAGCACCATGGGTTTTTATAGATACCTTGTGGAAGAGATAAGCTCTGTGACTTGTAAAACGCCTTGTCCTGCCCAGAAGCAGGAGAGGTGTGTGTTTTCTTGCCTCAGCAGGCCTGCTACATGCCTGCCTTTGTCCAGCCCCAGGACATAGATAAAGCTAGTGTTCTTGGTTTCTAGCAGTTAAGCAACCTATAGTGTTTCTGCCTGGCAGAGTTCTGGGTTTGGGATTTATCCCCTTGCATTCCCCAAAATTATTACTTCAGGATTCTTTTGTTAATGCCTAGCCTCACACCCATGACATGAAGATGTCTCAGTTTAACTTTTGTTGTGACACTCATGTTGGTTTGAGGTTTGAGTTAGTATTCATTCTCTCCTTTCTTGAGTTAGAACTCTGAGGCATTTAAATGGGTGCGTGCCCAAACCGGAGAAAGATAAGAAAGATCTCTTATCTTAGACATTCTGTGTCTGCCCAGCAGCCTCTGCTCAAAGCTCCTGGAAATAAAATGGCCTTACGCCTGGAGATTATCTCCTACCCTAGAAGCCTGGCAGTTACTGTCCTGTTCTGACAAACTCTCTTTCTTCAGATCCCTTGATTGTAAAATAAGATACCCCTAGACCTTCAGCCCTAGTCGCCGTCAGCCTCAGTTGACCAGATGGCAAAGGTGTGGGAACAGCTCACCAGGTTCCCAAGAGCCATGTCCTAGGAAGGTCTCCAGCCTATTCCTTGTGTGTGGATCTGTTGTGCATTAGGAACAGATGAGAACTTTAGGGCTTTCCCAGTCTTTGACCTCATAGAACCTTGCTTTCCAAAGTGGGTCAGAAGGACCCTAGGACCCTGACTTCACACTCCAGAACACCACCATCATATCCAGTGTGCATGGCAGTCTCATAAACAGGGTTCCAGAGCGCTGACCAGGGACCTGCCTGTCTGCTTAACATTCACCTGACCCTCAGTTCTGGTTTTTGCTGTTTGTTTTTTCCTTGTTTGTAACTTCTGATATTCTAATAGCTGACGCCTGTGTGTTCATAAAGGAAAGAGCCTGTGGAGCCAGAGTCTTCACTCAAATCCTTGCTGTCTCACAGCCAGCTGTGTGACCTTGGGCAAGTTACATAAACCCCATTTGCCTCCATTTCTGTAACTGAGTAATAGGGATGGTAATAGCCACATCATAGGGTTGTTGTGGCTGTGAGATACTTAGCATGGAGTCTGGCTCATGGTCAGGGTTGAACAAATGATTATCTCTCCCCTACCCCACCCCAGAATTTAAAGATTATAAATATATAGACTGCCTACAAAAATGTTGCCAAAAGATACTTAAACAAATTTTCTACAGTAAAAGAATGAATTCAGGTAGCTGTGAGCATGTATGTTTTTGCAGTATGTCTTAAATTAATCCGGTACGGCACAGTGGTTCGTGCCTGTGATGTCAGCATTTGAGGATGCTGAGGTGGGAAGATTGCTTGAGGCCAGGGATTCGAGACCAGCTTGGGTAACATAGCAAGACTCCCTATTTAAAATAAAATTTTAGGGAGGCACGGTGGCTCAGTCCTGATGTCCTGGCTCATAAGGAGGCGAGGTGAAGCGTTCGAGACCAGCCTGGGCAACATAGGAAGCCCTCATCTATAATGACAGAAAAAATTTTAAATAAAAATTTAAAAAGTTAATCTGAGGCCAGACATGGTGGCTCATGCCTGTAATCCCAGCACTTTGGTTGAGGTCAGGAGTTCGAGACCAGCCTGGCCAACATGGTGAAACCCCATCTCTAATAAAAAGACAAAAATTAGCTGGGAGTGGTGGCGCACACTTGTAGTCCCAGCTACTTGGGAGTCTGAGGCAGGGGGATCGCTTGAACCTGGGAGGCAGAGGTTGCAGTGAGCCAAGATCGTGCCACCACACTCCAGCCTGGTTGACAGAGTGAGACTCTGTCTCAAGAAAAAAAAAAAAAAGTTAATCTGAATCCAAAGGGTAGTATTTCCAGCAGTACTATCTCTGGGGGTTCTCTGAATTGCAGAGGAGGAGACTGCCTCGGTAGAAGGATATCTCAGATGCTGCTTGGGGCCATAAGTAGTTGTTAATCTGCAACATTTTTTTTTTTTTCTTGAGACGGAGTCTCGCTCTGTCGCCCAGGCTGGAGTGCAGTGGCACAATCTCAGCTCACTGCAAGCTCTGCCTCCCGGGTTCACTCCATTCTCCTGCCTCAGCTCCCAAGTAGCTGGAACTACAGGCGCCCGCCACCACGCTGGTTAATTTTTTGTATTTTTAGTAGAGACGGGGTTTCACCATGTTAGCCAGGATGGTCTTGATCTCCCGACTTCGTGATCCACCCGCCTCTGCCTCCTAAAGTGCTGGGATTACAAGCGTAAGCCACTGCGCCCGGCCTTTTTTTTTTTTTTTTTTTTTTTGAGACAGTCTCGCTCTGTCGCCCAGGCTGGAGTGCAGTGGCATGATCTCAGCTCACTGCAGCCTCCATCTCCCAGGTTCAAGTGATTCTCCTGCTTCAGTCTCTCAAGTAGCTGGGACTACAGGTATGTGTCACCATGCTTAGCTAATTTTTCTATTTTTAGTAGAGATGGGGTTTCCCCATGTCGGTCAGGCTGGTCTGGAACTCCTGACCTCAGGTGATCTGCCTGCCTTGGCCTCCCAAAGTGCTGGGATTACAAGCATGAGCCATGCCCGGCCCTTTTTTTTTTTTTTTTTTTTTTTTTTTTTGAGACAGAGTCTCGTTCTGTCGCTCAGGCTGGAGTGCAGTGGTGTGATCTTGGCTCACTGCAACCTCTCCCTCCTGGGCTCAAGTGTCCCTCCCACCTCAGCTTCCCGAGTAGCTGAGACAACAGGCATGTGCCACCATGCCCAGCTAATTTTTGTATTTTCTGTAGAGATGGGGTTTTGCCATGTTGCCCAAGCTGGTTTTGAACTCCTGGGCTCAAGCAATCTGCCCACCTCAGCCTCCCAAAGTACTAGGATTACAGGCGTGAGCCATGGTGCCCAGCCAACCTGCAACATTTTGACAACATAATCCTGCTTAATTCTAATTTAGTATGACTTCCTTTTTTTTTTTTTTTTTAAGTTGGTGAATTCAGCATTGAATTTAATTCTGCATTGGCAGGCGGATGACTAAAGTCATTTGAAGAAGGATTTACCCTACCTTTGGCTCATCATGTATGAGGCTGGATCACGTACATAGGAGAACCCATTTTTTCAGGCTAGCAGAAATTGTTAATGATCATCTTGCTTTTCAAATGGCAAAGCTGACTCCTTTGTCACTAGGTTGTAGTAATATTTGTATAACATGGCAGAAAGTGAACTCACTTTCCTGGGAATGCCTGAATTTGCCAACTCAATCTCTTTTTCTCCTCACCCCTCAGATATCAGCGCTTAGTGAACGTTAGTGAGGGGCTGTAGGCAAGAAGTTGATAGAAAGAAGCTGTTGTCAGCAGTCACTTTTTTAGAATATATTGTATTGTACTAGGTGTAATGCCTTGGGTTAAATGCTGCCTTGCACACAAGAATTTATAATCTGTGAGAAGATAAAAATAGACGAATGCTGATTAGAAACACTGTCTTGGGTAGCATCATAAAAGGATGATTCATTAGGAAATCAGGAAGTCTATAATGCAATTTTGATCATTTAGGTTGTATTTTTACAAGTTTTTTTTTGGATTTCTAGTAATTTTGTTGCAATTCCACTTCTGAGATCATCACTGATGAATATTATTTAGAATTATGGGGCCAAGCTTAGTGGCTCATGCCTGTAATCTTAACACTTTGAAAGGCTGAGGCAGGAGGATCACTTGAGGACAAGAGTTCAAGCCTGGACAACATAGTGAGACCCTGTCTCTACAAAAAATAAAAATTAAAAAAACTTAGCTGAGTGTGGTGGCGTGGTGGCGTGTGCCTGTAGTGCCAGCTTTTTGGGAGGATGAGGCAGGAGGATCACTTGAGCCTAGGGTGACAGAACAAAACCCTATCTCTTAAAAAAACAAAACAAAAAAAAAAAAGGAAGGAAGAAAAATATGGAACACTTCATAGCCCATTAGAGCAAGGTTTATTGTGTGTTTTGGTCATAGTGGCATCCCCAGTGCCTAAAACAATGCCTGGCACACTGTAGGCATTCAGTGAGCGTGGAGTGAGTGAATGAATGGTACACTTATGCCATGGCACTCTTTCTGGAGAATTTCAGGTGCCAGTCTGTCTTGTTAGATCAGTGCAGATTACATTGCCCATGAGGGGATGAGGATGCTGTTTCCATCAGTTTGATTGCCAAAGTTAGTGCTGCGTATGTTTTGTGGTTCTCAGTGGTTGCCAGGGAACCGAGGAAGTGAAAGGAAGGGGTTGAAAGCAGCCTCATTGCTGTTCCCTGGGCGGCTGTGCCTTGATGTCCAGCCTTGTCTGTATGGCAGTTTGGCCTGGTTGTGAGAGTGGTGACAAGGCCTGGGATAGACTGACCATGTCTTGAGAATATGTATGTGCTGAAGAATGGCTTCCCAGTCCCCAAACACCGGCAGCAGCAGGAGCCACTTCTTTTACACATCAGCCACCTTTTCCTCTAGCAATGAAGCTGTGATCCATTCTTTCAGTGAGTCTCAAGGAAATGGTTCAGCCAGTTTGGCACATTCATTTTCTTGTCAGGAAAGTCAATGTGACCTTGACCATCATTGGGGACCTGCGGTAAACACGTTGTGTGTCTGGCTGGATTCTAATGATCAAACAGTGCTTTTGGCACCTCACTGTGCTGTACGTGTCATGTGCTCCTAATTTATTGTCCTAGGTTGGGGGTTATAGGTACTAATTTGCAAGAATCATTTCTGACTTACATGGATCATGCCCAGCACAGTGCCACTACCATGGAGGCCTTGGATAAGTATCATGAAAGAAAATTGTTGCAGAAAATGAAAGGAAAGATGAAATATACTTGCTTTGAGTCCTGGACAGTGTAATTAATTTGTAGCTGAGGAAGTTATTGAAAAGTAACTTTTTGTAATCCCAGCACTTTAGGAGGCTAAGGTGGGCAGATCACTTGAGCCCAGGAGTTCAAGACCAGCCTGGGCAACATGGCGAAACCCCATCTCTACACAAAAAAACAAAAATTAGCTGCGCATGGTAGCACGTGCCTGTGGTACCAGCTCCTTGGGAGGCTGAGGTGGGAGGATCGCTTGAGCTCGGAAGGCAGAGGTTGCAGTGAGCCAAGATCATCACACCACTGTACTCCAGCCTGGGTAACAGAGTGAGACCCTATCTCAAAAAAAAAAAAAAAAAAAAAAAAGTAACTTTCGATTTATAAAGCTCCTCTGAAGATTGTTCTCCTTGAGTCATTTCTGGAAATCCGAACCCAAACATGGACCTTTTGTGCTGTGCAAGTGTTGTCTTTGGTAGAGGATTCAGGCCGAGGGAGAGCTGCTGTGACCTCCTGTTTCAGGGAGGGTAGCCAGAAGGGATTTGGCTTACACCACCGACTAGGGAAAGTCAGAGCAGGACACCATCCCCAGGGCCCTTGCTTGTGCAAAGCTTGCGTTAGAGAACTCTTGTCTCCCTGAGCTGAACTTAGTGAAGAAAGCACGACAAACCTAAGGCGGTGAACTTTTCTGAACCAAGAGTTGGTTTAAATATAGATGATCTGCCTTTCTGGCAACTTGGAGGCTGCGGTGGGACTTGTTGTACCTTTTATAAGACAAGTGAGGAAAGATGTTGGCACCTGTACTTGCGCAGTTTGTTTATGAAATATAAACTCTCCGGTGGAAGCGAGGGCTCGAAAGGTCAGTGTCCAAGGTAGCGTGTCGTACCTTAGCTGGGGAAAAGGTGCCTCTCCAAGCCCCCGCTGCGAATTGCCTCATTCCCTAGAGAAAGTTGGGACAGCCAGGCTTCATGTCCTATTATTTACTGAGCACCGACTCTGGCAGGGGTGGGGGTGGAAAAGTTTCTGTGAAACTGACAGACACTGGACTTGATTTTCTTTCCCAGGGAGGAGAAACAATACTCTAGGAGCTACAAAGTCAGTCCTTATTCAGAGCAGTGTTCCTGTTTTCAGCTTTAGAGACTTGATTTATGTACCCCCCAGCCTGCTTAGAGCCAAGGGGTTGCAGCAGCCTGCTCCCATCTGCAGCCCCCACCATCCTCCCACAGTGGGCTCTGGCTCTAGGTGGGTCCAGGGCTGGGCATCGCGGGTCTGCAGCACATCCTCCTCAGTATTCCAGTGCAGCTGTCTGAAGTTTTTTCTGCTGCGCCTGAACTGATGTCATTTCCCCCTTGGCAGACAGCTTCGGCTTTGCTGCGTCTGAGATATGTCACGAGAAGGTGGGGGTGGGCCAGAGCCAGGCAGGGGGAGTAGCGAGGAGAGCAGGAGACAGTGTGCCTGCTCGGTCCCAGGACTCTGTTTACTTTGTCTGCTTTGCTAAAGAAGGCCGGTGAACCAGGACCACCGCACACACAGGCCCACCAGGGGCAATGCTCATTCCAAGACCTTAACTTTTAAGAGCCCTTTGTTCCAACGTTAGTGTGGACGATGCTCTTGCAGGATGCCTTTCCTTTTGGGTCTTAGACAGGTAATTGTTTCTGCACGGATCGGGTTTGGAAGGGAAGAAGGGGTGGGAGCTTGTTTATTGTACTACTGCTTTGGGTGGAGGGAATATTTTAGCAAATGCCTCTCAGTTAGACCAGGCCAGCTCCCACACAGAACTTTCCAGTCTCCCTTCTTGTTTGCTAGTTGCTCCTTACTTTCAGAGCCACCGTGTTCTTAACCCTCTACGTCCCCGAGGTTTCTCTAGGGCTGACCAGTTCTGATTTTCCATCAGACACTGTAAAACTGCTTTGGAAACTTCACGGAGAAACAGCTGAAGAATGGGGCTGGGGAAGGGGAGAGGCAGAGTGCGATTCTTGCTCCAAACCCCTTTTATTCCTTCTCCATTTTGATTTGGCTAGTTAGTGGAGATTTCCTCACAGTCCTCTGGTTCTGAAGGGACTCTGTGTTGGGGGTGGGGTGAGGGCTCCGTTCTTCTTTTAAAGGAAAGGCTTTCTTCCTTTCAAGCATGTGCCTGGGGCTGTGCAGCTGAGGGACGTTCCCGACGCCTCAGGGGAAGGGGTGTGGAATTGACCCCATTTTGGCCTTACTGACCAGTTTTTCAAAAAGACCCCTGTGGCAGAGACTTGATTGCTCGGTGAGCCGCCCTTTGAAGTGGGAGCACTGCATTCATTCCAGCCGGTAAAGCAGTGTGGAATGAGAGAACAGTAGCAAGCCACCAACTGCTGTCTGCTGAGAACACAGCTGTTGCCAACTATTTGTTCCAGGGCTTCTGAGAGTCAGACACCCCCACCCCCTCTTCGTCTGAGAGGCATGTCTGTATCGGAATGTGTAACTGTAACCAGCAGCTGCTGGCCATAAGGGGTGGGGAGGGAGCACACACCCTCTGCTGCCTGTTCCTGGGTGAGGAAAAGCCACAGATGAGCTCACAGCAGAAGCCCTAGAGGGGAGCTGCTAGGGACCACTGGTTGCCCTCACTCTGAGAAAAGTGCTAGGTGGACAACTCTCCCTTGAGTTGCCTACAGTTCTGTTCAAAGGAAGCTCCTCTGAAAAGCCCCAAACATTCCATTACAGCTCTTGTTATCTTCAGAGTGTTGCGTTGACACAGCTGATGGGCAGAGAGGTGACCACTCTGAACATCCCTTCTGCCCCCACAAGAAAGGCTGTCCTTTTTTTTTTTTTTTTTTTTTTTTTTGAGATGGAGTCTCACTCTGTTGCCCAGGCTGGAGTGTAGTGGCGTTAGCTCACTGCAACTTCTGTCTCCTGGGTTCAAGCGATTCTCCTGCCTCAGCCTCCTGAGTAGCTGGGATTACAGGCATGTGCCACTATACCCGGCTAAGTTTTGTATTTTTAGTAGAGACGGGGTTTCGCCATGTTGGTCTGACTGGTCTCGAACTCCTGACCTCCGGTGATCCGGCCACCTCAGCCTCCCGAAGTGCTAGGATTACAGGCGTGAGCCACTGTGCCTGGCCAGAAAGGCTGTCCTTTTAACCTATGGGCAGAGTGAGCCCTGGAGAGGATTTCAAGCAGTGTTGGAAATAGGATGAAGCTGGATGAAGCGTCTCATGCTGTGTCAGCAGGCTGGTAGGGTGAAAACTGCCTAACAGAGTGGAAAGAGTGGGCTGGGAGCTGGAAAGACCTGCGTTCATATCCCAGCTTCCCTGAGGTCTTGGGCAGGCCCTTAACTGTTCTGAACCTCATCTCTGAGGTCACACAGGGATTCCACGAAAGAATGTATGTGAACGTTAGCACCTGGGCTGGTAGAGAGTAGACATAACTCTTACTTTGATCTACTCATTCCCAAAGGATGCAACACTGCAGGGGTGCAGGAAACGAGAAGCGAAGGGACTGATACCTTGACAGGAGCCAGGTGTGCTGGGCAGGAGCCCACAGCCAGGGGAGTGAGCTCTTGCATCTGTAGTCAGTGACTGCCATTGTGCAGTGACGTACAGCTGGGAGGCCACCTCTTACTCTACCGAGACACTGTTAATCTTATATACTGAGGTGGCAAGAGGGCGAGGGCTTGTGTCCAGTTACTTGGACATGTAGTGAGAGAATGAAGCAGTGGGTAGCATTAAACTCTTCAAGGAGAGTGAAGGGTTGGGATGGTTGTTTTGGGAAGGATCTGAGAGGATCAACAGCAGGTGAACCTTTAGCTCTTGTGTCTGAACAGTTGCCTGGTGGAAGGCAGAATTTAGAAGACCTCCGAAGGCCCTTCCTGCCCTAGGCTTCTGTGACTCAAATGTTGCCTGTACAATCTTGGAGTAGTTTTGGTTACATATTTTGTATATTTCTAGTATTTTCTGTCAGACAGTGTAACTATGTTCTTTATTGGAGCCATGTAGCCTTCTAAAGATCACTTGGTGATAATTCTGTTTAAGAAAAAATGACACATAATGCACACACACACACATAAAATTCATCTTTATCGTACATATGTATGCACTTTGATTTATTTTTTTCCCTTAATCCATATGATTGTTTTTTCCCCTTAATCCTGTGTCTTATGTGGTAGGATTATTCTGTTTGTACAGAGGTGCATGCTGAGGCTTAGAGAAGTTAAGCCATTTGCCCAGCATTGCTCAATTGTCTAGAGAAAGGGTAATTGAAGATTTTTGTTGCTGTTTTTTAACTTGAGTCTTTCCCAAATCCTGGATTTTTCTCACTACCTAGACTGTGCGGCTCAATGTCTGAGAGTAGAGTATGATTAATGCATTGTTCTCCTTGGGGCATGTTTCTTTCTAGCCTGCCTAGGTAGGAGATAAAATGCTGCTTACCCCTTAATCCCAGCTTTTCAGGAGGCTGAGGCAGGAGAATCGCTTAAACCCGGGAGGGGAAGGTTGCAGTGAGCCGAGAGGCCCCACCATTGCACTCCAGCATGGGCGACAAGAGCGAGACTCCATTTCAAAAAAAAAAATCATTCTTGTTGAGTCTCGTTCTTGTCACCCAGGCTGGAGTGCAATGGTGCGATCTCAGCTCACTGCAACCTCTGCCTTCCGGTTTCAAGCCATTCTCCTGCCTCAGCCTCCCAGGTAGCTGGGACTACAGGCATGTGCCACCACGCCCAGCTAATTTTTTGGGTATTTTTAATAGAGATGGGGTTTCACCATGGCTGGCCAGGCTGATCTCAAACTCCTGACCTCAAGTGGTCCGCTCGCCTCGGCCTCCCAAAGTGCTGGGATTATAGACATGAGCCACCAGGCCCGGCCAAAAAAAATGTAGATTCTTTATGTCTGGGCCAGGGCCCCAGAATATGCATTTCTGTGAAGTTCCCCAGGTGTTTCTGATCCCGGTTGTTTCCGGCCACACTTTGAGAGACTGTCCTCCAGAGCTGGGCGGCATGGAAATAATTACAAGCCAGCATGCTGAGACTACAACAGAGGAACGCCCAGGGACTGGGAGAGCAGAGCGTGGGGGCAGGTATCTGAATCAGGCTAGGAGAGGCTTTCCTGAGAAGCCGATATCTGATCTGACTCTTGAAGGATGAGGAGGAGAGTTTACCAGACATGTGAGTTGGGGAAAGAGCATTCCGGACAGATCAGGTTGGGAGAGTTGTTTTTGTTTTCTTCTGCAGATGACAAGGGAAGCTGTCATTCATCTCTTGAGTCTTGGCATTGAATTTGCCTGGGGCAAGATAAGGACCTTAGTTCACCAGGTATGGGTGTCTTTTATGGGTACCAAGAAGGAGGAAGACCTCAGGGCCCTTCTTTCTAATAATGAGCATGGCATGATTTCAGTGTCTGTAAAGGGCAGATAAACTGTAGGATTTATTAGTTCTTTCATGCAAGGGACAGTTAGACAGCTCATGGAAGCTACAGTGTTGACTAAAAAAAATGCTTTTTGTGCTTAGATGAGCCAGAGCTCAGAAGAAGATAGTCACCTGGTGAACTTTTTGGGTATGGCACTATATACCAAATTTTAGATATAACAAACAATTAGGCATGCTATCCCTTTATTATCTGACAAGATCAGAAAATAGGTTTTCTGGTTAAGAGAAATTCCATTATGTGTACCTAACAAAGGGATTACTAATTTTCGGAGAACAGTATTGCAACAGAATGTTCTTAGTCATGATTTGAACGAATTCTATTTCATGTTTATCCAGAAGATATTGATTGGGTAATGTCGAAGGTTTCTTAGGAGCAACACTCAGCATCTGAAAAGTCCTGTGCACCTGTTCTACCCAAAGCATGTTGTGGATACAAAGAGGTATAAACTCCATCCCTGCCCTCAAGGGGTTTACAGTCAGCTAGGGAAAGTAGAATAAGTGCACAGGTAATGAGGACATTCTGCAGGTGGTAGCAAATGACACTAGAAAAGAATAGAATGCCGCAGTTCAGAGGTGTGAAGAGGCAACCCTTCTGCAGGTGGCCCTTCCCACAGTCCAATCCAGTAGTATCAGTTGTTGCACTATAGGTGCTAGGTGTGTGGAAGGACCAGTGGGTGGTAAGTTCTAGTTGATGGAATGCAGGCTAGATCCATTAAGACACTAATTTTACATCTTGCACCTTGGAATATTGCCTTTCTCAGTGGGAAAGACCCATTGTCCTCCAAGTTGTCCACACCAGTGAGATGGGATGATCCCTGATACTGGAAATGAATAATACCCATCAAAGCCCTCTTAGGGTCCCTTTTCCAGGTTGGAATTTGTCATGGAAAGAGGCACAGGGGGCAACTCCTGGCCCAAGGGGCTGTTTGTATTTTTGAAAGGGTGAGCTGGTCCCTGGGCTGATGCCGAATGTGACAAGGCAACTAGAATGTTGCATGGTACTTACTCCCTGGGCATAGGAAGTGGCTTTAGAGTCTCACAAGGAGAGCAGTGGAAAGGCTGTGTGATAGCCAGCTAAAGCTGCAGGGTGGAGCCATGACTGTGGAGAGGGAAGGGGGGGAATTGCCGGCTTCCAATTTAACCCCTCAACTGCTGAATGTTAGCCAGCATTGACTTGGGGTATTTATTATTTCACCACAGCGGCCACCCATGAGGGAGGAGGTCTTATCTCCTTTTTGCTGTAAGGAAACTGAAACCCAGGGAGAAGTTATCTGTTCCAGAACCCAGGGCTAATGTGTGGCAGGAGGGGCCTGGAGTACAAGTCTTCTTGGTGTCTGTCTGCCCCTGCCCGTTGCTCTGGCTTGGTACCCATATCCACAGTCCACTGCAGGCCTCCTCCTCCCTGCCTGCTCTGTGCACAGCAGAGGACCGAATGTTGACTACCAGTTGCTGTTACCCTCGGGCCCAACCTCTTTCCACCAGGTTGAGGACAAATTAAGCAAGATCTTGCTTGGAAGGAAACTAGCTGTATATAGCAGCAAACACCAAGGTGACACTTGTTTGTGCTACCAAAAGTTGAAGCCAGAATCCTTATCTAAACTGATTTGTGAAAGTCTTGTGACAGCTCCACAGAACACCTCATTTCCCTACTGTCACCACAGGTGAGAAAGGTGGTGCTTACGCAAGCCCTTTCAGGTTAATTTTTTTTGGGGGGGGTGGGGGGAGGGATGGAGTCTCGCTCTTGCTCTGTCACCCAGACTGGAGTGCAGTGGCGCCATCTTGGCTTACTACAACTTCTGCCTCCCAGGTTCAAGGAATTCTCGTGCCTCAGCCTCCCAAGTAGCTGGTAGCACCTGCCACCATGCCCAGCTAATTTTTCTATTTTTAGGAAAGATGGAGTTTCACCATGTTGGCCAGGTTGGTCTGAAACTCCTGACCTCAGGTGATGCACCTGCCACGGCCTGTCAAAGTGCTGGGATTACAGGTGTGAGCAACTGTGCCTGGCCTCGGGTTAATTTTTGAACCCCCAACCATCTCTGTTGAAAGAAGCTGCTTTTTTTTTTTTTTTTTTTTTTTTGAGGAACGTGGCTTGTTTTTCATTGCATCTCTGTTATCAGAGCAAAGAGAAAGTGTACTGGACAGTAACTTAGTGGAAAAGAGGACTGTGCCTGCTGATTTTGAAACATTATCCAGGATGGAGCCAAAGAAAACAGTCACTTCCTCCAGTGATAGCCCATGAGTTTGACCCGCCCCCTCCCACCCCTTTTCCATGAAGAGGTAAATTTTAGTCCAGGAAAACAGAATACTTTGGGGCTATTTAAAAAAATGCTTTGAAATCCCTTCTTCTGCCCTAATTCCTTAGCACTAGTAAGATACTAGTTTCTTACCTCTTCCTCTCTAGGGCTTCTTGACTCTTATTTCTTGCTAATTTGTAGCAACAGTGGGTTGAAAGAGCCCTGAGAATGGACCTGCCTGAGCCATTTCTGTGCCCCTCTGTAGCCATTGTTTCTCTGGGCAGAGCTCACCTGAACTTGAACCCCAGACCTCACAAGAGGCTTCTATTGCTGGTTGCTGGAAATGGTGATAAAATCCTGTGAGGGGAGGGGCAGTGCAGGGAAGGAGACTTGGCTTTGGGAATGGCTGGAGTGTGACATACTGACTTCTTTTCCTGAAAGTGGCTGAGGGTTTGCCGGGACTGTGTTGCACATAAGACTTCGGTTTCCTCTGGCATTGCATCAAGGAGGCCAGAGTATTTATTATTGTTTGGTTTTCTTGCTTAACACACAAGACTTAAGGATCTCCCAACTGTGATGCACGGTCTCGATGTGGTTTCAAATACTGTCCAATTGATCTTGTGGTTTCCATCGAGGGTGTGAAATCCCTGGTTACCCACCAGGCAGGCAGTGGTTTGAATACCTGTGATCTCCCACCCCTCTGGGTGTGGTTCTGGAGTGCCGTGGGAGGTTAGGACAGGCTGGGGCGGACCGCCAGCACAAATAGAACATACAGTCATTCCTGCGTCTCTGTGTAAGGTTCCAGATTCATGGGCCAGGCTCGGCTTGTGCTGGGTTACTGTAAACCAGGATGAGAGAGCCACAGCCAGAGAGCCACGGTTCATTCTCGCACTGGTCATGTGAAAATCACACCCCCACAGCCTTGCCTTAGGCTTTGAAGGACCCCTTCATGCTGCTGCTTGTACCATGTAGCTAAGAGGCACGAGGGATGACCAGCTCCTATGGTTACTTGACTCAGCGGTCGCTAGGTTCAGGACTTTGTGAAGGGTTTTTGGCCAGGGTAGGTATGCTTGTGAGACTGACATCAGTCCTGCCCACGGGGAATTTAGAGCGGGGTGGTGGCAGGGAGTCTGTGAGGCACTCGGAGAACAAGACTGGCTAAAACACGGTTCTGTACAAAATATTGTGCTGCAGTTTGGCTAAAACAGGGGCTCTAAACTGGGACAGTTTTGCCCTTCCCCCATAGGGGATATTTGGCAGTGTCCAGACATGGTTAGCTGTCACAGCTAGGGGAGTAGGAAGTTGCTACTGGCATATCTAGTTAATAGAGGCCAGGGATGTTGCTAAACATCCTACAATGTACAGTTCAGTCCCGTATGACAAATAATTACCTGACTCCAAATGTCAGTAGGGCTAAGGTGGAGAAACCTTGGGGTAGAAACCACAGACTCATAGTAGTCCACTCTGCTTGGGAAGCAGGAGTCACAGGACTGAGGGAAGAAGTACCATATTGTTTTAATAAAGGGGAAATAGGTAGAGCTTTCCTGCTGCCTTCTAAGCAGTGTGTGTTCATTATCTGCCCAGAAATTTAGAATTTTCACATTGGTTGTTCCTTTAATCACTAGGTACTCTGTCTTATTAATGACAGGTACAGAGTCATTTTTTGTGGGCCAGTAGATATGACCAAGCCCATCTGAAATATGGATATGACCAAGTCCATCTGAAAAGTCGGATGGAACTGACGTTTCATCCCTTACTCAAATAACCGGGATTACTACCCCCCAGGAGGAGAGGATCTCAGTGGTACCCAAATGACTTTGTACATACAACTTAAAGAAAAAGCAGGCATAGTTATTTTAGCAGCAGCCCATATTTCAAGCCAGGTACCTATTGCTGTGGGTTGGGTTTATTGTAATCTATCATTAGTAACATACTAACACCCCCACTCCCCCAAGGTTTTCTACATCACTGAAGTCTATTTTAATCTTAAAGTCCAAGCTCTCAGAGTTCCAAAAGTTCTTGTTTCTTTTTTTTTTTTTTTTTTTTTTGAGACAGAGTCTTGCTCTGTCGCCCAGGCTGGAGTGCAGTGGCACAATCTTGGCTCACTGCAAGCTCTGCCTCCTGGGTTCACGCCTTTCTCCTGCCCCAGCCTCCCAAGTAGCTGGGACTACAGGCGCCCGCCACCACACCCGGCTAATTTTTTGTATTTTTAGTAGAGACGGGGTTTCACCGTGTTAGCCAGGATGGTCTCGACCTCCTGATCTCGTGATCTGCCCACCTTGGCCTCCCAAAGTGCTGGGATTACAGGCGTGAGCCACCGCGCCCGGCGAATTTTTTAAATTTTTAATAGAGATGAGGTCACGCTTTTTTGCCCAGGCTGGTCTCAAACTCCTGGGCTCAAGCAGTCCTCCCACTTCAGCCTCCCAAAGTGCTGGGATTGTAGGCCTGACCCACTGCACCCAGCCCACTTTTTTTTCTTTTTTTTTTTTTTTTAGGGCGGGGACAGAGTCTTGCTCTGTTACCTGGGCTGGAGTGCAATGGCACGATCTCAGGTCACTGCAACCTCCGCCTCCAGGTTCAAGTGATTCTTCCGCCTCAGCATCCCAGGTAGCTGGGATTACAGGCACCCGCCATCATGCCCGGCTAAATTTTGTATTTTGTAGAGACAGGGTTTCACCATGGTAGCCGGGCAGATCTTGAACTCCTGACCTCAGGTAATCTGCCCACCACAGCCTCCCAAAGTGCTGGGATTACAGGCGTGAGCCACTGCGCCAGGCACCAGCCCACTTTTTTTTTTTTTTTTTTGAGACAGAGTTTCGATCTTGTTGTCCACCCAGGCTGGAGTGCAGTAGTGCGATTTCGGCTCACTGCAAGCTCCACCTCCCAGGTTCATGCCATTCTCCTGCCTCAGCCTCCCGAGATGTTGGGACTACAGGCGCCTGCCACCACGCCCAGCTAATTTTTTGTATTTTTAGTAGGGATGGGGTTTCACCGTGTTAGCCAGGATGGTCTCGAACTCCTGATCTCATGATCCACCTAGCTCGGCCTCCCAAAGTGCTGGGATTACAGGCGTGAGCCACTGCGCCCAGCCTCAGCCCACTTTTTAAAAGTTGAAAAACAACGGTGCCATGTAGGCATAGAACTCATTAGTGGGTCCACTGGGGCTTAAGGGCCACTAGTGCAATCCCCACTTTTAAGAGGGGAGAGGCAGTGATACAACTGTGGGAAGAAAAGGACCTACTTCATGGCACCAACTGTGAGTGGATGACAGTAGGCTAAACTGCCCCTCTGCTCTGCCTGAGTGCCACCTGCTACTCACCTGCTCCGCTGCATGCTACCTGCTATTTCAGCCCTCAGCTCTCTGCACCAGCCCTTGCTAAAGAAGCCATGCTTCTCAATGGACTTACTCTGTAGCAGAAGAGGCCAGTGATGAGGAATTCCTGGGGACTGCTTTTCCTTCTAAGTGTCCAGGGGTGAAAGAGTGGTCCATGAACCAGGGTCCAGTGCCTCTGTAGCCTGCCAGACTCCACAGGCCTGCATGCCCTGGGACATTGACAAGTAGACCTTAATAAAACCATGGGATATGTTGCAACTTCCGATTTTTGCTGTGGGATTTTCCTACCAGGGTCAAGTAGCTTTTTCTGAATTTGTTATTCAGGTTCCTAATAGCAACACAGGAAATGGATTTTAATTTTTTTGCTGGCTGCTCTGTTTGGGGGCTGTTTAATGAGGATGTAGTTGCAGTGCAGCTTTGGCAGTAACAGTACTGGTGTGGATGGGAGCGTAGCTAACATGTCACTTCTTTTTAAAATTTATGTGTATGATCTATTATATGTTTTAATGGAATGAGGCATAGAGAGTATAAATAATGTGCCTTGATTCTATGTAGGTACTCTTGTGGGTAACTGTGTTGGGACACGTTTGGGATTCTAGAAAACGAATATGAGTCTATTTCATGTTTAGAGAGCAGGAACTGTTTATTGTATGTTCTTTTTAGATCCAGGGCAGTGGTTCTCAAGCTTGAATATACATAAACATAACCAGGGGAGCATGTTTTAAAAGGCGGATTTTCAGTCCCTGCCCCTAGAGGGTCTCAGTCTATCTACATTCTTGACAAATATTTCAGATGATCTGGGGCCCATGGACCACACTTTTGGGAAACACATCCCTATTTTGTTGCATTTGTTGTCTAAGCATGTTCATTGTTATGTGGGGGCAAATTCACTTATTTATAAGATGCCCTTATTGTCCTGATTCACTGTGTTGCCCTTCCTCAGATTCTTGACTAGTGTTAGTCTTTGGGAGGGACCAGACCAGATTGTTCCAGGATGCCCTGTGGGTTGAAGTCAGTGGACCTCTATTGTCCCCACTACTACCCCTGGGACTCCCCTTTGGGGACCATGACACTGTGGGCTCATCTTGAAGCAGCAGCCATCTCTTTTGATCCTAGGCTTTTCTTACATTGGTCACAAGCTCCAGTCTTTGGCTTTACTCTTTAGGGTACTCTATAGCTAAAGCATGGGGGACTGGGTCCTCTTAAGCCCAGGGAGCTGGAGTCCAGAGCCCTTAAGGAGTAAACCACACTATCAGATCTGAGGGATGAGGCTGAACCTTATCAGAAGATTTACTGGCTTGGTTAGGGGAACCTACCCATGTAGCCCAGGCTATTTGTTCTTTTGGAAAACTACTGAATTCAGCCAAACAGCATAAAAATCCATTCCTAGTGTCCCATTGCATGCAAGACAAAGTCTTGGTTAACTTCTTAGCAGTGGCTTGCCCTTTATGGGGAAGGATGGAATTGAGTAAGCTCTTTTAGCCAAAGCTTATGGAATAATTGTCAGGTGTGGTATATACTAGAAAGGATACGAAAGTAGTACATGACAACCCCACCATCAAAGAAAGGGAGATTAGACTGGGCACAGTGGCTCCCGACTGAAATCCCAGCACTGTTGGAGGCTGAGGCAGGAGAATCACTTGAGCCCAGAGTTTGAGACCAGCCTGAGCAACGTAGTGAGATCCTGTCTCTACAACCAATAAAAAAAATTAGCTGGGTGTGGTGGCGTATGCCTGTGGTCCTAGCTAATTGGGAGGCTGAGGTGGGAGGATTGCTTGAGCCTGGGAAGTTGAGGCTGCAGTGAGCTATGATCGTGCCACTACACTCTAGCCTTGGTGACAGAGTGAGACCCTGTTTCCAGAGGGGGAAAAAAAAGAGAGGGGAGACTAGACTAACACATGGGAAGCAATAGGCCAGGACTCCTGCTGCATCATCCCCCTTCTTGAGCTTACTTTCTTCATCCTCAGCCCTTCTGTACTCTCCTTCTACCCAATTTGAAAATGTGTGCCCTTGAACAGTTCTCTTTATTTCCCTCAGGTCTTTGAACAGTCTAAAAAACCAATAGTGGTCAGGCACGGTGGCTCACGCCTGTAATCCCAGCACTTTGGGAGGCCGAGGTGGGCGGATCACCTGAGGTCAGGCGTGCGAGACCAGCCTGGCCAATATGGTGAAACCCTGTCTCTATTAATAATACAAAAAATTAGCTGGGCGTGGTGGTGCACGCCTGATGTCCCAGCTACTCGGGAGGCTGAGGCAGGAGAATCACTGGAACCTGGGAGGTGGTGGTTGCAGTGAGCCGAGATCGTGCCACTGTACTCTAGCCTGAGTGACAGAGACCCTGCCTCAGGAAAAAAAAAACAAAACCAATACTATCAGGGAGAACGTGATCTTAACTTTCTTTCTTTCTTTTTTTTTTTTTGAGACAGTCTCACTCTGTCACCCAGGCTGGAGTGCAGTGGTGCGATCTCGGCTCACTGCAACCTCTGCCTCCTGGGTTCATGCCATTCTCCTGCCTCAGCCTCCCGAGTAGCTACCACGCCCGGCTAATTTTTTGCATTTTTTAGTAGAGACGGGGTTTCACAGTGTTAGCCAGGATGGTCTTGATCTCCTGATCTCATGATCCGCCTGTTTCGGCCTCCCAAAGTGCTGGGATTACAGGCATGAGCCACCACACCTGGCTGATCTTAACTTTCTAATTGTAAAAATATAGGTAAAAATATAGGTGAATACATGAAGCTTTGCCTCCTTACCACCTACAAATATGTTTCTAAGGACCTGGGCTTGAAAGTGCTGCATTTTCAGAACTTGAAGATTCTATCTAGGATAGAACAAAAATAGCTGATTCTAAGTTAAAGTTGTTTGCTGTCTTATTTAGCCATTTCAAATGTCTGCTTTATGAAAACTGCGTTATCCTTTAGCTACAGAGCATTACCAAAATCATTTAGAACTTTTTCCTAGTAGATATGCAGTGCTAGACTTTGGTCTCCTTTCTAGAAAGCCATTCCTGGTTCAAGAATGGAAGGAAAGTTTGTTTTGTTGCTTACTCTGCAAGAGCAGCCACAACCTGGCTGGGGGGGATAAATAAAGGCTCAAGGTAAAGAATAAGTATGAGAGTTGCAAAAATATTTATATATTTATTCAAGTCTCCACCATAACCTAAGGGAGGGACTAGCCAAAGCCAACAATGAATTCATAAACTGTGGTACTTTGGAGATTATTTTATTTTATTTTATTATTTATTTTTTACTGAGACGGAGTCTTGCTCTGTTGCTCAGGCTGGAGTGCAGTGGCACAATCTCGGTTTGCTGCAACCTCCACCGCCTGGGTTCAAGTGATTCTTGTGCCTCAGCCTCCTGAGTAGCTGGGACTACAGGTGCGCACAACCACGCATGGCTAATTTTTTAAATATTTTTAATAGCGATGGGTTTTCGCCATGTTGGCCAGGCTGGTCTCGAATTCGTAACCTCAGGTGATCCACCTGCCTCAGCCTCCCAAAGTGCTGGGATTACAGGCATGAGCCACTGCACCCAGCCTGGAGATTATTTTAATTGTTATACAAAGCCTATGAGATCTGACCTCAGCTGAATTCTTAGCTCCCCTTTCACACTGCTTTCCCTGAGATCACTGTACTCAGCTACACTAGTCTTCTTTCTCTTCCTTGAGCACACCAAGCTTGTTTCTGCCCTGGTGTTTTTGCGTGGATTTGATATTTCTTCTTCCTGGAACACTGTTCTCACCGGTCTGGTTAAGCTGGCTCTTTTTCAGCAGTCAGGGCTCTACTCAGATGTCACCTACTCAGAGTGGCCTTTCCTGACCACCCTATCTAAAACTCTTTGTCTCATTATCGTGTTTTATTATCCTCATGGAGCTTATTACTGCTAGTGAAATTATAATTTTGCTTGTTAATTGTCCGTCTTCCCAACTGGAACATATTTAAAAATCTTTTTGCCTTTGTCACTCTGCAGTTTCATACAGTGTACCTAGGTGTGGGCTTCTTATTATCTGGAAATTTTGTATCTTTTTTTTTTTTTTTTTGACAGTCTCACTCTGTCACCCAGGCTGGAGTGCAGTGGCATGATCTCGGCTCACTGCAACCCCCGCCTCTCAGGTTCAAGCGATTTTCCTGCCTCAGCCTCCCGAGTAGCTGGGACTACAGGCGCCCGCCACCACGCCCAGCTAATTGTATTTTTAGTAGAGATGGGGTTTCACAGTGTTAGCCAGGATGGTCTCGATCTCCTGACCTCATGATCTGCCCAACTTGGCCTCCCAAAGTGCTGGGATTATAGGCATGAGCCACCACGCCCGGCCGAAATTTTGTATCTTTAATCAGTCTTATATAGAAAATTTTTAGTTATCCCTTTAAATATTTCCTCTCCTCCATTCTTTTCTTCTCAAGCTTCTTTCTCATTTTTCATTTCCATGTTTTCTCTTGTAGAAGCACTTTGATGGTAATTTTCTCAGATCTGTTCTCTAGTTCATCAATTTCCTCTTTAACTTGGTCTCCTCTCTGTGTGACCCATCTGTTGAGTTTTTTCTTTCAATAACTATTTTTCTACAAGTTTTATCTGCCTGTTACTATTTCTTGTTTGGTAGTGTTCTTTTCTTGTGTTTTTAATTCTTTCTTTTTGGCTTTAATCATTTGAGATATGCTTGTATCTTATAGGGACTTTTTTTCAGGGGGTCTTATCCTGCTATTTGTTGAATTTGTCATCTTGTTTGTAATGGATTAGTTTTGCATACATTTTTATATTTTGGATTGTGAGCTTATCTTCAACAGAACTTTATTTTTATTTTTATTTTTGAGACAGTCTCTCACTGTCGCCCAGGCTGGAGTACAATGGTGCAATCTCGGCTCACTGCAACCTCTGCCTCCCGGGTTCAAGCAATTCTCCTGCCTCAGCGTCCGGAGTAGCTGGGATTACAGGCGCCCGCCACCACGCCCAGCTAATTTTTTTGTATTTTTATTAGAGACAGGATTTCACTATGTTGGCCAGGCTGGTCTCGAATTCCTGACCTCGTCATCCGCCCGCCTCAGCCTCCCAAAGTCCTGGAATTACAAGCGTGAGCCACCGCGCCTGGCCAACAGAACTTTATGTGTAGGAATCCTTTGTGCCGTGGCTGAGGGTAGATCTGTTCAGTTTTGTATTTCTGCCAGATGTTGCAGGTTTATTGCCAGCCTGGGACTACTTTTTGTGTTAAATTTTTGGCTTGGGGATCCTCAGACCATGTAGTAGTACAATTCAAATCTGAAATAATCTGTGATCACACATTATTAGAGGAGATACTGTTTTCCTCCCACTTCAGAGTTTTTATTGTCACTATGTGCCAGTGGGCTAATGTTTTTTCTAATCTGTTCTCCCCCTCTGAGGGCGCCAGCTTTGTACTGGTTCTCAGTTCCAATTCCCTGTTTCAGGTGGGCCCAAGATCAACAAACTACCCCACTTTCTAGGTCAACTGGAAAGGCCTGATCTCATTTACTACTGTGGTTTCTAGTTCCCGCTGTCGTTTTTGGTCCCAGGTGATCCTCCTTGCTTTCTTGCAAGTTCAGCTTTGTAATTAAAAGTGATTGTTGTATAGCCAGGGTTTTATAGCAGAATAATTTTTAGTTACCTACCCAGCTATATTGCCAGAAGCGGAAACTCTCCCCTCCCACCCCCCGAATCTCTTGCTTATTGCTATAGCTATAGCATCCCACATAGTGCCTGGCACATGGTTGGGGGAAGGGGGTCAATACATATGTGTTAAATGATTTGGAGAACTGAACATTTCCATTAGGAATTAGTTCTTGGCCAGGCACGGTGGCTCACACCTGTAATCCCAGCACTTTGGGAGGCCGAGGTGGGAGGATCCCTTGAGCCCAGGAGTTCAAGACCAGCCTGGGCAACATGAGGAGACCCTGTCTCTATTTAAACAAACAAAAAAAGATTTAGTTCTTCCTGCAGGGAAAGCCAGAGGTGATGCTCCAAATTAATTCATATCCAGCAGCCAAGATATTTGGTGTCCTGTGCTTTAGCATCCCAGGAAGGACTTCAATTCTTATTTTTCACTCTTAAACTTTAAAGTGTTTTCCTAAGGACATGACGCTGTTGCCATTAGCCAGTTGCTAGCAGAGTTTTCCAGACCCATAAATTGGCAGATTAAAACCATGCCTGGGGAAACATTACTGCCCAGTGTGTCTTTTTATGCTGGCACTTAGAAAGTTTTTACGCTGATTAAATTGACCTTTACAGTGGCTCAGCTAAGAATAGCAACTGTAAGATGTGGAAACTGTTGAGGAAAATGTTGTTAGTCCCACAGTTTATACTGCCACCAAAGAGAGGAGATAATTTTTTGCATATGTGCAAAAGGCATACTGTTTATCCTTTCCAGTGTAAAAATGTTTTTTCCAGTTTGGTGTTGGTCTTGCTTGTCTCTTCTTTATGCCTTTGTTTTCTGTTTGGTAACCATGTGTGCCTTGTCTCTCAGAGCTGGTCACTGTGGCACCGGGGCTGAAGGCACATACCTGTAATAGATGGGGCTCCTAGTAGCCACTACCACGGTCATTCCCGAGGTGAAAGGCCTCGCGTAAGCGCATTCATTATGCACCAAAGTTCCTTTTTGACAAGTTGTACATTTCTAGCTTTCTGGGGTTTTGTTTTAGCCATGGAGTTTTGTGCAAATGAAAACATTGCCAGGAAGATGATATCTTTAAAATGCAAGTATGATCTTGTTACCTCCCTGTACAGAGTGGTCCCCACCTACCTAACTTTCCTATCTACTACTTCTACCATCTCCTTCTAGCCAAAAGGGCTTTGCTTGTAGCGTTTTCTCTGCCTGCGATGTTCTTCCCTGTCCTCTTCCTAGTTACTTTTTTTTTTCTTTTCTTTTTTTTTTTTTTTTTTTGAGACAGTGTTTCGCTCTTGTTGCCCAGGCTGGCGTGCAATGGTGCGATCTCAGCTCACCACAGCCTCCACCTCCCGGGTTCAAGCGATTCTTCTGCCTCAGGCTCCCAAGTAGCTGGGATTACAGGCATGTGCCACCACACCTGGCTAATTTTTGTATCTTTAGTAGAGACGGGGTTTCTCCATGCTGGTCAGGCTGGTTTCAAACTCCTGACCTCAAGTGATCTGCCTGCCTTGGCCTCCCAAATTGCTGGAATTACAGACGTGAGCCACCGCGCCGCCTAGTTACTGACTTTTTAACCGTACTGTCAATCTCAGTTCAAGCTTACCTTCCTCCCAGAAGCTGTTCTGGACCTTCTTGACCAGTTCCTGGGTCTTTTACTCACTGTCACCTAATCTGCACTTTTCCTTCCCAACATTTATTGTAGTCGCAGTTTTATCTGCGTAAGTATTTTACCATCTTTCATTAGACTGTAAGTTCCGTGAGGATGGCCTAAACAATATAATAATGTGTAATGTGCTTTGAAGATGCTTGGAAGAAAAGCATAAGCTAGGTGTGGTGGCTCATGCCTGTAACCCCAGCACTTTGGGAGGCCAAGATGGGACGATTGCTTAAGGCCAGGAGTTTGAGATCTGCCTGAGCAACATAGTGAGACCCTGCCTCTACCAAAAAAGTAAAAATAAAAAAGCCAGATATGGTGGCACATGCCTGTAGTCCTAGCTACTCGGGAGGCTGAGGCAGAAGGATCACGTGAGCCCAGGAGTTTGAGGCTGTAGTGAGCTACAGTCGTGCCACTGTACTCCAGCCTGGACAACAGAGCAAGACCTTGTCTCCAATAAATACGTAAATAGTAAAAGCATAGGATAATCATAAAGGGTGCTGATAATTTTTCATATTTGACCTTTCCATTGCATTCTTTCCAGTTCCTTTTTCTTTTCTTCTTCATGTGTCTGGAGCAGCCCACATTGCCACAGAGAACTTGGCTGTTCTGAAACAATTCTGAGTGAAGGCAAAGTGCTTTTTGGATGGTCTTTCATGCTCAGCAATAGTGGCTCACAGAATAATGTTGATAGTAGGAGCCCAGAGAATTTAATTAGCCCAAGGTCACACAGTTAATAGCCCTACTGTAAAAGCTGGGCTTTGAACCCAGATCCAGCTCACTCTTTTTTTTTTTTGAGACAGGGTCTGGCTCTGTCACCCAGGCTAGCGTGCAGTGGTGCAATCATGGCTTGCTGCAGCCTCAACCTTCTGGGCTCAAGCAGTCCTCCCACCTCAGCCTCCCAAGTAGCTGGGACTACAGGTGTGCAACATCACACCCAGCTAATTGTATTATTATTTTTTTGGTTGAGATGGGGTTTTGCCATGTCCAGGCTGGTCTCAAACTCCTGGGCTCCAGTAATCTGCCCACCTTGGCCTCCCAAAGTGCTGAAATTATAGGCGTGACCCACCACACCTGGCCCCAGCGAACTCTTAACTACTTAGGCTTTGTGTAGATCTTAAGCCACCGGGAGGTGTTTGAGTCCTAGGTGTGCAACAATTAGGCTCCTCATATAAGGAGGGGTGGAAGATCACCAGGCAGCATTTCCACACCACTGTTCTTTGCTGTGGATTTGCATGAGAGGAGACATAGATTTCATGATATCTTGCATTGGCTTGAGGCTGCTATGTCAGGGTGGAAAGGGGATGGGGAGGATAATAAAACCTTAAAGTTGAAGGAGACGGCTGGGCGTGGTGGCTCACGCCTGTAATCCCAGCTACTCGGGAGGCTGAGGCAGGAGAATCATTTGAACCCGGGAGGTGGAGGTTGCAGTGAGTCAAAATCACGCCACTGCATACCAGCTTGGGCAACAGAGTGAGACTCCATCCTCCCCACCCCCACAAAAGAAAATTTAAGGAGACATTACAGGTGATCTTAACCAGACCTAGGGCCATTGAGTAACTTGCCTAAAGTTCATTTCTGTGTAGTGATAGAGCTGGGATCTACAAAAATTAGCCGGGTGTGGTGGCGTGCACCTGTAGTCCCAGCTACTCAGGAGGCTGAGGCAGGAGGATCAGTTGAGCCTGGAGGTCGAGGCTGCAGTTAGCTGTGATCAGGCCACTCTACTCCAGCCTGGGCAACAGTTAGACTCTGAGTGAAAAAGAAAAAAGTAGGGGGGTGCGAGGAGAGCTGGGGCCAAACCCAAGGCTCCTGGGTTTTCCATACCACTATTGACTGACACCAGCATGTCTCTCTGAAGGAACTCACTTTGGCACTCATATCTCACTATCTCCTGAATCCTCCTTCACCTCTTCCTTGCTAGAGGTACACCTTCTTTCGTACCGCTGCAGCAGAAAATGACAGTTCCCATAACCAAGACTATCCCAGGCAGCTCAGGGACTCTGTATTTAGAGGAGGGAGAAGGACCACAGGGGACTAGATATATAGATGGCCACAACTTGTGATGGTTCAACTTAGTGATTTTTCAACTTTATGGTGGTGCAATTGATACATGCAGCCAGTAGAAATCATTTGTTTTTCATTTTTAATACAGTATTAAGTAGATGACATGAGATATTCAATACTTTATTGTAAAATAATTTGTGTTAGAGGATTTTACCAAACCATAGGCTGATGTAAGTTCCGAGCAGTTTAAGGTAAGCTAGGCTAAGCTATGCTGTTCAGTAGATTAACTGTGTTAAATGCATTTTTGACTGACGATATTTTCAATTTATGATGGGTTTACCAGAACATGACCCCATCGTAAGCCGAGAAACTTCCGTACTGTGTTAAAAACTGTTTGAGGAACACTGGATTAAATGATGCTTCCACTGTTCTGCTCTCCCTGGGAAAGCGGAGGCAGAACGGTGAAGCAGAGTGAGGTCTTGTTTATTCCAGGCCCCCTGCCTCGGTGCACAGAAGATCCGAGAGAAAAGCTGACTGACAGCAGTAGGTCATGAGGATGCCACTTGTTTAGATTTCAAATGCATTCCACTCTATGTCTCACTTAAGACCAGTTGACAGCCATGTGTTCCGAGCCTGGGCTGCCTCTGGTGAATTTTCCTGAGACAGAAGTGTCATTGGATTCTTTCTTGTGCCAAGTGTAGGCACCACTGCCTCTTTTAGAAACTATGTGGACACTTTGAACTGTGCTCTTTTAAGCCAGTGCCGGAAGAATGGCATTCGCAGGGCCTGGTAAACTGGGGAGAAACTTTCTGATGTTTTTATGAAAGGCATGTTTTGCTCTGAAGTCAAAGAGTGTGTGTTCTGGCCAAAGTAGCAAGCATAGATCTGCTTTTTCCACACGCACCAGGCTTCAGAGGAGAAGTTGACTAGATAGCCAGTGTCTCATTTTGTTTGTGGTGGGCATGGGATGGTGAAAACGGAAGGAGGAAGAAGTACAGGGGACAAGATATTTAGATGGTCCACAACTTGCGATGGTTCAACTTAATGGTTTTTCAGCTATGATGGTGTGAATGGCATACATGGCCAGTAGAAATCATTCTGTTTTTCACTTTTAGTACAGGATTAAGTAGATGGTATGAGAAATCCAACTTGATAGCCAGTGTCTCATTTTGCTTATGGTGGACATGGGAGGGTGGTGGTGGGGCGGCGGGGGAAGGAGCACATAGAAGGAACTCTGCGTGCAATGTTGTGAGGGCCTCATTGTCAGGGTTTATGAATTTCTCGTTTCCTTCTTTCTAAACTGTCATATCAGAATGTAAAGTTTTTAAGACCAAGAAACACCTAAAGATTTATGGTGGAAACGTGCACTAAGCCGGGGAACTGGTTTTCAGTCCTGTGCTTTCTCTTGTCCTCTCCGTGTGGCTTCAGGTGCCAGTCCTGTTTCTGCCCAGCCTCTAGCCCTGTAGACAGTCACTGGAGTGCCTGGTGTATACCCTTGGCCAAGTAGACAGTGTAGTAAAGCATGGCCCAGAGAGGAGGAGCCGACCATGTGACTTCAGTTTCCACTGGCAGCTGTCCGCCGGATGTGCACTGTGGGCAGGGCCAGCCTGAGTTGCCGCAAATACTGTGGCTTTAGTTTATTTGCTGAGCAGGGCTTTTTTCCTTCTTAACTCTGAGCTTCTTGGGGATAAGGACAATGTCTTATTCATCTTTGTATCCCTTGAACCCAACACAATGCTTGGCACAAAGACAGCGTCCAGTAAGTGACTGTGTTATTGTTTAGAATGAAGAAATGTTGAAGGCCACATATAGCAGATGCCTTACAGGTTTCGTCATCTGCATAGTGGCCCCAAGTACATTTTGGGCTGAGGTTAACGTTGGTCTGGGAGGTATTTTATATCTTACATGTGAAACTTTTTTTTAAAGTTCCCCTCCATCCTCATCCACCAGTGCTGTGGACAGAATTTGGCAGACAGCTAGATGGCCACTCAGTAGTGCCCTTTATGTGAGTGTCCCTGACAAGGGACAGTATGAATCCTGGATCCAGTCAGGATTCTTTTTCAATAAGCAAAAATGATCTAGCAGATTGAAATTAGACTGGGTTATCTGAGCAGTTCGGCCCTTTATTGAAAAGTAAAGAATTTCAGTTGTAGATTTTTTTTGTTGTTGCCCTCTTTAGGATCACACTGTGAATTAACCTTGGAGAGAAAGTGTTTTAAAAAGAAGAATGGAATAACTGAGCAGATGCTAATCCTAGAATACATACCGCTTTAATTATTCCAGGAAGTTTCACAGAAAAGCCAGTTTTATTTAAAATGTACTGCTAATTACCAGGGAATCATCACCCTCCTACCGGCTGAGGTTAGCACCGGAACATGAAATGTTTCTACTTGGACCTAAAGTGAGGCAGCCCTTGCCTGTCCTGTCTGAGGAAAACTTCACTCTGCCAATTGCTTTTGTGTCCTGAATCTCCTCTCCTCTTTAATAAACCATATTTTTTCCCCTAAACTCTGTTGTTGTTGTGTAAATCTTTTAAAGTTTTTTTTGTTTGTTTGTCTTTTTTATTTTTTATTTTTGAGATGGAGTCTCGCTCTGTCGCCCAGGCTGGAGTGCAGTGGCGTGATCTTGGCTCACTGCAATCTCTGCCTCTCTTGTTCAAGCGATTTTCCTGCCTCAACCTCCTGAGTAGCTGGGATTACAGGCGCGCACCACCACGCCTGGCTAATTTTTATATTTTTAGTAGAGACGGGATTTCATCATGTTGGTCAGGCTGGTCTCGAACTCCTGACCTCGCGATCTGCCTGCCTCGGCCTCCCAAAGTGCTGGCAATACAGGTGTGAGCCACCGCGCCTGGCCAAAGTTGATTTTCTTAATGGAATAAACATTGATACAAACTGTTTTGGGGGCTGGTGAATAGACAACCAGGAGGACAATGATGAGAAGGAAAGTGTTCAAAAGCTGTCATTTAATATGCTAACATGCTTTTTTAATTTTTTAGGATAAGGAAGCCTGTGTGGGTACCAACAATCAAAGCTACATCTGTGACACAGGACACTGCTGTGGACAGTCTCAGTGCTGCAACTACTACTATGAACTCTGGTGTAAGTCCTTGCTTGGGTGCCTCTCAGTATCCCAGGGTCCCAGTTACTGCCTCTGCTTAGTGGGAAACTCTGGGCATTAGCCCTTTTCGGATTCTCTTGGGGACAGTGTTGGTGAGTGGAATCTGTTTATGGGTTCCAGAAGTGCTTCCTTTGTAGAGGAAGAGAGTTCTGGTGCTCTTTGGACTTTGTTAGCTGAAGACTAGAGAATATGGTCTTAGCCAGGTCTGCTGCAGAAGCTCTTGCCTGAGGTTCTCCTGGCTGCCCTCTCCATTGTGTGCTGAGCAGCTGACAACAACTTAGATGCTTCCTTGGGCCCTCCCAGAAGCCCAGGTTTGCCTTTCTTTTTTTTTTTGACGGAGTCTCGCTCTGTCACCAGGCTGGAGTGCAGGCGCAACCTCAGCTCATTGCAGCCTCTGCCTCCCGAGTTCAACTGATTCTCCTCCCTCAGCCTCCTGAGTAGCTGGTACTACAGGTGTGCACCACCATGCCCAACTAATTTTTGTATTTTTAGGAGAGATGGGGTTTCACCGTATTGGCCAAGATGGTCTCGATCTGTTGACCTCGTGATCTGCCCGCCTTGGCTTCCCAAAGTGCTGGGATTAGAGGCGTGAGCCACCACACCTGGCTGGCTTGCTGTTTTTGCAGAGAGAGGTTGCAAGCCAAGCTACTATGAATGCCAGGCCACTCTAGATGGTCACTATGCCATTTTCTTGTAAGGACCACAGGGGCTTCCAGAATTTCCCATAGAACCTCATGGAGTGCCTCTGTTTCTGAGGGTCCTTCGGAAAGGAACAGTCTTTCCCTAGGTCCTTGCCTATAGAGGACCTTCTGGAGAAAGGGAGTCTTGAGGCTCAGCTCCTTTTATTTCTTACCCAGTTCTCACATGGAAGTTCCTGGAGGATTCTCCAGTGTACCTAACCTTTTACTGTCAGCTAAATCCCATGTGGAGGCTGGGCACAGTAGCTCACGCTTATAATCCCAGCACCCTGGGAGGCCAAGGCATGTGGATCACTTGAGCCCAAGAGTTCAATACCAGCCTGGCTAACATGGTGAAACCCCCTCTCTACTAAAAATACAAAAATTATCTGGGCATGGTGGTGTGTGCCTGCAGTCCCAGCTACTCAGGAGGCTGAGGCAGGAGAATCACTTGAACCCGGGAGGCGGAGGTTGCAGTGAGCCGAGGTTGCGCCACTGCACTCCAGCCTGGGCAACAGAGCGAGGCTCCATCTAAAAAAAAAAAAAGAAAAATGCCATGTGGAAACCATCTTTGTCTTGCCACTGGTTTGACTGAAGCCAGAACCACTTGCTTCTTCAAGTTGCACGACAGTGGTGATGGTGTTAGGGTCTTCAGGGAGTGACCCAAGGTTGCTTCAACTGACACTCTTTGTACTCTGACCTTCCTGGAACTCAGACGAGACAGTGTAGGATGCTGGACAAAGAATGAGAGGGTGTTGGGGGGGTGGTGCTTAGGACAGCGAGGCCCCAGGTGACTGACATTGCCGTAGTTCTTACAATTGTCTCTTGAGAAAGGAGACTGCAGGCGGTTTCCCCAGATGATTCTAAGCCCTCATCACTGCCTCCATTTGGAAACAGACTTCGGGTTTGTCAAACCATGACCTTGCCCCCACCATCCTATCTGCGCCTTTCCCCTTTCTCATCCCCCCCATCAACCCCTGTGTCAGTGATATGGCAAGAAAGCAGCCAGAAGGACTATTGTTTGGTCCAGAAAGGAAATTAGACTCTTGGCTGGGAGGTCTGTCCATCTGAAATGCAGTTGTATTTGTAGCCAACAGGAGTGGTTCCTCCAAACAAGACCTCTCCCTCACCCTCGCTTTTCCCTTTTGAGGACTGAGGACGGGCTCATCTGCCTTTCTGAGGAATTCCAGGAGCAGTCCAGTGCAGGAGAGCACAAGGCTCAAGATGTCCCCACCAGACCTGCAGATATATAAGCAGCAGTGAAGGAGGGCACAGTCATTGTTGCTATTTTAGAAGGGGTGGGGCTGAGAAACTTACTAGAGGACACACAGTGCCAAGCAGGTAGACAGACTCTGTTTAAATGTTTTAAAATGCAGATAACCACAGGGTTCAAATTCTCCTTCCCACCCTTTGTTAAAACAAAAGTTGAAGCTGGGCTGCCAAAAAGCCACAGAGCTGTAGTTTGTTTTTCTGGGTCCTGGCCAGGCGGCATCAGTTGTGAAAAGGAACGAAGTTGCTCATGGCCCCGTCTCAGATTGACAGAGCCTCCTGGGCTTTTGGCAGAGCCGACTCAGGAGCCACCTGAATTGGGTCACCAAAGCCAGGGCAGGGGGGTGGAGTGGTGGGGACAGGGAGACCCAGAGGGCAAGGAGGTAGTCTGGGAAAGCAGGTGCCTCACCCCAAGGGCTTAAAGAAAGTCAGAGAAAGAGCTGCATGAACGGCTAAGTGTCTCTCTAGCTACGGGCGTTTAGGAAAGGAGGCCCAGCAGAGAGCAGTGTCTAGACGGAGAGAAAAGGTGCCCCGTTAAATGAGCTGGCATGTGTTTTCCACGTTCTGGAGGCATGGGAGACATAAAAGCAAAACGCCCTTCTCAGGAAGTCCTCCGATCTCCCTCTTTATTGAGGTCATGGCTTCTGCCTGGTGTGTATGGGAGGGAGGTTGATGTTGGAACAAACACCTGAAGTTCTCATCAAAATGGCACTTTTTGTTGCTTTCAACCCTGTTCCCTCTAACTGCCTCTCAACTTTGCCTGAAGTGTGAAAGTCACGGGCTTTGGGCTGATTTCCTTCCCACCTTCCTTTGGAAAGAAAATTCCTCAGCCAGGAAATCCTTTGGCAGAGTTTTCATCAGACAGGGCAACTCCTTAACTATAGTTGCCTACAGGAAAGGCCTCCGGGAAAAAATGCCATTTCTACCCACCCTTTACCTCTACTAAACTGCATTTTCCTGTGTGCTGAGGAAAATTCTCAATTCTCACACACATACTTACACACACACACGGTTTACACAGACACACAAGCACACATAGACCTGAGCTCTGGCCGGCAACCTTTCCCACATGTCTTTTCAATGTTTCATAACCCAAACCAGTTATTGGGCCTGCATGTGTTGAGAACGGCAGATCCTGTTTAATAGGGGCAGTAGTTGAGGCTATTAAGGACCTGATCGTTGTTAGTATTATCTCCATGCATTTTTACGGCACCTGTACTTTAATTCATCATTCCATCAGTTATTCATTCAGCAAACCCTTATTCCAGTGCTCTTGAACTTTAGCAGGCATCAGAATTTCCTGAAGGGCTACCGAAAACACACACTTCTGGGCCCTACTCCCAGAGCTTTTGATTCAAAACTGAGAATTTAAAAACCTGAGAATGTGCAATTGTAACAAGTTCCTAGTTGATGCTGTGACCTCCTCTGGGCTGGAAACTGGAGAGACAGAATTCTTACCTTCAGAAGGTAATCCAGCGGGGAGGGGATAGGATGTGCATTGGCCCAAACCCCAAAGCCACTCCTCCCTGTTCTCATCCTGGGGCTCTCTCCACTCAGCAAGCTACATTTTCCAGGGAGAGATCAAAGTTGGGAATTTCTGCCCTTGAGATCATTTGGGAGAATTTCACCCAGGCATCAGTTTCCCCTGGTTTGGGCTTTAGGAGGGAGAGGGGTATGTTTCTGGACAGTGGAATTTCCCTGAAGTGACACAAAACAGGCTATTAGCAAATCCTGTCAGTGCTGCCCAACTCGTTTTTCATTTTTTATTCTCTCTCTTTTTTTCTTTCTCTCTCTCTTTCCTTTCCCTCCCTCCCATCTCCCTCCTCCTCTCTCCCCTCCCTCTCCACTCTTCCTCTCCCCTCCCTCCCCACTTTTCCTCCCCCCTCCCTCCCACCCTTCCCTACCCTTCCCCCCACCCCCACCCTTCCCCCACCCTGCCACCCCTCCCCCACCTTCCCACCCTTCCCCCCACCCTCCCCTCCCCTTCCTCCACCCTCCCCTACCCTTCCCCCAGCCTTTCCCTTTCCCCCTTCCCCCTCCTCCTTCCACCTTCTCCTTCCTTCCTTCCTTCCTTCCTTCCTTCCTCTTTTTGTGTGTGTGAGACAAGGTTTCACTCTATCACCCAGGCTGGAGTGTAGTGGTATGATCTTTGGTCACTGCAGCCTTAACCTCCTGGACTCAAGGGATCCTCCTGCCTCAGCCACTTAAGTAGCTGGGACTATGAGTATGTGCCACCATGCCCATCTAATTTTTGTATTTTTTTGTAGAGATAAGGTTTCGCCATGTTGCCCAAGCTTCGTTTTTTACCTGCCGTTTTTTTTTGTTTTGTTTTTAGTTTGTCTTAAGATACCCATTGTTAGCAAGAGCTCAGTAAATAGGAGTTGATTGAATTTCCAGTGCCAAGAACAGAACCTAAAAGCAGACTTTGGACTTGTTCCTAACCTGTGTTTCTTTTTTCCTTTTCTTTCTTGAGACAGCGTCTCACTCCCTCGCCCAGGCTGAAGTGCAGTGGCATGATCTCGCTTCCCAGGTCCAAGCGATTCTCCCACCTCAGCCTCCCAAATAGCTGGAATTACAGGTGTGCGCCAGCATGCCCAGCTAATTTTTGTATTTTTAGTAGAGATGGGGTTTCACCATGTTGGCCAGGCTGGTCTCCAAATTCTGACCTCAAGTGATCCACCTGCCTCAGCCTCCCAAAGTGCTGGGATTACAGGCATGAGCCACCACACTGGGCCCTGTGTTTCTTTATGGAATACTTTTTGGGGGTTAAAAGGGAAATTGAAAGGAAATTTTAAAGGAAACCCTGCCCATCTATGGTTAAGCCTGTAACAACAACAATAAACACACTAAGAACTTACCATACATCAGGCATAGTTCTGCGTATACTACATATATTAACTCATTTAGTCCTCACAGTGACCAGATAAGTTAGAGACCTTTATTCTCCCCGTTTTACAGATGAGGGAAGTAAAACCAAAATGACCAAGGTCACAAAGCTAGAATATGTGTTTTTAAGCTGGGCTTTGAACCCAGGCCATCTGCCTTTTCTCTTCCACGTCTGCAGTCATGCTTGTAGGAAAGTTGGCTGGGCTTTCAGAAGAAGTTGCGAGTCTCTGACGTCTTCATTTCCCAAATTCAGGCCTTTTCCACTGTGGCAGTGGCAGGAGCTCTTGCTGAGAGCAAGGAAGGGCCAGGGGAGCCAGTCACCCACCGTCCTGCAGGATGGGAGGAGAGCTCACTTACAGTATGCTTGAGCCTCCTAATGGGGAATTTCCTGCCAGTTGAAGAGTGGTGTTTTCCCAAGTTTGTAGTGAACTCTTGGGGTTTGTAGTGTAGTCATGGGGCACATGACTCAGTTCCTACACTGGACTGTGATTGTTTTTAAAAACATGTTTTCCATTTTGCTTAGCATGACAAATGCACCCCACAGTGAACTCACAATTTTCAAAACTTGTCTTTGAGGAATGTAGTCTCTTGGTAGGTGTGTGTTTGTTGGGGAAAGGAGGGTCATATTTCTGTCTCTGGTGTGTCTTTTGTTGGGTTTTCCTTTTTTTTTTTTTTGGAGGCAGGGTCTTGCTCTGTCTGTTGCCCAGGCTGGAGTGCAGTGGCGCTATCTTGGCTCACTGCAAGCTCCGCCTCCCAGGTTCACGCCATTCTCCTGCCTCAGCCTCCCGAGTGGCTGGGACTATAGGTGCCTGCCACTACGCCCAGCTAATTTTTTGTATTTTTAGTGGAGACGAGGTTTCACTGTGTTAGCTAGGATGGTCTCCTCGTGATTCGCCCGCCTTGTCCTCCCAAAGTGCTGGGATTCTAGCCTTGAGCCACCGCGCCCAGCCAGGTTTTCCTTTTTTTTAAAGTTTTCTTCTTTGTGCTTACTTCAGCAGCACCTATACTAAAATTGGAATGATACTGAGATTAGTGTGGCCCCGGCCAAGGATAGCAGGCAAATTTGTGAAGCACTCCATAAAAAAAAGTAAAAAATGTAAAAATGAACTTTCTTCCTTGGTTTTGAAATCTAGCTAAAAGATTAAAATTTTTCCTAAGTTGGCCAGGTGTGGTGACTCACACCTGTAATCCCAGCACTTTGGGAGGCTGAGGTGGGTGGATCACTTGAGGTCAGGAGTTCGAGACCAGCCTGGCCAACATGGTGAAATGCCATCTCCACTAAAAATACAAAATTAGCTGGGTGTGGTGGTGCATGCCTGTAGTTCCAGCTACTTGGGAGGCTGAGGCAGGAGATTCGTTTGAACCCGAGAGGCGGAGGTTGCAGTGAGCCGAGATCACACCACTCCACTCCAGCCTGGGTGACAGAGCAAGACCCTGTCTCAAAAAAAAAAAAAAAAAAGCCCTTTTTTTTTTAAAAAAAAAATTATACTTCTGGTTCAGTGAATCTAGCCTTTTTCTGGATCAAGGATTCCTTTAAAAATCTGATGAACACTTTAAATTCTCTCCCCAAGAAAAACTTGTAATCACACTGCAGTAGTCAGGATAGGCTAAGTTGTGCCACAGGAACAAGCAAGTCCAAAATCCTAGTGACCTAAAAACAGCAGGTTTATTCCTCACTCACACTGTGTGTCCATCGAAGGTTGGATGAGAGTTTTGTTTCCACTTCACCATCCTCTGGGACCCAGACTGATGTGAAATCACCATCTGGGATGTTGCCAGTTGCCAAAACAGAAGGAAGACTAATGGAGGGTCTCATATTAGCAAGACACATTTTGGCCTCTAAGTGACATATATCACATCCAATCTCAATTCATTAGTTAGACTTAGTCCCAAAGCCTCACCCAGTCACAAGGGGGTCAGGAAGTTCAAGCCTACCCACATGCCTAGAAGGAGAAGAAGCAGAAATACTTGGCAAACATGAAAACCAATGCATGAGATTTTCTTTAAAACGGGGAAAACAAAACAAAACAAAACAAAACAAAAACAACCATGTTGGCCAGGTGTGGTGGCTCATACCTGTAATCCTAGCACTTTGGGAGCCAAGGTGGGAGGATTACTTGAAGCCAGGAGTTTGAGAGCAGCCTGGGCAACAAAGTGAGACCACCCCCCTATATCTACAAAAAATTTAAAAATTAGCCAGGTGTGGTGTGCACCTGTAGTCCTAGCTACTAGAGAGGCTAAAGTGGGCTCCTTGAGCCCAGGAGTTGGAGGCTGTAGTGAGTTCTGGTCTCTACTGTACTCCAGCCTGGGTGACAGAGTAATACCTGTCTCAAAAATTTATTTTAATTAAATTTTTTAAAAAATTGTAAAAGCTGTGAAATAGATCATATATATTGCAGTATAAAAGTTAGAAGTTGGTTTACCTTTAGGTAGAGAACTATTGAAAAAATGACTGGTGGCCAGGTAAAAAACTAGTAGAGTTAGATGCTGGCTATCTTTTTTTTTTTTAGAGATGGGATCTCGCTGTGTTACCCAGGCTGACCTCACAAGAAGCAATCCTCTCATCTCAGCCTCCCAAGTAGCTAGGATTTTAGTTGTGAGCCACTGCGCCAAGCAGATGCTGATTACCTAACGGGAGAATGTACTTTTAAAATTTTAAAGTTTGGCCATCTCTGGTATTTCACACCTGTAATCCCAGCACTTTGGGAGGCTGAGGCAGGGGGATTGCTTGAGACCAGAGTTTGTTTGAGACCAGCCTGGGCAACCTTGTGAGACCTCATCTCAACAACAACAACAACAAAATTAGTGGGGTGTGGTGGTGCATGCCCGTAGTCCCAGCTACTCAGGAGGCCAGAGCGGGAGGATCACCTGAGCCCAGGAGATCAAGGCTGCAGTGAGCTGCGTTCACACCACTGCACTCTACCCTGGGTGACAGTGAGACCTTGTCTCTTAAAAATAAGTTAAAAAAAATTGGCCTGGCACGGTGGCTCACACCTGTAATCCCAGCACTTTGGGAGGCTGAGGCGGGCGGATCACTTGAGCTCAGGATTTTGAGACCAGCCTGGCCAACATGGTGAAACCCTGTCTCTACTAAAAATACAAAAAAAAAAAAACCAATTAGATGGGTGTAGTGGCACGCACCTGTAGTTGCAGCTGCTGAGGAGGCTGAGGCACAAGAATCACGTGAGCCTGGGAGGCGGAGGTTGCAGTGAGCTGAGTTCCCTTGCCACTCCAGCCTAAGCGACAGAATGAGACCCTGTCTCAAAAAATAAATAAATAACAATAAAGTAAAAAAAAAAAAAGTTATAAAGTAACACAGAAGTATAATGGACTGTGAGATTACACTGAGAAAGTAAGAGAAGTATAGGTAATACAAAATGGTTGTCAGCCCAGAATAATTTAGACTTGACTCCGAAATACACATGCAGCCAGGTTCTTAAGCAGAGTGTCCACCCCAACAACCCTAGGAGATGTTATCAAACTGCATCTGTAGCCAGTTTCACCTCCATAACTCCTTTCCAGCCTCTCCACCCTTCTGCAAGGGTTCCTCTGCCAGTGTCTACTCTTAAGTCAGCCAGAATTCATAAAGAAAGAAACATAAGTTAAGCAAGTTTGACTAGTGAACCGGGAAAGACCAAAAAGGAGACTGCTAAGTTCACTTTATGGTCTCTGGTTAGGAATGGATTTTCCTGTCTGCTGATGGGTAACAGGGAAAAAAATCCTCTGTCTGTTCTCTTGCTGCAAGGCTGCAGCATGAAGCTTTGGTTGAACAGCGATACCCACTGAAAGCAATTAAGTGCCGTGGAATGGTACTGCCAGCCTGCCGGGGCTGGGGGGCATGTCACTGTCCTGCCCCACTTGGTGGAGGGCAGCTTTGTGAGGAGATTCAATGGGGGCATTCCAGGGGGACAGAGAAAGAGCTGTCGCCAGATGCCACACCCTAAATGCCAAGGGATCTTTTGGAAAATTGTGTATATACAAATAAGGGGGAAAAACATCAAGGATTTATTCATTTTTACAAGTCTGTTTTGTGGGGGAGGGAGGCATTTTTTTCTTTTTTTAAACAAGGTTAACTTGATTTAACTCATTCTGACAAGAGATACATGTGGAACTACTTTTAAAATTTTAAACACAAATTTATAATTACAAAGCAGATGATAAAAAATACACATAGCATTTGGAATGGAAAACAATGGAAGTTTTTCAAGAATAGAGAACAAACAATATTATCTATTCTCATTTAGTAACAACTCATCTTAAAATTATTCCTTTGATACATTTTTAGTTGAGAAAAAAATATTCTTTTTACTACAGAGAAGCACATGTCCATCTTAGAAAAATTAGGAAATAGAACAAAGGAGCAGGTACTGTCTGTCATCCAGAGTTACCCCATGGTTAGAGCTTCCTGACCATACCCCTCCTTTTTCTGTCCATATATACTTTTTTTTTTAAGACTGAATCTCACTCGGTTGCCAGGCTGGAGTGCAGTGGCGTGATCTCAGCTCACTGCAACCTCCCCTCCTGGGTTCAAGCGATTCTCAGCCTCCCAAGTAGCTGGGACTATAGGTGTGTGCCACCATGCCCAGCTAATTTTTGTATTTATTTTTAGTAGAGATGGGGTTTCACCATGTTGGCCAGGATGGTCTCGATCTCTTGATGTCGTGATCCGCCCACCTTGGCCTCCCAAAGTGCTGGGATTACAGGGTGTGAGCCCCTGCGCCCAGCCATACGTACTTTTTTTAAGCAAAAGTTAGGATCATATTTTATTTTGTCATCTGCTTTTTTTCATTTAATATCAGAAACTCTTTGTATGTCAAAAATAATATTATGTGAGTAATTTTTTAATGATTCATATTATTTCATTGTATAGCCATATTCCTAGAGGAATTTAAAAACCTACCCAGAAATTATTGATTAAAAAAAAAAAGCTAGCCAAAGTAAAATTAGTCATAGATATTTTTAAAATTTAATTTGTTTTGGCCGGGCGCGGTGGCTCACACCTGTAATCCTAGCACTTTGGGAGGCTGAGACGTGAGGATCTCTTGAGCCCAGGGTTCAAGACCAGCCTGGGCAACACAGGGAGAAAGCCAGGCATGGTGGCATATGCTTGTAGTCCCAGCTACTCAGAAGGTGGAGGTGGGAGGACAGCTTGCGCCCAGAAGGTTGAGGCTTCGGTTGAGCTGTGATCGCACCACTGTACTCCATCCTGGGTGACAGAGCAAGACCCTGTCTCAGAAAAAAAGAAAATTAATTTGTTTCTAGTTTTATATTTTGAAAGAAAATAATCAAAAGAAGAAAATTTAAATTTCTTATTCTGTCATTTAAAGATGTCATTATTTTTGTTTTCCTTTCAGTTCTTTCCCCCTCGTGCGTATATGTGTATGTGTGTTATGTGAAAAGCAAAATTCCTCATTAATTAAAAAAAAAATTTAAAAGCCTTTTGTGCCACACATTTAAAAATTGGAGAGGAGGTCTTATATTGGGGTTTGCTGAGATTCTCTGAGTATGATCCCAGAGACAGCACAGAGGGAAGTAAAGAGCTGTGGGGCTTGGCCTCTGTTCCGCCACCCTTCCCTGGAGCAGGGAGGAAGAAGCGGCTGCTAATGGCCCTGCATCTACTGCAAGGGCAGGCCAAAGGGAGGGAGAGTTGATTGTGGCAGTGGGAGATGGAATTGTACCCGATTAGGATTATGTCGAGAGCAGAGGAAATCATTTACACTCTCTAGGGAGGAGATGGACCTGAGGCAATTAGAATTTTTCCACCTCTAACTTTAGTGATTCTTGTATTACAGAGGCATACATGATAGAGAAAAGCACCTGATTTTTTTGATGCTATCAGGAGAATCATAAGACTTCTTTTGTCAGGGGGCCCCTCTGAGGCCCCTTGCAAGTGCTGATCTTCTGAGTTGCGGGGGAGGGGAGATGGGCACTAAGAAAGTGAAGCATTTTCTCAGAAATCTCTTAAGAGAGGAGGAGGAGACCATCCCAGAAGGTCTGCATATTTAATGCTCACAAAACCTATAATACGGGGGGACCCATCAGTGGTGCTGGAGAGATGCCTTGGCACTTGTGCCTTCCCCCAAGGTGCTGGAGGCGTCCTGGAGTGAGAGACCTGCTTTGCTGTCATCATTCTGTTTTGTTTTGTTTTGTTTTGTGACGGTGTCTTGCTCACCCAGGCTGGAGTGCAATGGTGCAATCTCGGCTCACTGCAGCCTCCGCCTCCTGGGTTCAAGCAATTCTCCTGCCTCAGCCTCCTGAGTAGCTGGGATTATAGGTGCATGCCATCACGCCTGGCTAATTTTTGTATTTTTAGTAGAGACAGGGTTTCACCATGTTGGCCAGGCTGGTCTTGAACTCCTGACCTCAGGTGATCTGCACGCCTCGGCCTCCCAAAATGCTGGGATTACAGGCATGAGCCACTGCACCCAGCCATTCTTTTTTTTGAGACAGAGTCTTGCTCTGTCGCCCAGGCTGGAGTGCAGTGGCGCAATCTTGGCTCACTACAACCTCTATCTCCTGGTTTTAAGTGATTCTCGTGCCTCAGCCTCCTGAGTAGCTGGGATTACAGGCGCCTGCCACCATACCTGGCTGATTTTTGTATTTTTAGTAGAGATGGGGGTTTCACCATGTTGGCCAGGCTGGTCTCGAACTCCTGACCTCAAGTGATCCACCCATCTTGGCCTGGGATTACAGGCATGAGCCACCACGCCCGGCCTGTTGTCATCATTCTTACATTCCTGCCCACTTCTATCCCATGTGTCTTTCACTCTGGCACAAGCATTTATGGAAATTGATCACATGGCTTCAATGTAAATTAACTGGGTGAGGCCCAGCCATGCCAGCTTCAACCACGTGGGCACCGTCCAGGGACCTCCCTGTTCCGCAAGCTGCCCCTCTGGCTGGTACTCACTGTGTGCCTCTCTGTCTTGCCTTGCCCACCCCCCAGGGTTCTGGCTGGTGTGGACCATCATCATCATCCTGAGCTGCTGCTGTGTTTGCCACCACCGCCGAGCCAAGCACCGCCTTCAGGCCCAGCAGCGGCAACATGAAATCAACCTGATCGCTTACCGAGAAGCCCACAATTACTCAGCGCTGCCATTTTATTTCAGTACGTACACCCAAGCCCCCATACCCACCCTCAGGAGCTCAGGTGCACAGACCCAGGGCTCACACTGAATATTGGTGGCCAGGCTCCTGTAGGCATAGGGGGTTTGTCCTCTCCCTGCCCCTCCGTAGAGCAAGGTCTTGAAAGTACAGGAACAAGGGGACACTCCTTCAGCACAGAGGAGCATGTGCTAGGGGTGCAGTTCCCTGAAGCCACTGGGCCATTCCAAAGCTCACAGTGGCTGGGTTCTGGCTGGATCTCTGCTTCTTTAGCACCTGCGTACATACCTACCTACCTAACTTCCTCCCTTCCTCCCTCCCTTCCTTCCTCCCTCCCTCTTTCTCTCTTTCTTTCTTTCTTTCTTTCCCTGCCTGCCTGCCTTTCCATCCCTCCCTCCCTCCCTTCTTTTCCTTCCTTCCTTCCCTCCTTCCTTCCTTCCCTCCTTCCTTCCTTCCTTCCTTCCTTCCTTCCTTCCTTCCATCCATCCTCCCTCCCTCTCTCTCTCTCTATTTCTTTTTTTTTTTTTTTTTTTGAGATGGAGTTTCTCTCTTGTTGCCCAGGCTGGAGTGCAGTGGCGCAATCTTGGCTCACTGCAACCTCTGCTTTCCAGGTTCAAGCGATTCTCCCGCCTCAGCCTCCAAAGTAGCTGGGATTACAGGCATGCACCACCACACCCAGCTAATTTTTGTGTTTTTAGTAGAGACAGGGTTTCTCCATGTTGGTCAGGCTGGCCTCGAACTCCTGACCTCAAGTGATCTGCTCGTCTCGGCCTCCCAAAGTGCTGGGATTACAGGCGTGAGCCACCGTGCCCCTGCCCTCCCCTTCCCTCCCCTCTTTTCCTTTCCCTCCCCTCCCCTCCCCTTCCTCTTTCTTTTCCTTTCTCTTTCTTACCCTTCCTTTCTTTCCCTTCCTTCTTCCCTCCCTCCCTTCATTCATCCATCTCTCTCTCTCTCTTTAATGGCAGATAGTCAGATAATAGAACAATAATTATTAACATTTATTGAGCACTTACTATATGCCAGGTACTGTGCTAAGCACCTAGTCCTTCTAGATGTGGAATTGAAACAATTGTGGGCCGGGCTCAGTGGCTCACACCGGGCTCGGTGGCTCAGCACTTTGGGAGGCCGAGGCGGGCAGATCATTTGAGGTCAGGAGTCAGTTATAACGTGAGTGAATTGAGACTTGGGGTTCATTGGCCTGAATTCCTCCCATTTTGCTTATTTCTGTGTGATATGCCTGAGCAGAGGCTGCCATGAAAGGGGCGGGTTGGGGGGTGGCATTGGGACTTCTGAGCACCAAGAAACTTAGTGACTCTCTGAAGAGCACTTCCCGGACTTCCCTGGGGCTCCTTACATGTGACCTCTCATATGGTCAGTGGAGGCCCAGCTGTGCCAGTTTTCCAAAGCCAGTCTACAGTGTATTCTACAAAATAAACTTTCACAATTGTTTCTTTACAATTGTTTCTTTTTTTCTTTTTAAGACAGAATCTCGCTCTGTCACCCAGGCTTGACTGCAGTGGCGTGATCTTGGCTCACTGCAACCTCCTCCTCTGGGGTTCAAGTGATTCTTGTGCCTGAGCTTCCCAAGTAGCTGGGACTACAAGACCATGCCATCACACCTAGCTAATGTTTGTATTTTTAGTAGAGATGGGGTTTTACCATGTTGGTCAGGCTGTTCTCAAACTCCTGAGCTCAAGTGATCTGCCCGCCTCGGCTTCCCACAGTGCTGAGATTACAGGCGTAAGCCACTGTGACCCACCATTATTTCAGTTCCACATCTAGAGGGGTTAAGTGCTTAGCACAGTGCCTGGCATATAGTAAGTGCTCAATAAATGTTAGTAATGTTATATTATAATTAAATTATCTGTGTCATAAGGCATTCAGCACATTCAAAAGATAACTCACCTAGCATGTTTTTAATAAGCCTTGGATGGCAGAGGCCCCTTACCCTTTGCCGGTCACCCATCTGCTCCTGATCTGAGTCAAGGTGAAGCTTGGTTTGTGTTTCCAGACCACCTCCAGCCACAGTAGAGACAACAGAGATTTCTAACCCCCTAGCAAAAGACCCTACATAGTGCATTTGGAAGGTTAGGAGGAAGAAAAGTAGTTAAGAAGTCTGAAGTTAGGGACCCTGGCCCTGAGGCCTGTGGGACTTGGATGAAGGACACACTCTAAGCAAGAACATGAGACTTGTGTGCATGTGGAAGTGGGTCCATTCCAGGCAGAAGTTATTTTTTGGCCATCTACCACGTTTGCCTAATTCTCTGCCTTAACTCCCAACAGGCGTGAAGTCCTTGCCTACGAAGCAGCTTTAGGGGCTCTCAGATTTCAAGAAGCTAGGTTAGGCCCTTCCCAAACTGCCCCTCTCTCTCTGCAGAATTGCTCGCAGCTGTCTCTCCTCTGCTCACAACCAAGAGCTGTAGCCATCACTTGTTGGGTGCTCTGGGGTGGGAAGAGACAATGCAAATATTCAGTGGGAGCTTTGCAGTCTGCCTAGAACAATGACCAGTGCAGTAATTTCTCCTTCCTACCTCCCCATTTTAGGGTTTTTGCCAAACTATTTACTACCTCCTTATGAGGAAGTGGTGAACCGACCTCCAACTCCTCCCCCACCATACAGTGCCTTCCAGCTACAGCAGCAGCAGCTGCTGCCTCCACAGTGTGGCCCTGCAGGTGGCAGTCCCCCGGGCATCGATCCCACCAGGGGATCCCAGGGGGCACAGAGCAGCCCCTTGTCTGAGCCCAGCAGAAGCAGCACAAGACCCCCAAGCATCGCTGACCCTGATCCCTCTGACCTACCAGTTGACCGAGCAGCCACCAAAGCCCCAGGGATGGAGCCCAGTGGCTCTGTGGCTGGCCTGGGGGAGCTGGACCCGGGGGCCTTCCTGGACAAAGATGCAGAATGTAGGGAGGAGCTGCTGAAAGATGACAGCTCTGAACACGGCGCACCCGACAGCAAAGAGAAGACGCCTGGGAGACATCGCCGCTTCACAGGTGACTCGGGCATTGAAGTGTGTGTGTGCAACCGGGGCCACCATGACGATGACCTCAAAGAGTTCAACACACTCATCGATGATGCTCTGGATGGGCCCCTGGACTTCTGCGACAGCTGCCATGTGCGGCCCCCTGGTGATGAGGAGGAAGGCCTCTGTCAGTCCTCTGAGGAGCAGGCTCGAGAGCCTGGGCACCCGCACCTGCCACGGCCGCCCGCATGCCTGCTGCTGAACACCATCAACGAGCAGGACTCTCCCAACTCCCAGAGCAGCAGCTCCCCCAGCTAGAGCAGGTCCTGCCAGCACCCAGCAACTTGGCAAAGCAACCAGGGTAGGGGAGAACCACGAGAGAAGCATTAAGTGACTTTCAAAGACTTTCAGAGTACAGCCACTTGGTTCCTTTTTGTTTGTTTTCCTTCTCCTCTCCTGCATTTTCCTCCATCTCCAGGTACAGTTCGGGGTGTGGATGCCTCTTCCTCCACAAGGGCACAGTGTTGTGGAGGGCTAAGTTGGTTCTGTGACTCATTCCTCATACCCTAACTCCATCTCCTTTCTTTAAAGTCAAATCTCACCTACCTGTTTGGGTCAGAGAGATGTGTTTTAAAAGCCCCCAAGGAAGGAGGCTGGGACTGTGCCCTGACATGATTCTTGGTGATGGAATAGGTTTGTGCTCTGATTCTAGTTTAAGAGAACGTTGCTGTATCTCAGTCCAGGAGAGGCAGCCCATCTTGGCCCTGGATGAAGAAGGAAACCCACAGAGGCCCAGGGCTTGTCATTGGGCTGCCAGTGTCTGCCAAGCCAGCATTGAGCTAATCCTGTGGGAGGATGAGAGCTACTGGGCCGTTGTATGATAGGTTGGTAGGGGCTTGTTGATCTGTCAAATTCCAGGTGACAAGATCTATGCACCCCATGCGTCCTTGAGGGGCCTCTTCCCCGCAGGCTCTGGCTGGCCGCAGGCTGGTTCTGGTGTGAAAGGTTATACTGCCTTTTCTTTGTTTGTTTGTTTTTTTCTCTAAAAACAAACAGCAAAAGACAGCTGAAAACAAGAACTTCACCGGTGGGCAGGCAAGAATTCTCTTCTGGAAAATGACGTTTGTGGCTCTTTCCCAAGTTGGCCTTCAAAGAGCCTGCCTGCTGTTGAGCCAGAAGATGTCTCGTGTGAAGGCTGGGGTGGCGGCTGTCTTGGAACCTCTGTGAGCAGGAGGCCCTAAGCCGCAGCAGTGGATAGAGGTGCAGCTCTCTGCCTCTCTGCCCTTTGGTCTGTGTTCACAGGTGACCCGTGTCAGCCTGCATCGCAAGCACACACCCTGCGGGCCTTCAAGTCTCACTGTTCCGTATGAGGAAACAGACAGCGGACTGAGGAAGCGATGGCCCCAGAGAAAGGGCCCCTGTAGCCTGGCTCTCACACAGTATTTTATCTTTGATTCTGAATAAATATTTTTTGTGGGGTTTTTTTTTTTTTTTTGGTGGCAGTTGTTTGTTTTAAACTGACCACTTGGAAGAAACACCTTGGTTATCTGTGGTTTTCATGCCTTGTCCCTGCCTCTACCCCCACCCCTTTTGAGTCGGGTGACTCATTTTTCTGTGTAGAGACTCGGTGGCCCAGGCAGGAGGTGAAAGCAGCCATCCGGAAGGCCCTGGGGACCCTTGTGCCTGTTGCTCGCCTTCAGGTCACCAGCTGAGCTGCGATAGGAAAATCTGAATGGAGGCAGCAAACAGCCAAAACAAACATTCCCCACCCGGCCCTGTGCATATGAAGTCTTTCTTCCCCCAACTCTTGAACGATGATGATATTCAGACGAAGCATTGATGTTATGGAAGAAAGAAAGAAACAAACAAAATATATATATATATGTCCAAAAACAGACAAATCCAAGGGTGTGAGGTAAACGAGTGTCTGCATTTAGATTCCACAAAACCAAAATCCATGTTGAACAAAGTTAAGTCCGTACACAGTGACTTTTTGGGTGAGCCGTGTGTGTCTGTCTGTTGTGTGTGTGCCTCAAGCCCTGTTTTCCTGTGAAGATACTTTGAGTGGCAGCCATTCTCTCCACGTGAACCACACGTCTGGAGCACAGACAGGCCTCTCAAGGTCATTGATCTTACGCATTTACTGTTTACCGAACAAATGTCTGACTGTGTACTCGGGTGTACTCCGCAGCATTGTCGACTGCAGTCCCCTGTGTTTGCCAGAGATACTGTGCTCGAAGTAGAGGTTTTACTCTACTCATCACTGCGATTTGCACATTGCTCCGTGGACACTCGGAGGCCTGCGTTCTGTTCCCTATAAATGGAAGCGTGCTCTGAGCCTGTCTGCCTCCCTCGGCTGCTGCTGGTCCTCAGTACCAGCGCCCGGGGGTGTCCACAACCACTTGGGACAGAAGAAGGTGGAATTTCAGACAGAAGCTTGACTGGGTCTTCAATGACAGGCTTGGACTAGCTGTGGCCCAGACATCGGCCCTGCCCAGAATTGCCAGGAGGAGGCTTTGCAGGCTCTAGAGGAGCCGCAGGGCCTGCCTGCCTCTGGTGAGTCCAACAGGCACAAGCAAGCTGGCGTGTGGCCAGAGGTAGCCGGAGTGTGTCACAGCCCCTCAGATGCCTTTCCTTCCACCTTTTTTTATTTTTTAAGAATCCCAAATAACTCACTGAAGTGTCTCAAAGGCGAACAAGTTTTACCAAAATGAATCCTTTTTCAGTTAACAGATCAAATGGATGAGTTCTGAGCCTCTCAAGTTCCTTTCCCCAGTTAGAGTGGGGAACTGGGCAAGTGTTAACTGTGGGACTCACTGCAGCGTCCTATCCTAAAGGCACGAGAAGACGGAAATGCAACCTGCGGAGCTGGGCTTGGTTCCCAGGTCACAGTTTGGCCCCCGCTACAGGATGCTGCCCTGCTCAGAGAGAGATTTAATAGGGAGCTGAAGGAATCGTTAGGGGGCCAGGGAGATGTGACTGAGGCTGGCTTTCCACGTGAATGAGACGGGGTCGGTGGAGGGTTTGGTGCTACAGCCAGTCAGAAGATTTGCAAATGCGAACACATTCCTGTGTGAGGCACGTTACCCTTTGTCAGTTATTGTGAATATGTGTATTTTAAGCAATAAGATTCAGCTGGTCAGACTTTTCTGGGCAGTCTCAGTGACGCATTTCCTGTGCTGTGATTGTTCTGAAGACAGAGTGGCTCTAACCACTGTGAGAAGCCCAAATAAAAATTGATCCCAAAAATGCTACTGCTCTTTCTTGCTGCACTTTGTTCCCTCTTCTTCTTCCTCAGTCTTCAGGAAATTGCACCTCAAGATCCTAAACCACAAGCACTTTTCTCCACACAGAGACTGAGAGGTTGTCACACAGTCATTGAGGATAGGGCCCTGGGCCAAAGAGAAACCACAGGGCCAAGGGCAGCTGGACAGTGCTGCTGGGTCCACACTCTGTTCTGAGGAGTCCTCCCCTCTCTCTGTCAGGGTGTGTTCCTGATGTTTGGAATACTTTGGAAAGTCCCACAAACAGGCTAAAATCAGATCCCGAGAAAGCAGAGACAAGTTTTGTCAGATACCCTGTTGCTAAAACATGGCTTTTTTTTGAGACACAGTCTCACTCTGCCGCCCAGGCTGGAGTGCAGTGGCGCGATCTTGTCTCACGCAGCCTCTGCCTCCCAGGTTCAAGTGATTCTCCTGCCTCAGCCTCCTGAGTAGCTGGGATTACAGGTGCCTACCACCACGCCCGGCTCATTTTTGTATTTTTAGTAGAGACGAGGTTTCACCATGTTGGCCAGGCTGGTCTCAAATCTCCTGACCTCAGGTGATCCGCCTGCCTTGAGCTCCCAAAGTGCTGGGATAACAGGCCAGCCACCCTGGCCTGGGACTATAGGCATGAGCCACTGTGCCCAGCTATTTTTTTATTTTTATTTTTTAAATAACAGAGATGGGCTGGGCGAGGTGGCTCACGCCTGTAATCCCAGCATTTTGGGAGGCCAAGCTAGGCAGATCACTTGAGCTCAGGAGTTTGAGACCAGTCTGGGTAACATGGCAAAACACCATCTCTACAAAAAATACAAAACTTGGCTGGGTGTGGTGCTGTGTGCCTGTGGTCCCAGCTATGTGGGAGGCTGAGGTGGGAGGATGGCTTGAGCCCAGGAAGTGGAGGCTGTAGTGAGCTGAGATCACACCACTGCACTCCAGCCTGGGCAACAGAGCGAGACCCTGTATCAAAAAAAAAAAAAAAAAAAAAGAAAAAAACTATATGTATGTATATATATATATATATAGAGAGAGAGAGATAGGGTCTGACTGTGTTGCCCAGGCTGGGCTCAAGTGATCCTATAGAGTCTAACTATGTTGCCCAGGCTGGGCTCAAGTGATCGTACTGGCTTGGTTTCCCAAAGTGCTGGGATTACAGGTGTAAGTCACTGTGCCCGGCCAAAACATGGCATTTAAAAGAAAGCAAGCACTCTGAGAGATCTTTTTTGTTGATATGATAGACATGGGGGTATATGCTTGGCCTTGGAATTTAACACACAGTATAATGTATCGAGTTGCCCACTTTCTGCCCAGCACTGTGTCAGAGGCTCAGGATAATGTCAAAGACATAGAAGATGAGGCCTCTGCCCTCCAGAACTTACAGTCAGAAAGACAAAACATGGCCGAGCATGGTGGCTCATGCCTGTAATCCCAGCACTTTGGGAGGCTGAGGCGGGTGGATTACCTGAGGTTAGGAGTTCGAGACCAGCCTGACCAACATGGAGAAACCCCGTCTCTACTAAAAATATTAAAAAATTAGCCAGGTGTGGTGGCATGCGACTGTAATCCCAGCTACTTGGGAGCCTGAGGCAGGAGAATCGCTTTAACTCGGGAAGTGGAGGTTGTGGTGAGCTGAGATCGCACCATTGCGCTCCAGCCTGGACAACAAGAGCGAAACTCCATCTCAAAAAAAAAAAAAAAAAAACATACTTGTGTGAAATAGTTAATTAACAATATAAGTTAAGTTTGAGGTGAAGTGAATGGTACAGATTTGGAGCTTTTCAGGGAATAGTGGGAGGTAGTTTGAGGTCTTGAATGCCAAGCAAGAGGTCTCGGAGCTGATTTTAGGTAGTGAGGAAGCCACCAGTGTGCCAGAATCTGTCATTGTGGGCCAATGATTCTTTCCTAATACAAGGAGAGTTCCTTTGTTCATTTTACCATCTGCTTAAGACTGACCTCTTAGGTGTAAGTGCTTTTTTTTTTTTTTTTTGAGATGGAGTCTCGCTCTGTCGCCCAGGCTGGAGTGCAGTCGTGCCATTTTTGCTCAGTGCAACCTCCACCTCCTGGGTTCAAGTAATTCTCCTGCCTCAGCCTCCCAAGTAGCTGGGATTACAGGTGCCTGCCATGACGCCCAGCTTATTTTTGTATTTTTAGTAAGGATGGGGTTTCACCATGTTGCCCAGACTGGTCTCGAACTCCTGGCCTCAAGTGATCCACCTGCCTCAGCCTCCCAAAGTCCTGGGATTACAGGCGTGAACCACTGTGCCTGGCCAGGTATAAGTCCTTGTTTGAAGAACAGCTTGCTACTTCTCTGCCCAGGGAGGACACCCCTACCCAGCAAGACTGCAGATGGGCAAAGCAAGGTAGTACACATCCTAGGAACCCTCCAGGAAGGGGTTCCTGCCTCCATAAGTGGAGTGCTCACTGGTGGGCTGGCACCCAGGGGGTGCTGGCAAGTGAGTGTTGTCCTCCCTAGGCCCTGGCTTGCCCAGCAGTCAGCGCTGTTTTTTCTGAAGGCCAGTTTTAGCCAGACATGCCGCCACCCCTGTCTTTGACCCTCTGGCAGAGGACATTCCTGGCCTCTCGGTGACACTAGTGGAGTGGTTGCTGACTTGTTCTTTCTAAACTGTTGGGTTCCTTCAGGCAACCCCAGTAGGGCCATGCTAGCATCTAGAGACAGTTCTGTTCTAAAACCACGGGAAAGAACTGGGAGTATATCATTCTTGCCTTTGAGCTAATATCTGAGTGGCACAAAAACAAAATGGTGTAACTCTTAGGGGCTGGTTGCCAGAGGCTGTGCATGTACCCTGGGTGCCCAGGTCTAGAGGGGACACCATGCCATTGAACCCCAGGCTGGTGGGTCACTGAGTTCCTCATTTCTGTAATGAAGTATGACGTTGTTTGTCTCTGTTGCCCCATGTGACCAAGTGCAGATGGCGACAGTACCAACGCCCAGAACTGCAAAACAGAGTACTTTTGGTGAACAAGAATTTCAAGAAACTCCACATTCTTCAGTTTCCTGTTTTCAGCCAGGGGCGAAAACCGGGGTTTGACTCGGAAAAGGAGGGAGAAGTGGGTTTGGTTGGTAGCTTCTTGCTGAACCTGCTGGGAAGGGTTGTGGGTCTTGGGAGGATTTGGGTTCTGGCCTGGGGGCAAGTGTGGCCTCACTGAAGAGCTGAGCCTTTACTGAGCACCTAGCAGGTGCCAAGGCATGAGAATTCAAAGATGCCTTAGGACTGGCTCCTTTCCTTTTTTTGAGACAGAGTCTTGCTCTGGAGTGCAGTGGTGCGATCTCGGCTCACTATAACCTCCGCCTCCCAGGTTCAAGCGATTCTCCTGTCTTAGCCTCCTGAGTAACTGGGATTACAGATGTGCACCACGACGCCTGGCTAATTTTTGTATTTGGGGTAGAGACGGGGTTTCACCATGTTGGCCAGGCTGGTCTCAAACTCCTGACCTCAAGTGATCTGCCTGTCTCAGCCTCCCAAAGTGCTGGGATTACAGGTGTGGAGCCACCACGCCTGGCCCTGGCTCCTCTTTAGAAGAGCTAATGGTATTCTCGAGAGGAAGGCAGGCACATCGGCAGTTTTAGTACCACATGGAAAGCACCACGAAGCATGTGTGCACAGAGGAGAATCTAGCCAAACTAGGGGATTAAGGCAGGCTTCCTGGAGGAGATACCTCTAAATTGAGTTTATCAGGTGAAGAAAGGTGCAAGGGAATTCTAGGCAAATGTTTTTTCTGCAGACTATTGAGTGCTTACTATGTGCCTGGTGCTGAAAAGCACAAAAAAGCATGGGAGGCCTAGAATGGGAGACTCTGCATGGCATGTAGAAAGCTGCGAGCAATTTATCACTGCATTCTGGGAAGTAGCAAGAGATCAAACTGGAGAGAGAAGCAGGTTGTTTTATTTTATTTTATATTATTTATTTTAATTTTATTTTATTTTATTTTATTTTATTTTATTTTATTTTATTTTAATTTTTTGAGAGGGGGTCTTGCTCTGTCACCCAGGCTGGAGTGCAGTGGTGCAATCTTGGCTTACGGCAACCTCCGCCCCCCGGGTTGAAGTGATTCTCCTGCCTTAGCCTCCTGAGTAGCTGGAATTATAGGCGCACACCACCATGCCTGGCTAATTTTCATATTTTTAGTAGAGATGGGGTTTTGCTATGTTGCCCAGGCTGGTCTCAAACTCCTGAGCTCAAATGATCCTTCTGCCTCAGCCTCCCGAAGTGCTGGGATTACAAGCGTGAGCCACTGCACCTAGCAAAATATTTTAATTTAATTTGTCTTTATTGTTTTGTTGGTTGACGGTTTCCACAATGCCAGTCTTGTGTGAGCATCTTAGCTACATTTAAAAAAAAAAATTAGCCTCAGGCCGGGCACGGTGGCTCACACCTGTAATCCTAGCACTTTGGGAGGCCGAGGTGGGCGGATCACCTGAGGTCGGGAGTTCGAGACCAGCCTGACCAACACAGAGAAACCCCGTCTCTACTAAAAATACGAAATTAGCCAGGTGTGGTGGTGCATGCCTGTAGTCCCAGCTACTCAGGAGGCTGAGGCAGGAGAATCGCTTGAACCCGGGGGGCTCAGGTTGCAGTGAGCCGAGATCACGCCATTGTACTCCAGCCTGGGTAACAAGAGCGAAACTCCATCTCAAAAAAATAAAAAAATGTAGCCTCAAAACAGGTCTCTGAGGTATATAGGCTGCAATTATTCCTGCTTTATTAATGGGATTGTGGCATCCAGAGGACTTAACTAACTTTATAAGATCACATAGCTAATAAGTGGCAGAGCTAGGATTTGAAGCCAGGTCTAATGGCTCCAAGGCCAATGTAATAACCAGAAGGCAGGACAGTGAAGAGCTGTAATGTAGGTACTCACAAGCCACCTGAAGAACTTGTGACTTCTTCCTCTCTCTCTTCTCTTCTCTTTTGGCCCAGGCTGGAGTGCAGTGGCACAATCTCAGCTCACTGCAGCCTCAACTTCCCAGGCTCAAGTGATCTTCCCACTTCATCCTCCCCAAGCAGGTGAGACTACAGGCGCACACCGTCATGCCCAGCTAATTTCTGTATTTTTTGTAGAGACAGGATTTTGCCATGTTGCCTAGGCTGCTCTTGAACTCCTGGGCTCAAGCGATCCACCTGCCTTGGCCTCCCAAAGTGCTGGGATTACAGGCATGAGCCTTGTAATTTCTTTTCAAAGGTGAGGGAGAACTAGAGAACAATATATTGAGCTAAGAGTAACATGGTGAAAGATGAAACAGACACCATTTCCTCAGGAGCTACCCTATCTCCTCTTGCTCCAGGGGGCAGACCCCCCCACACCCAGCCAGGCTTCACCTCCAAGAGCAATTCAGTGCTAAAATGGCGTCACCCCTGGGACAGGTGATGCTGCTTGCCACCAGTATTCGGACCAATGTCAACTTCCAGGGACGGTGTAACCCCTTGGAAACACTGTAAAATTCTCAGGAGTTACAGTTTGGATCTTCTTTGTCTCTTTTCCTTGAAAGAGTGTTTTTGTTCTTCCTCCAAGGTGATGAAAGTACAGCTTTCTGTGTTTGTGAGGGGAGAAGAGGATTTTTGTTTGACCTGAAATTTCTCCTCACTCTGTTTTGTTTGTTTTTGGCTTTTTTTTCTTCCTTTGAGATGGAGTTTTGCTCTTGTCGCCCAGGCTGGAGTGCAGTAGCGCAATCTTGGCTCACTGCAATCTCCGCCTCCCGGGTTCAAGTGATTCTCCTGTCTCAGCCTCTCAAGTAGCTGGGATTAACAAGCACCCACCAACACACCTGGCTAATTTTTTGTATTTTTAGTAGAGACGAGGTTTCGCCACGTTGGGCAGGCTGGTCTTGAACTCCTGACCTCAGGTGATCCGCCCGCCTCGGCCTCCCAAAGTGCTGAGATTACGGGCATGAGCCACCACACCTGGCCTCTCCTTACTCTGTTATAAGCCTGTTCCTCACCATAGCTTCAGATTCCCTTCATTTCATGTTTTTTCACCAAGAAGGCTCAAGAAACCCAATCCCACAGAAACTGTGACGGAACACCTGTGCTGGAGCCGTGAGTTTGTCTTTGGGTTCTCCACCCGCTGCCCGGCAGTCCATCAGCCCTGGCTCTGCGGGGACGGAGTGGGCAGGTGGCAGGCCAGGGGCTGTAGTGGGCCCTGCAGGGATGGAACGGGGAGGGTGGGTTCCCCAGGGTTCCATCCTGCGGAGGGACTCATCTGCACACACCCGCTCCCCCTCCTGACCAAACTGGTGGCTTTTGGGGAGGTTTGTATAAAACCCTGAGAAGGACTCATTTCGTGGGTTTGGATATAGACAACGACGAGAAACCCAATATTTATCAAGGCACTAAATGTATTTCATAGGTTCACATTTCATCCTCACAGTAACGCTATGACACAAACATCCCAGTTCCCTACCACCCGCCCCCGCCATATTACAGATGGGAAAACCAAGGCTTAAGGCCACCTAAGGTGTCCATGGCCACGCAGTCTGTAAATGACAACACTGGGAGGATTTGTCTCTGCAACCTGACTTCGAGTCATTTGCATTCCCGTCTGTGTGGGACTCTCCTGCCCACACACTCTTTTCTGCCTCTCATCCTCACCAGAGCCTCGGAAGATGGGCAGCGCAGGTGTTAGGTTCCCCCACATTATCCATGGGGAAATTGAGGCTCAGGAAGTTAGTGATGGGCCTAAGATCCAGGGTCAGGAAACGGGAGCTGGGGCAGAGCACCGGGGTGGTCTGGGTCCAATTTATCCGTTGCGCTTCCCACCCCACTGCACGGCCTCTGTGACTGGATCCCCACCCTCCAGAGAAGGGCGCTAACATCTACGAGTGTGACTGCAGAGAGGGCTCCTCATTTGCCTCAGGTTTTGTGGCCACCAGAGGCTGATAGAACATTCACTCACTCTCACCCTCCCACAATAGGGAAGGATTTCCCTCCTGTCAACAAGGAGACTCAGGGGAACTGCTTTTCTTTCTCTTTTTTCTTTTTTTTTTTTTTGAGACAAGTTCTTGCTATGTCACCCAGGCTGGAGCGCAGTGGCGCACTCACTGCCAGCCTTGACCTCCTGGGTTCAATGTGATCCTCCCACTTCAGCCTCCCAAGTAACTGGGACCAGCTGGGACCACAGGTATGTGCCACTACACCTGGCTAATTTTTTGTATTTTTTTGTAGTGATGGGGTTTTACCATGTTGCCCAGCTGGTCTGGAACTCCAGAGCTCAAGAGATCCACCCACCTTGACTTCCCAAAGTGGTGGGATTACAAAGTGCTGGTGTGGTGAGCCACTGTCCCCAGCCCAGGAACTCCTTTTCGTTTTTTGTTTGTCTGTTTTGAGACGGAGTCTTGTTCTGTCTCACAGGCTGGAGTGCAGTGGCACAATCTCGGCTCACTGCAACCTCCACCTAGTTCTAGTGATTCTCCTGCCTCAGCCTCCCGAGTAGCTGGGACTACAGGTGCACGCCACCACACCCCGCTAATTTTTGTATTTTTAGTAGAGACGGGGTTTCACCAAGTTGGCCAGGCTGGTCTCAAACTCCTGACCTCAGGTGATCCACCTGCCTCGGCCTCCCAAAGTGCTGAGATTACAGGCATGAGCCACTTCGCCCAGCCAGGAACTGCTTTTCTTTAAGACAAGCGTGGCCCATTTCTCCTGGGAGGGTTGGCTCTTAATAGCTCACTAGAACTGATTTTTAAATTTTCAGGAATTTTATGAGCTGTTTATATGAAACAGCCAATTTAAAAAACTTAAACCTACAATTGAGTTATATTAAAAACAAAGGTAATAGATACTCAAAACTGATCATTTCCTAGTTATTTTACTACATGTTACTGTTATCTGTGCCCTTGAGGTTATTTACATTTACCTATCAGTATGGTGGAAATACTACATAATGGCATTTACTATGTAATAATAACAACGGTAAAGAACATATAATGCTACTATGTGTCTCTTTCCAACCCTGTTTACTGGCATCACATTGGTAGTTTAAAATTGGTCACGTTGGGAGTATCTACACCACAGTAATCAGCAAACATTACAAATCAAGGCTATTCCGCACACCCCCGCCCCTCCCAGACCTGGTTGTTAAACATTTATTTATCATCACATCACTGGTTAAGGACAGTCTGAGGCTCAGACGGTTAACTGTGGGGTCTTGGCAAAGACCTTCCAGTTTTGTCAAAGATCTGGGCTTCCTTCTGCATAAGGAGATAGAATTTATTTACTATCATTGGGCCAATTAACCAAGTGATTTAGAGCATTTGATTCAGTCCTCTTGAGGTAGGAGGCGGGGCTCGGACATGGAACCAAATTAAGGACTAGCTAAAACAGGTAGGGGGGCAGAAGCAGCTTTCCATGACATGCCTGCCAGTGTGCCATGTCAGTTTACCATTGCCATGGCAAAACCTAGGAGTTACCATCCCTTTTCGTGGCAACGACCTGATGACCTGGAAGTTACTACCCTCATCCTGGAAATCTCTGCATAATCCACCCCTTAATTTGCATATAATTAAAAGTAGATGTCCATATGAGTGCAGCCCTGCCCCTGCGTTGCTCTTCTGGGCACACTGCCTCTGGGTAGCCCTGCTCCACAAGGAGCAGTACCTCTGCTGCTCTGTGCACTGCGGCTTGCTGGCTACCACCACTGCTGCTTGCTGGAATTCTTTCTGGGTGAAGCCATGAACCCTCCTGGGCTAAGCCCCAATTTTAGGGCTTGCCTGTCCTGCATCACTCTTGTTTGTCTACCCTTCTATTTGTCAGGTGCTGATATGCAGGATAAAGAACATGAGAAGGCTCAGTCTTGAACTCCAGAGGTACAGGAGGTGGACAGTGTCTGTGGGGGGCCCCACCCATTTCAAGTCCAGGCAGATGCTCAGATGCCAAGGTTCAGTTTAGGTTCAGTACCAAGGAACAGAAGCTGAGTGCTGAAGAGGGATGGTCATGGTGGACTCAGGAGTCATAAAAAATGTGTCTGAGCCTCAAGGCAGGTGGGTTTAGATCAGTGGTGAAAAGGCCTTCCAGACGGGAGAGCACAGTTTGGGCAGGAGTCAAAGTTCATAAAGTCATTTTCTAAAAGGTCACTCCGCTTGCCTGAAAGGTACTCTCCCGGCCAAATATCCCAAGAGCCCTTCTGCATGACCACAGGGGACAGGTGGGAAAGCATGGCTGGCTCCCCACCATGCACCATTGAAATCTTGAGTTCTGGTCCCAGCCCTGCTGCTACGTAGCTGTGTGATCTGGGGCAAGTCATACCCTATACCCAGCCCACACAATGGCCCTCAGTTTCCTTCAAAATGAAGGTTTAGACAGGACACAGTGGCTCACATCTGTAATCCTAGAATTTTGGGAGGCCAAGGCAGAAGGATCACTAGGGGCCATGAGTTTGAGACCAGCCTGGGCAACATAATAAGATCCCCATCTCTTCAAAAAACTTAAAAATTAGCCAGAGTGGTGGCACACACCTGTAGTCCCAGCTACCCAGGAAGCTGAGGCAGGAAGCTCTCTTGAGCCCAGGTGTTCCAGACTGCGGTGAGCCATGATTGCACCACTGCACTCCAGCCTGGGTGACAGAGTGAGACCCTGTCTCAAAAAAAAAATGAAGTCCGTAGGAGAGCTTGTGGGCAGCTGACCCCAGCCCCCATCACAAGCAGCCTGGGAGAGATGCTGACACCACAGTGAGCCCAAGGGAAAGGCTATACTGGAGTTTGTCCCTTCCCTCTCCCGGTTCCTCTGCCCCCATCAGCTGGGTGCTGGATCGAGTCAAGCTATCCTCAGCTCAAAGCAGAGGGGAATAAGATTGGCTGGAGGAAAGTTAAGTATTTCAGATTTGCTCAGAATTTGAAAGGCTTTTTTTTTTTTTTTTTTTTTTTTTTTTTGAGACGGCGTCTCTCTCACTCACTCTGTCACCCAGTTGGAGTGCAGTGGCACAATCTTGGCTCACTGCAACTTCCACCTCCTGGGTTCAAGCGATTCTCCCACCTCAGCCTCCTGAGTAGCTGGAACTAGAGGTGTGCGCCAACATGCCCAGCTAGAGACGAGGTTTCACCATGTTGGCCAGGCTGGTCTCAGATTCCTGAGCTCAAGCGTTGTGCCCACCTTGGCCTCCCATAGTGTTGGGATTACAGGTGTGAGCCACTGTGCTTGGCCTGAAAGGCATTTTGTAGACTAGTGATGAAGAGATAAGCAATTAGCAGAAGATCTGTGTCCTCTGTGGAAGTGGTGGGTGGGTTTAACTGGGATGGAAAACATCGCAAGTTTGCAAGAATCTCACACAATGTCACTTGAGGACTCGGGGGGGGTGCGCAGCAGTGTGTACAAGATTCACCTGGATAGCCTGTAAAATGCAGATTTCCAGGCCCTGCTCCCAGAGTGTACTCAATGCATGAAAGATAGGGACCAGAGTCTGTGTTCTTAAGTAAGTTTCTCAGATGAGTCTGGCTCAAGGGGTCTGTGAGCCACACTTTGACAGATACTGACCTGGTGCATATTACATCTATCTATATCTGTTTGTCTGTCTATAGGTTCCCATATATCTTCATCTCTTTCTCTCTCTCACTCTGCCCCCCAACACACATATGCACTCTTTCATTCTCCAACTATTGAACCAGAACATTGAATGGCAGGAAAGTGAAATACTAATCCTTCTTCTTCTTTCTTTCTTTTTCTTTAGAGATTGGGTCTTGCTCTAGGATGCAGTGCAGTGGCACGATCTCAGATCACTGCAGCCTCGGCCTCCTGGGGTCCAGCAATCCTCCCACCTCAGCCTCCTGAGTAGCTGAGACTACAGGTATGCCACCATGCCTGGGTAATTTTTTTTTTTTTTTTTGAGACAGAGTCTTGCTCTGTCGCCCACGCTGGAGTACAGTGGCGCGATCTCTGCTCACTGCAAGCTCCGCCTCCCAGGTTCACGCCATTCTCCTGCCTCAGCCTCCCGATTAGCTGGGACTACAGGCGCCTGCCAGCACGCCCGGCTAATTTTTTGTATCATTAGTAGAGACAGGGTTTCATCGTGTTAGCCAGGATGGTCTCGATCTCCTGATCTTGTGATCTGCCTGCCTCGGCCTCCCAAAGTGCTGAGATTACAGGCATGAGCCACCGCGCCCGGCCAATTTTTTTTTAAGTGTTGTAGAAACAGGGCCTCACTCTGTTGCCCAGGCTGCTCTCGAACTCCTGGGCTCAAGGGATCCTCCTGCCTAGGCCCCCCAAAGTGCTGGAATTCCAGGCATAAGCCACCACACTTGGCCTCCTGCAGGCTCTTTAGCAAAGTCCCAGGGTAAATGGCAGATGAAGGCCAAGACCGAGTTAGGGAATAGTAGGGAACGGTCCACTGCCACCTGATTAACAAAGCTCTTTATAAGGAAGAAGGTAGTGTCGTAACTGAAAACCTTGTCTTGCTCCCTATAGGGACGTCTTCTCTCTAAGACTTAGCTAGGCAGGGTATCAGCCATGCTCTGCTGACGTCCTTCTGTCTAGTCAGAGGGGAAGGACTGGGTTGTTGATGACCTGACCCTGGTCTGGCTGGCACCAGGGAGCTGGGGATGGGGCCTCTCTCTAGGCTAAAAGGGTCAGTTTCTTCCGGGATGTCTCAGGACATTCATTTGCAGACTGGCCAATGACCAAGGTTTAAATATACCAGTTTCCAGATATAAAGGAGTCAGGGCTTCATTTTCTAGTGAGGAAGCTTTGTTTTTTTTTTTTTTTTTTTGAGACGGAGTCTCGCACTGTTGCCCAGGCTGGAGTGCAGTGGCGCGATCTCAGCTCACTGCAAGCTCCCCCTCCCGGGTTCATGCCATTCTCCTGCCTCAGCCTCCCGAGTAGCTAGGACTATAGGTGCCCGCCACCATGCCCGGCTAATTTTTTGTATTTTTAGTAGAGACGGGGTTTCATCGTGTTAGCCAGGACAGTCTCGATCTCCTGACCTCGTGATCTGCCCGCCTCGGCCTCCCAAAGTGCTGGGATTACAGGCGTGAGCCACTGCACCCAGCCCTAGTGAGGAAGCTTTTACAGACTTCCTGGGGTTTTTGAGTGGGGAGAAGGAGGTGGAACCCAGGCACTGCTGCAGAAGACAGCTGTAGAAGCCCTTACCTGGCAGTGTTTACCCCAGGGAAGGGTGAGGAAAGGGGGACACACCAGTCTTGGTCTTTGCAGACCAAGACAGAGGGATGGCAACGGCAGGTCCAGTCTGTGGGTCACATACACTCCCCCAAGGTCGAACCTGTGAGGTAACATGCAGTGAAGCCTATTTGGATCAAAACAAACAACACTTTTGCCCTACTTTCTTTTTCTTTTCCTTTTTTCTTTTTTTTGAGACAGAGTCTTGAACTGTTGCCCAGGCTGGAGTGCAGTGGCGCGATCTCCGCTCACTGCAAGCTCCGCCTCCGGGGTTCACGCCATTCTCCTGTCTCAGCCTCCCGAGTAGCTGGGACTACAGGTGCCTGCCACCACGCCCGGGTAATTTTTTGTATTTTTAGTAGAGACGGGGTTTTGCCATGTTGGGCAGGCTAGTCTAGAACTCCACACCTCAGGCGATCCACCCATCTCGGACTCCCAAAGTGCTGGAATTACAGGCACGAGCCACCACGCCCGGCCTGCCCTACTTTCAAAATATAAACTCAGGCCAGGCTCGGTGGCTCACACCTGTAGTCCTGGCACTTTGGGAGGCTGAGGTGGGATCACTTGAGGTCAGGAGTTCGAGACCAGCCTGGCCAACATGGCGAAACCCCATCTCTGGTAAAAATAAAAAAATTATCCAGGCGCCTGTAATTCCAGCTACTTGGGAGACTGAGGCAGCAGAATCGCTCAAGGGAGGTGGAGGTTGTAGTGAGCTGAGATTGTGCCATTGCAGTCCAGCCTGTGTGAAAGAGCAAGAGTCTGTCTCAAAACACACACACACACACACACACACACACACACACACACACACACAAACAAACAGAAAACAAAAGATAAACTCAATCCTACCACTTCTCACTGTTTCCACTGCTGTGGCCGTGGTTTAACTCATCAACATCTGGCTTTCCTGGACCAGCACAACAGCCTCCTTCCTAACTGTTCTCCTGCTCCCACTCCCATCCCTTAGCAGAACATTCTCCACACAGCAACTACGGCGATCTTTCAGAAATACAAACCAGCTGGGCACAGCGGCTCATGCCTATAATCCAAACACTTTGGGAGGCTGAGGTGGGAGAAGCGCTTGAGCTTAGGAGTTTGAGACCAGCCTAGAAAACACAGCAAAACCCCATCTCTACAAAAAGTAAAACATTAGTCAGGCCTGGTGATGTGTGCCTGTAGTCCTAGTTACTTGGGATGCTGAGGTGGGAGGATCACTTGAGCCTGGGAGGTTGAGGCTGCAGTGAGCCATGATTGTGCCACTGCAATCAGCCTGGCAACAGAGTGAGACCATGTCACTCAAAAAACAGAACAAAAAACAACAACAAAAAAACCCAAACAAAACAAAACAAAAAACAGGCTAGGCGCTGTGGCTCATGTCTATAATCCCAGCACTTTGGGAGGCCGAGATGGGTGGATCACCTGAGGTCAGGAGTTCGAGACCAGCCTGACCAACATGGCAAAACCTCATCTCTACTAAAAATACAAAATTAGCTGGGCATGGTGGCACACGCCTGCAATCCCAGCTATTTTGGAGGCTGAGGCAGGAGAATCACTTGAACTCAGGAGGCAGGGGTTGCAGTGAGCCAAGATCATGCCATTGCACTCCAGCCAGGGCAACAAGAGCGAAACTCCTTCTCAAACAAAAACAAAAACAAAAAAACAGATTGTTCCACTTACATACTTAAAATCCTCCAGTGACTTCCTGTCATAATTAGAATAAAACCCAACCTCCCTCCTGGCCTCCTGTAATCCCAGCTACAGTGGGAACGGACCACTATGTCCACTCTGACCTCATCAGGGCCCACTCTCCCCTTCACTGGCCATGCTGACCTCTCCCACCTGGAGGCCTTTTTACCTGCTTCTCAGCATGCAACACTTTTCCTGACCCCTTGTTCAAAGCAGCCACCCACTGCCTCTGCCATTTTCTCATCACATCACACAAATTGTGATTGACTTCAAAGCACTTACGAGTCTCTGAACTTATTCACTTGTTAGCCCTCACTAGAATGTAAGCTTCAGAGACCACGGAGCTCGAGTGTCCTGAGAAAGTGAATGGCACATAGTAGGTGCTCAATAAAATCGGTGTTGAAAGAATGAGTGAGCAAATGAATACATAAATGAACTACTCAGGGACCTTATGGAAAAAAAAAAACTGTTTATGCACATCACTGGCATTGCCACAAGCTGAAAAAGAAGGCAGAGTGGGTTGGGAGTAGGGAAGAATGGCGGAGAAGGGTGGGGGGTTGTATCTCTAAATCTGTGTTGTGGGGCCACATAGGGTGGACAGGGGCTGTGAGTTACAGCCTTTAGGTGCTACCCTCAGCCTGGGCTTCCCTCCAGGCCTGGCGCACCTTGATCTTCACTTTGAAAGAGTCGATCAGAAAGACCACCTTGGGGATGCCTTCCAGGGAGGGCAGCTGCCCATCATCTGGCACCTCCAGGTCGAACCTCTGCAGCAGCCAGGCCATGATGAGGAAGAGCTCCTGGCGGGCCAGGATCTCACCTATACAGGAGCGAGGTCCTGCTCCGAAGGGCAAATAGCTTACTGACGGTGAGATGAGCTGGGTCCCCGCTGGATTCAAGAAACGCTCTGCAGGCAAGGAGTGGCATCAGCCAGGGGTTAGGGCAGGAGGGAGGAGAGGCATGGTTCTGCCCTGGTTGAGGGGGAGACATGGCCCTGCCCAGGGAACCCTGATCTGAGGATGTAGCCTTATTATGGGGGAACCCCCGCCTGGGGAGAGATACAGCCCTGCTTTCAGGTAGCCCTTAACGACACAGAGGAAATGAAATATTCAGGAAGGATGGAAAAGAGATGGAATTAACCTATGAAAATAGCACCATCCGAGGGGAGAAGGGACAGACTTAATGGCAGACAGAGGCGTAGAGGGCTTCTTGGAGGGTGAATTTGCAGTTGGTTGGAAGAAGAGCGTGGGAAACCCAGCTGTGAAGAGTTTGGGTAAGTCTATGGCAGGATGAGGGTGTCAACAGGTCCGTATAGTTGGAGCCAAGAGTTTTCTAGCAGCAAGCTTGGCAGAGGTGAAGGGGTACTGGGGTGGTGGAGCAGAGTCCAGGCTCGCTGTGTGGCCCAGGGCGCAGGACAGGACAGACTCACCAGGCATGAACTGATCCGGCTGGTGCCACTCCTTCTCATTGTGATGCAGCGCCCACAGATTGATGATAACTTCTGTGCCCTTGTCCACAGCAAACTCACCGATGCTGCTCCAGAGTGGAAGAGGAAAAGTGGGTCTGGGACTTCGTACTCCCTTCCTTGCTCAGCCTCATGCCCCCTCATTCTTCCGCCGTGAGGAAAATGCCCTTTACTCCCTCATTCCCACTCACTCATGTTTTCCTCAGCTTCTGCCAGATCAAACCTAAATCCAGCCCTTCTCCATCCCTTCCCTCCTAACAGGCGCTTCTGTCTGAACACCTGTGTCTGTGGACTTTGGTGTCTGGCAGTGTATGTGGGTGTGCGTTTGGAGCTGCAGCGCATGTTATGTGCGTGCTGCAGCTGGTTGGAACATGGAGCTCCCAGCCTTTCATCCCAGACCACATGTCTCTGAGGGCAGCAGGAAGCTCCTCTGGGAAGTCAGGCAGATCTGTGGATGAGTCAATGCGTGTCTGTAGGTGGTAGAGACATGGAGCCACGGGGCTGGGGGCAGGATGATTTTTATATTTAATTAATTAATTATTTATTTTGAGACAGAGTCCCGCTCTGTCACCCAGGCTGGAGTGCAGTGGTGCAATCTTGGCTCACTGCAACCTCCGCCGCCTTGGTTCAAGTGATTCTCCTGCCTCAGCCTCCTGAGTAGCTGGGACTACAGGCACGCGCCACGATGCATGGCTAATTTTTGTATTTTTAGTAGAGACGGGGTTTCACCATATTGGTCAGGCTGGTCTTGAACCCCTGACCTCATGATCCACCCGCCTCGACCTCCCAAAGTGTTGGGATGACAGGTGTGAGCCACCGTGCCCGGCCGGCAGGATGATTTTTAGTAGTTGATGGTTGACTGACTTTAGGTTGGCCAGCAGGGGCCGGGGGTAGGGGGAGCCAGGTGGGCTGGCAAGCAGTGTTGAATGCATCATGGGGCTAGATGTCACTGGGAGGGCAGGCACACCTGGAGTCAACGTTGGCCTTGTGGGGGATGAGCATAGGGGCCACGGGCCTGAGGCGAAGCACCTCTCGGATGGTGGCCTCCAGCAGGAGGAGACGGTTACGGTCACTGATAGTTGGTGTGCGGCTGAAACCCACATTCTGGTCAATCTCCTCGTAGAGCTTCTTCTTCACCTGAAGACCAGAGTAGGTTGGAGGTGACTAGTGTGTGTAAGCCCAGGAGAAGCAAGGGCTTAGAGAAGAATCCAACTGTGACATCGAGAAGAGCCTGTCCAGTCCCTTCCCAGTAGTGGCTCTGGGGCCCAGGCCCGGCTTCCAGAAGATGGGGCAGCTCTACTCTGGGGTCAAAGCCAACTACTGCTTGGGTAAGGAGCAGGGCAGGCCTAGTCTTCCTGCACAGAAAGCCTGAGAGAATTGGCTCTCCCTTTCTCTGGAGCCCAGAGATTGGGCTGGCTGGGGTCTAGGATCAATGAGGGGGAAGCACACCTGAGGATTGTGCAGCAGGAAGGCCAGGGTCCATTTAACCACAGAGGTGGTGGTCTCCACGCCAGCCCCAAAGATGTCCCCTATGGTGGTGAGAATGTGGTTATCTGAAAGCAGCTCTGAGTCTTGATCTGGGCCAGCATTGCCATTATCTGAGTTCATCTTGGCTTGCATCAGTGTGTCCAGCATGTTGGTGATAGAGTCACTCCGGAATTTCTCCTGGGTTGGGTGAGGTTGGGAGACATTAATAAGGAAGGAGCCCCATCTGTGACACTCCTGCCATACTTCTGTCCCTGACTAGAGATAACAAGGCTCCTTCCACTTGGAAGTAGAGCAAGTCTGGGCAGGACCTACGAACTTGTGGAGGTAGGAGGCAGCCCCGGGCCCTCTTTAAATTTGGTGGAGAGGTTAGGTCTCTTCTAGGATCCTCTTCAGTTCCTCACTTTTCGATCCCAACTCCTTGAGTCAGTTTTTTTTTTTTTTTTGAGACAGAATCTTGGTGCAATGCCCAGGCTGGAGTGCAATGGCATGATCTCAGCTCACTGCAACCTCTGCTTCTCGGGTTCAAGTGAGTCTCCTGCCTCAGCCTCCCAAATAGCTGGGATTATAGGCATGCGCCACCGTGCCCGGCTAATTTTGTATTTTTAGTAGAGACAGAGTTTCTCCATGTTGGTCAGGCTGGTCTCGAACTCCCAACCTCAGGTGATCTGCCCACCTTGGCCTCCCAAAATGTTGGGATTACAGGTGTGAGCCATCTTGCCTGGCCTAGTTTTTGTATTTTTAGTACAGACGGGGTTTCACCATATTGGCCAGGCTCATCTCGAACTCCTGACCTCAATTGATCTGCCCACCTCGGCCTCCCAAAGTGTTGGGATTACAGGCGTGAGCCACCGCGCCCAGCCCTTAAGTCAGTTTTTATTGTACACCTACTATGTGCCAGGTTCTCTGCTTGGTTTTGAAGCTTCTACAGTGTGTAGAATGGACTCCACCCTGCTCTTGTGATTACTTTTAGCCTAACTCATATTCTCTTCTGCTCTATCACCTACCTTGTAATTTTCAAGTATTTTATTCAGCAGATCATTTCGTATTTTAACATGGCTCTTTAATTTTTCCAGGGTTTTGTTGGGGAAAATCTGGGAAATAAAAAGAAATGTTAAATCCACCCTTCTTCCATTTTGCTTCTCCAGCTGCCAGAGTCTCTCCTGGAGGCGGATCTTAGCTTTCTGTCTCTGGAAGTTCCTACTCCACCCCTGACCTTCAGCCAGAATGGAAGGCAAGATGGGGACACAGAACGGGTTTATCATGACGACGAAGACAATTCTAAACAAGGGAGGAGGGCGTGGTCTCCACCTCTCCTTCCCCATTCAATCAAACATCAAGCGCTGACTCTGCTATGTGTCCAGCCCTTAGGAGTGAGAGAGACATGAGCCTGAAGGCTCAGACAAGCTCCTTAACCCCGCTAAGCCTGCTTCTCACCTGCACAATGGGGATAATAAAACCTACTTCCAAGGGGAATTCAGCGATGAATGCGTATAGAATGCTTAGTACTGGCACATGGTAATTGGAAAAGAAATGAAGGTCATTATCTGGAGTACTAAGGTGCATAATTAAAAGGCTAAATCTATCTCTGCAGAGAAATGGCAAAGGTTTTAAGTGGCAGAGGAGGTAGAGGTGGCGGAGGTAATCAGGAAAAAGATGGGTCATTGCGGCTGGAGCAGGGAAGTAAAAAGGAAGGAAGATTGGGGACAATGTCAGGGTCTACTAGAACCTGAAGGCAGGGCTGGCAGCATCTCACCTTCAACCAGGGGACTAGGTCCACCAGGCTGTCTTTGCTCAGGTTGTCTATGATGCCTTCATTGTAATTCTGTATGACATTCAACTCAGGGTCCCCATTCTTGTAGGAGGTATTGAAGCAGATCAAGGAGATGACATTGGTTACCGCCACGAAGACAGGAAAGGAGATGTCTATGGACTGTCCGTTGTGGGTGGCCAGCATATCACACAATGTACTGATTTCCTGACAAACTGAAGGGAGAGGGGGCATGAGGGTGGGAAATGAATCAGCACCCTTACCCCCTCTCTGTACCAGTTGCCTCTTAACAGGAGCGGGGGACAGATAGCAGATGGCCACTAGATGGCAGCAGTAGCCAAGAAAAGGCTGCATTGCGCTCTAGTCCTAACCCTTACCCCTGCCCAACCCTCCTCTCCCTCCAGCAGCTCCTGTGGGATCCAGCCCCAGCCCCAGGGGCCAGCCTGGCACTCACTGATCTTCTCCAGCTTCTGATCGCCATCCTTGAACAGGGCAAAGGTGGCCATCGCCAGCCTTCGATGCAGCTGCCAGTGTGCGCCAGAGTCAGCGAAGGCGATACCCTTACGGTTGTTGGACGCGATGTCTAGAGTTGCCTTTAGAGAGCAGGCAAGGCTGTAGGAATCTCACACCATCCACCCCACTCTTGCCCTTACACCTCTGGTCCCTGCTTTCCTTCCTGGAGGAGAAGGCAGGTACCTGGCATGCTGACTCCCATGTGGGCACAGCCCCACTGCACTCCACCATGACTGCAAGGACTTGGTAGGACAGACCCTAAGGCCTCCTACTCCCAATTCCTTCAGAAATACAGTAGATCAAGGAGAAAGAAAGAACCCTTAATTAGAATGCAGCAGCATTGGGGTTCTTTTCGCTGACAGGGTGCCCTCTGGGCTTCTTTTTGCTCATCAGTTTCTGACCACAGGAAGGCAACTCTGGATGGGATAAACTCTCTAAACTATGCCTGTCCAGAGGGTAGGGAGCAGGTGAGCTTGTAGAGGCTGAGGACTGCACAGATCTCTGCTTTTCCCTGAGCCCTTAGCTGAGCTAAAGGCACAGCTCACCTCACTCAGGTTTACCCTTCCATTGCAAGCCTGCATACCCAGCCACAAGCCCACATTTGGAGAGTGCAGATGTTTTGTCTACCCAGTCTGGACTTGGGCCGAGCCGCCTCCTCCTAGAGGTGCCCCCCAAAGCAAAAGGGTCCAAAGCCTCCCTTTTCCATTTCCTGACCCTGAAGATCCACATGACTAGCCTTCTCCATCTTCTCTGCCCCCGGGAGGAAGCCAGCAGAGGTGGGAGCTAGGTAGTTGGTCAGCAGACCTGGCTGATTGGTCCAAGAAAAAATAAACCAACCCTTGGCTTGATCAAAGCTGAGAGGCTGGCAGGGCACAGTGGCTTACGCCTATAATCCTAGCACTTTGGGAGGCTAAGGTGGGAGGATCACGAGGTCAGGAGATCGAGACCATCCTGGCTAACATGGTGAAACACCATCTCTACTAAAAATACAAAAAATTAGCGGGCATGGTGGCATGCTCCTGTAGTCCCAGGTACTCAGGAGGCTGAGGCAGGAGAATCACTTGAACCCGGGAGGCAGAGGTTGCAGTGAGCTGAGATTGGCCACTGCACTCCAGGCTGGGCGACAGAGAGAGACTCTGTCTCAAAAAAAAAAAAAAAAAAAAAAAATGCTGAGAGGCTGGGGGCCCTGCTGAGTGGGAGGCTCATCAGCAACCCTGAAATGTCATTGTAGAAAACTGCCCCTGTGAGCCTGAGTAGCTGGAAATAGCACCAGGAAAGCAGCAATCCCAGCCTGCAATAGCTAGGCTAATTCTCCCCAGCAGCTTTCATGGAGGACAGTAGTCACTGCCCCCATTTTCCATGAAAAGTAACATGAATCCTGGCTGTATAAGGGGCACTTACTGTGCTGGGTGCTAGGCTAAGTGCTGTACATGCACCTTCTCAGTCCATTAGAGAAGTCTAGGCTCAGAGAGAGGAGTGGAGTGAGGATTCCTTGACCCCTCAGACCACTGTGGTCCTCCCATCCCACCTCCTGGGCAGCCTGGTAGAGGAGACATTCCTTTAATTCTTCCTGCCTAATTTAGAGGCTGGGTGGGGGTCTGAAGGTTCACTCCCTTCACATCATCCCACTAGTCTACTTTGGGAAGAATTACAGGTTGTTGGAGCTGGAAGCCCCATTCTAGGCATGGTCTGAAGACCTGAACAATCCCAGGGGGTGGTGAAGGGGGCAGGGAGGAGATGGGCACCACTTACCATTTGAGGCCGCCCAGAGAAGTCCTTGCCCTTCTTAATAAGCACCTCCTTGGCCAGCTGGTGGTGGCCGACAATCACTGTAGTCTTGGTGCCCATACGAACCGAATAGATGGGGCCATATTTTTTCTGCAGCTTGAAGAAGTTGTTATGCATATGGCCGTGTCTGGGGAGGAATGGCAGGCTGCCCACCAGGGGCAGGGACAGGAGGCTCTTGGGGTACTTGGCACCAGGGCACCTTCTCTTGGGCCAAAACAAATAAGCTAGGGTAAGCAGCAAGAGAGCCACGAGCTCCCACATGGTGGCTGGGTGCCGGCAGGCAAGATAGACAGCAGTGGAGTAGAAGAGCTGTGGCAACTCTAGGGCACAAGGAGGCCTTTTAAAGGGCTACCCTGATCTTCACCTTGACTTTGTGTTATCTCTTGCCTTGTGGAAAGATTCTCCTGGAGCCCAGCCAGGCCTGAGCTCATATCCAGAAGGGAGAGAGGCGGTGGGAGTGAAGGCCTCCTCAAGGGCTGGCTCAACTCCAGGGCAAACCTCCGGAGGAGGAGCTAGGTAAGGGAGGTCAGTTGATCACCCTCTGAGGAGCTCCCCATGCTTGAATGACTCCAGAGTGCGAATGGTATCTGGGCTCAGGAGTCAAGGCTTGGAACTTTCCATGTTGCAAAATCAAAATCACTGGACAGATGACAGATTCAGGAGGGTCACAAGTAGCAGGGACTGTTAAAGGTCTTTTATGCTTCTTTTTTTTTTTTTCAGAGTCTTGCTCCATCACCAGGCTGGTGTGCAGTGGTGTGACTGTCCATGCAGCCCTGGCCCTCCAGCCCATGTGGTTTTGGCAGCGATAAGGGCTGTGGGTTAATGGTCCCCAAAATAAAAATGTACATGTGTATGGGAACGAAAGGGGTGCTAAGCTGTGGGGAGCGGTGGAAGGGAAGGGAGAGATAGGTCAGTACTAGGAATGCCAGAGGTGGGAGGCCGTTTCATAACATTTCTTGTTGATCAAAATGCCATCAACACCTTCTTTGCTCATCAGCAGGACTAGCGTACTGGGGGAACCCACCCCCAATATTTCAACGTAGGTTCTTTCTATAAGTGTCAGCCGGCTGAGAAATAAAGAGAGACAGTATAAAGAGAGGAATTTTACAGCTGGGCCGCCGGGGGTGGCATCACATATCGGTAGGACTGTGATACCCACCTGAGCCTCAAACCAGCAAGTTTTTATTAAGGGTTTCAAAAAGGGGAGGGGGTGTAAGAACAGGGAGTAGGTACAAAGATCACATGCTTCAAAGGGCGAAAAGCAGAACTACTAATAAGTGTCTAACAAAGATCACATGCTTCTGAGGGAAAGGACAAAGGGCAAAAGCAGAACTACCGATAAGGGTCCAACAAAGATCACAAGGCAAAGGGCAAAAGCAGAACCACTGATAAGGGTCCAACAAAGATCACAAGGCAAAGGGCAAAAGCAGAACTACAGATGAGGGTCTATGTTCAGCGGTGCACATACTGTCTTGATAAACACCTTAAACAACAGCAAACAGGGTTCGACAGCAGAGAACCGGTCTGACCACAAATTTACCAGGGCGGAGTTTTTCCCCACCCTAGTAAGCCTGAGGGTACTGCAGGAGACCAGGGCGTATCTCAGTCCTTATCTCAACTGCACAAGATAGACATTCCCAGAGCGGCTGTTTATAGACCTCCCCCCAGGAATGCATTCCTTTCCCAGGGTATTAATAATAATACTCCTTGCTAGGAAAAGAATTTAGTGATATCTTCCCTACTTGCATGTCCATTTATAGCCTCTCTCAAGAAGGAAAATATGGCTCTTTCTGCCCGACCCTGCAGGCAGTCAGACCTTATGGTTGTTTTCCCTTGTTCCCTAAAAATTGCTCTTATTCTGTTCTTTTTCAAGGTGCACTAATTTCATATTGTTCAAACACATGTCTTACAATCAATTTGTACAGTTAACACAATTATCACAGTGGTCCTGAAGTGACAAACATCCTCAGCTTACAAAGATAACAGGATTAAGAGATTAAAGTAAAGACAGGCATAAGAAATTATAAAAGTATTATTTGGGAACTGATAAATGTCCATATTAAAATGAAATCTTCACAATTTATGTTCCTCTGCCATGGCTCCAGCCAGTCCCTCCATTCAGGGTCCCTGACTTCCCGCAACATCTCTCCCTTTCTTTTTATATAAATGTGCCGTGGCGATGAAGGCTTGCTCGTTCTCTCGGTTTTGATGCAGGATTCTTTGACTGGTCTGGCACACTAAAAACAAGCCGATTAAACAGAGAAACATGATTCCAAAATTTCCTACAGTGGAGCCCCCAGTAGACTTAATCCAAGTTGTGGAGTTTAGTCCAGAAAGACTTTCTGCCACCTGATCTAACGCCTCAGCTCCAGGCACAATGGATAAATGAGCTTGAGAGGCTTCAAAAATTTGTTTCTTTAATTTAGTTATGTCCAAGGATAAATTATCTTCCCTACCCAGAAGGTGTCCTTTGACCATTTCCCATGATCAGTCTCGTTGTAGGAATATGGTGTGCTATAGAAATCAGAAGTGTTGCAATCGAACTGCATTTGCATGTGATGTTCGAGACTCATTAGCTGGTCCCCAAGCCAAATAACAGACTGTCTTAAATCATTAGCTAATTTTTGATCAATGCCTTGTTGAGGATTCCACATTTGGGTGGAATTGCCTTACCAATCATTAACAAAATTAGCCATTTGAATAGATTGGTGTAATGCCACTCCGGCAGTGGTGGCCAGTGCAGTGACTGTAATTAGGCCCATGATCACAGTGATTAAAGTGAAAACAAATCTCTTGATCTTTTGAGAATTCGTTGTAACACTTCATTAATTAAATGTACTGAGGGGGAAGATTCCCAAGTTCTGGGTAAAGTTACTGGTATCCAGATTCCTTCTCAAGCTCGAACCAACATTACACTTTTCCTGAGTCAAAACGGGAGTTAACACAAGTGGATAAATGACAATTAATGCATTGGACGGTTTGATTGTTCATCCAAATTTTGATATTTCCCACTAACAGCATGTAAGGAGGCTTAACACAACTCTGTATAATAGTCAGGCTGGAGGTAAACAAAGCAGAATGTTTGAATCTACGTTGATACCGAGGGGGAGGAGTGGCGGTGGCAACGCCCAATGTTTGATGCCGTAAAGAAGCAATCCGAGGTGCCCGGGGATTCTGAAGAGGTAGGGGGACATACCTGGGTCCAGAAGAATTATCATAATGCCAATCAGAGTCCCATAAAGGAGGACTGGCATCAAAAAGAGGAAAATGGTCCAAAGGGGATTTATCATGGGTTTCAGAATCACGGATGTGAGGGGTGGTAGTGGGGACAACAGAAAGAAAAGTTTCCCCTTCCCATACTCGCAGTCTGGACATGGCAATAGCCAATTTCCAAAGTTCTGGGTGTTCTGGGCTCAGAATGGGGGATATCATAAGAGGCCTCGGGTGGCAGGGGGTAATGCTCTTATCTTCCCATTTTAAGGGACAGAATGAGCTGAACCTCCTATGCAAAGTAGGATGATGATCCTCGTCCTCCCAATAAGAAATAAAACAAGTAGCCTCCAGGCATTCCCTTCCAGCAGAAGAGCAACTGCTTTTCAAATAGCCCTTTGGTGCCCAGTCTCTTACTAAACCATATGAGTCATTTTTTAATAGTACTGCATGTGAATTAACACAATCTTCCCAAATTAAAGATTTAGATGGGCCCTCAAAAATTTTAGGACATGGTTTTCCTACAGGTTTATATTGAAAGTAGGGGGTATCTCCTATTACTCCCCCTTTCATTTGTCTTAAAGGAGAAAGGGAGAGGCTGGAGACCAAATGTCCCCGTTCCCCTGTGGCTGATCTCTCCAGAAGGTACGCAGCCCAGACTTGAGTTTCTAGATGGATACAACAAGGTGCATGTCCGAGGCACAGAGGAGGGTATTTATAACCGTAGGAACATTAAATGCAGTGCCTTCTTTTCCTGGTTGAGTGGGGCAACGGTCATCTGTAGCTCCAGGCATCCACACACTATCATTAGTATAGATTTCCGCAGGAGCATCCATCCAGGTGAGAGGTTGAATAAGTGGAGGAAAAGGCACATAAGCCCAGCAAGAATAATTTTGTGTAGCAGGTAAATCAATGTGAGGGGAAACTGGTGAGACAGAAAGTATAAGGAAGAGAATTATTAAATAAAACCTATTGTAAGCAAGATCCAGTGCTGAAGGAGGAATAGAAGAATAAGGGGATGTTATTTTCAGGCTAATAGAAATGGTGAGATTTTTAGGTTCGTAAGGAGAAAAAGAAAGGGAATTAGGAGAAGTGGGATTAGTTAGAGGGGTTTCTGTTGCCATTAGGGAGGATTGAACCAGACCCATTTTGATTTGGCGTGCCAGTTTCTGAGGAGTTGGCACAGATCTCACCAGGTATGAGGGTGGTCTCTGACGTGGACGTCTCTTCCCTGTGGTTTTTATTGTCAGTATTCACATGAAGTTTAAGTCTTCTAGTGGGCACCCAGACAGGGGATTGATGATCTCCTGGTGAAACACAAGCATACCCTCTTCCCCATGTTATAATCGTTCCAGGTTTCCAGGTATTGGTCTGGGAATTAAAGGCAAAGAATTAGGTAGTAAATTTAGAGGAATGGTACTACAGAGATTGACCGCCCCTCCCCTTACTCTGGAGCATAGATAAGCGTTGTACTGAGACAGAAGAAGAGGCTGGGACACATCTGGGTTGGCTGTAGGTAAATTTGTTTGTGCTGGGGGCTGCGTTGGGACCGATTGAAGCAGAAAGGCAACATTCGTCTGAGTCTGAGGTGTCCCATTTGAAATTGGGGCCTAGGACTGGCCCCATTTCCCATTTCCCTGGTTCTGTGGCAAGGGATTTCCATCTATATCAGACTTAGAGTGGCAAGTACTTGCCCAATGTTTACCTTTACAACAACAAGGGCAAACAGTAGCAGGAGCATTTGGCTGTGTTTTTTGAGCCGGCTTGGCTGCCTTTAAGTTTTTAACTGTGCAATTTTTTCGAGTATGACCAAGTTGACCACAATTATAGCAGGCTCCAAGAAAAGAATCAGTCGAGCCAGTTTGATTGCCGTCCTTCATGGCCCGTGCCCACAGAATAGCTTTGTGGGCACAGAATAGCTTTGTGTCTGATCCAATGCCTTCATATTTAATATACTCAGGCAACACCTCACGATCAGGTAAATTTTGTTGTTGGACGGAATGCATGGCCATTTTACACTCATGGTTCGCATTCTCAAAAGCTAACATTCGAAGAAGAATACCTTGAGCGTGCTCATCAGAGACAGATTTTTCAACAGCATCTTGTAATTTAGCTAAAAAATCAGGATATAATTCATTGTGACCCTGTTTAACAGTAGTAAAAGAAACAGGAGCTTGGCCTGGGGCGCGTAATTTATCCCAAGCTCTCATACACACCTTTGTTACTTGTTCCACGGTGAGAGCATCAAAGCCTAATTGGGCAGTAGTGTCAGAGTAATTATTGGAGCCTGTGAGCTGAGCCTGAGTAATTAGAATGCCATCAGCCCGATTTAGCTGAGCCTGCAGATGGGCCTCCCGTGACCACCAGGTACAGAATTGTAAATGTTGAGATGGAGTTAGAACAGCTTTTGCCAAAAGTCCCAGTCTAAAGGAAGCAAAATGACCTCAGTACAAAGAGTCTGTAATACCATTTTAACATATGGAGAAGTAGGACCATACTGAGTACAAGCATCCTTGAATTCTTTTAAAAAGGTAAGATTGAGCAGCGCCTATCGATGCACTTGTACCCCTTGAGCATTGCAAGGTTCCAGCATGAACGGATAAGCCCACGCCTCTAATCCACTTGTTTGTTTTGGCGTAATAAGCATTGCATGGAAATTTCAACAACAGGCACATGAGACAGAGTTGGCACAGAAGTGACAGGAAAATTATGTGTAGATAAGGGAAACTGAGGCTGAGGAGGTTGGACCAGTATGAGAGCGTGAGAAAGGGGCACCAGAGGAGCAGAAGAGGCAGAAGCATACTGGTGATTATTGCCCAATCCTGTGCAACCAGAGTGGCAGGGGTGTCCACATGTGAAGAAGGGTACAGAGAAGCAGGTTGAGTGGATGGCAAAGTGACCAGTTGAGGAACCGAAATGACAGGAGGGTGAGGGGCTGTGGTGGATGGGGGAGGGCCTGCAGAATTACAGGTAAATTGTAGTTTAGTTCCGGAGCCATTAGATGGCTCCGGAGGCAAAGGCTGCAAAGGTTTGAAGAGGGAAGAGTTAGCATAGATACAGTCCTGGGCTGTCCAAGTCGGGGCCGTGGGAGCTACAAGTACTGGCTGTTCGTGAAAAGAAATAAGATCATCAGGGGGTGACGTTAAGCCAAAGTCACTGGAGTTAGATATTGAATCTTCAATATCCTCAGGTGGGGAAGGAGTAGGCGAAGGGAGAGGCTGATCAGGTAACGAAGGCCGTGCGGGAGAGGAAGGTTGAGGAAGAGGTGGAGGGTTTCCAGATTCAGAAAACTGTGGTAACTGCAGGGGGTGATGGGATTGGTATGTCATTAGGACGGCACATACCAAGGCCCAGTCACCCCAAACAGTGACGGGAACATAATTTCCTGTTGGGACCAGTTCCCGGAATTTTGCACCAACACGATCCCATAGTTCCACGTCTAATGTTCCCTTTTCAGGAAACAAAGGACAATGTTCTTCCACTGCCCTGAATAGGGTGACCATATTTTCCATGGGTACCCAAACTCCCCCCTGTTTTAACAGGAGTTTAATATGGCAGAGATAAGCATAATGTTTAGACTCTGAGTGACCCAAAGTTAGCCTGGACAATACACAGACAACTTACCAATCATCAGAGAGCTGAACAAGCATTTCTGTGGACCAGACCAATGAACGTTTCTCCGCACCTACCAAAGGGAATCAGGTTCCCACATGCAATTAGGAGAAAGAAAACCACATTGGTGTGCCAGATATTGGGGGAACCAGCCCCCAATATTTCAACATAGGTTCTTTCTATTTTCCATAAGTGTCGGCTGGCTGAGAAATAAAGAGAGACAGTATAAAGAGAGGAATTTTACAGCTAGGCCACCGGGGGTGGCATCACATATCAGTAGGACTGTGATGCCCGCCTGAGCCTCAAACCAGCAAGTTTTTATTAAGGGTTTCAAAAAGGGGAGGGGGTGTAAGAACAGGGAGTAGGTACAAAGATCACATGCTTCAAAGGGCAAAAAGCAGAACTACTAATATGGGTCTAACAAAGATCACATGCTTCTCAGGGAACAGGACAAAGGGCAAAAGCAGAACCACTGATAAGGGTCCAACAAAGATCACAAGGCAAAGGGCAAAAGCAGAACTACAGATGAGGGTCTATGTTCAGCGGTGCACATATTGTCTTGAGAAACATCTTAAACAACAGAAAACAGGGTTCGAGAGCAGAGAACCAGTCTGACCACAAATTTACCAGGGCAGAGTTTTTCCCCACCCTAGTAAGCCTGAGGGTACTGCAGGAGACCAGGGCATATCTCAGTCCTTATCTCAACTGTACAAGACAGACATTCCCAGAGTGGCCGTTTATAGACCTCCCCGGAGGAATGCATTCCTTTCACAGGGTATTAATATTAATATTCCTTGCTAGGAAAAGAATTTAGCAATATCTTTCCTACTTGCACGTCCATTTATATCCTCTCTGCAAGAAAGAAAATATGGCTCTTTTTGCCCGACCCCACAGGCAGTCAGACCTTATGGTTGTCTTCCCTTGTTCCCTAAAAATCGCTATTATTCTGTTCTTTTTCAAGGTGCACTGATTTCATATTGTTCAAACACACATGTTTTACAATCAATTTGTACAGTTAACACAATTATCACAGTGGTCCTGAGGTGACATACACCCTCAGCTTATGAAGATAACAGGATTAAGAGATTAAAGACAGGCATAAGAAATTATAAAAGTATTATTTGGGAACTGATAAATGTCCATATTAAAATGAAATCTTCACAATTTCTGTTCCTCTGCCATGCCTCCAGCCCATCCCTCCATTTGGGTCCCTGACTTCCTACAACACTAGCATCCTAGCAGTCATGGTGACAGTGACATTGAAGGTGGGGGCTCCATCGGTGCTCTTGGTATAAAGATAGGTCAGTTCCCCATCCTGCAGCAGTAGGTCCCAGATCACAGAACATTTCTGGCCCCCAAGTGTCACCTCATTCACAAAAAAACTTGACCAGTCTTTGCCAACCAGGACATCAACCTCAGCTGGCTTGACGTTGATGAAGGTTTTCCCAGGGATGGTGGCCTGGATGGAAGGCAAGTCCTTGTAGCCCACGATGGCTGCATCCTACAGGTCCCTTCCACCACGAGGTTGTCGATGTGGGTGTTCCACCCTGCCGTGGGCTGCTTGTGGCACTGCTGCCACCTCGCAGACAGGCAGGGGAGGCGGAGAGCTCAGGGCATGCACTGTGGTCGGGACCACTGCTCTGCTATCCGTGCAGAAGCCCTTGTACTGCCACTTCCTGGAAGTGATCATTTTAAGCATTTATATGGCATCAATCTTTTTCACTGTATTGATCCAAATGATTTCAAGCATAAGAGAATGGACAGATCGGTTTTGTTTGTTTACAAAAAGGAAAATGGGGCCAGTCATGGCCAAGGTTAACAAAACAAAGGGCAAAGCTTAACTGGCTTAGTGTGGACTCCAATCATTGGAAAGACTGGGAAGATGGTTCAGATGAAGCCATGTCTGATTTTGATTATTTCTCTGAGATGATGAACCACATGGGTGGTGAAGAGGATGTAGATTTAGCAGATGGAGCAGATGATCATTCACAAGACAGTGATGATGAAAAAATGCCAGATCTGGAGTAAGGAATATTGTCATCATCTGGATTTTGAGAAAGAAAAATAACTTCTCTGCAAGATTTCATAATTGAGAGAATTCCTGGCCGGGCATGGTGGCTCACGCCTGTAATCCCAGCACTTTGGGAGGCTGACGCCAGCAGATCACAAGGTCAGGAGATCGAGACCATCCTGGCTAACACGGTGAAACTCCGTCTCTACTAAAAGTACAAAAAATTAGCCGGGCGTGGTGGCGGGCACCTGTAGTCCCAGCTACTCCGGAGACTGAGGCAGGAGAATGGTGTGAACCTGGGAGGCAGAGCTTGTAGTGAGCCGAGATTGCACCACTGCACTCCAGCCTGGGTGACAGAGCAAGACTCCATCTCAAAAAAAAAAAAAAAAAAAAAAAAATTGAGAGAATTCCTGAGTTGATAGCTCTAAAGACAGATGCTGTATTTGCCTACTTTAATCTATTTTTCAACCTGTTTGTTTTTTAAAAGGCCTCACTAAGGGTTGATATGTACCACTGTATGGGGCAATTTTCAGTCAGCTAAGGCAATAACCTTATGCCTGAACATTTCCCAGACTTCCATGAAGCTGTTGAAGTCCTAGGCAATTGATGCAGCAGTTGTGATAAATACAAACATCTCACCTAAGTCTCCTTTTCTTCATAACATACATACTGACATGATAGAAAGCTCTCAGCTTAGGGAAAGAGAACTAAATTTTAGATTATAGGACATGGATTCAAAAGTGACTGGAACAAATTGGCTGACACCTTACTGGTAACCTGTTATTCCTCTTGTGTTATTCTTCAGGATTGTTCCACTAAAGCTTATTTCAAAAAATTTACCTCTCGGGCTGGGCGCAGTGGCCCACGCCTATAATCCCAGCACTTTGGGAGGCCAATGCAGGTGGATCACATGAGGCCAGGAGTTCAAGACCAGCCTGACTGACACGCCAAAACCCCATCTCTACTAAAAATACACAAATTAGCTGGTCATGGTGGCGTGCATCTGCAATCCCAGCTACTTGGGAGGCTGAGGCAGGAGAATCGCTTGAACCCGGGAGGTACAGGTTGCAGTGAGCTGAGATCATGCCACTGCACTCCAGCCTGGATGACAGAGTGAGACTCTCAAAAAAAAAATTTTTTTTATATTACCAGATGAAATCACAGCCCCAAGGTAGCAGACATTCTTGGTGTCAATCATTATAGAAGAGATGGGCCAAACAGGAGTTGTTAGTTGAGGCTCACAGAGGTGGGAGATGGCATCTGATGGCATCTGTCCCACTCTCTGGGAGTGGTCTGTCTGCAAGTTTAGTAAGGATGGAGTGAAGGCTGCTGGAATTAGGCAGGAAGGCAGCAGGTAGGGGGCCTCATGATGAAGAAGAGCTGGCCAGGCCTCATAAGCCAGACTGCCTGGTTGCCCATTACTCAGAATTTTCAAATGTTGTTCAGATTTTTAAGGCCATTTGCAGCCAGAGGTATGGGCTGGGATGAAACCTATGAGAAACCTTCATGCAAGAAAGGGGATTTGAGGTAGGCCTTGAAGGAGAGCTAGGACTGATGCAGGACAGACAGACAGGCAAACCTCTAAACTGGGGCTTAGCCCAGGAGGGTTCTTGGCTTCACCCAGGAAAGAATTCCAGGGCAAGCTGGTGGTGGTAGCCAGCAAGCAGCAGCGCACAGAGCAGAAGAGGTACTGCTCCTCGTGGAGCAGGGCTACCCAGGGGCAGTGCCCCCAAAGTCACAGCTCAGAGGCAGAGCTGCACTCACATTTACAGTCACTTTTAATTATATGCAAATTAAGGGGTGGTTTATGTAGAAATTTCTAGGATGAGGTAGTAATTTTCAGGCCATCAAGTTATTGCCATGGAAAGGGGTGTTAATATCCGGGTGTTGCCAAGGCAATGGTAAAGTGACATGGCACACTGGTGGGTGGGTCTTATGGAAAGCTGCTTCTGCCCTGGACCTGGTTTTTTGTTTTGTTTTGTTTTGTTTTTTTTTGAGATGGAACCTCACTTTGTTGGCTCACTGCAACCTCCACCTCCCATGTGCAAGCGATTCTCATGCCTCGGCCTCCCAAGCAGGTGGGACTACAGGCACCCACCACCACACTGGCTAATTTTTGTATTTTAGTAGAGATGGGGTTTCACCATGTTGACTAGGGTGATCTTGAACTCCTGAGCTCAGGCAATCTGCCTGCATCAGCCTCCCAAAGTGCTAGGATTACAGGTGTGAGCCACTGTGCCCGGCCTGCCCTAGATCTGTTTAACTGGTCCTCAATTTGGTCAGGTGTCTGAGCCCTGCCTCCAGAGTAAGGTTCACCTTCCTGAGTCCAGTCCTACCTCCTACCTCAGAACTGTTAGGTAGAGATGTGAAGGAGTAGGGAGAGAAGGGTGTTGCTGGAAGGGAGAGTAGCAGAGGCTGGAAGGAGCATGGCAGGAGGGGAATGGTGATGGCCTTAGCTGAAGAGACAAAGAGGTGTGTTGTGGGGGATCCCTGAGAAAGATCTGAGGGGTACATTGTGTCAGGCTCTGGAGCCCTGGAATGGAAGGGTATAAAGGGTATAGGGAGGCTGTAGGAGCTATTGAGAGCACTGCAGCAGGGAGCAGCAAGGTGACAGTGGTGTTTTAGGAGGGTGAAACTGGTGTTGGTGCATGGGGTAGGCTGGATGAGGAGATCGTGTGTAAAGCCTGAGAGCTGGACTGACAAGTGGAGAGGCCTGAATCCTAAGATCCAGGCAGGGGCCTCAGTCGGGTCAACCAGCTGGTAGGGAAATATGAATGGCTACTTTCTACTCCTACAGAGACTGCCAAGCTGACCTGATATTTCACCCCAATCAGAAACAAGAAATGGGAATTTAAAACACACACACACACAAAATGTGTTGCTTCACACTCTCATCACCATATTATAAAAGTTATACATCATAATTGCAGAAATTTGGAAAACACAAATTACTAAAACTAAATATTTTTAAACTGTATTTTTTAACCTAAATGAGGCTGTATTTTTGGCATGAATATTTTTCTATAACTTTCCTATTATTATTTCTCTTTCTTCTCTCACTTTTGACAATGTCCGTCTTATTTTTTTATTTTTAGATGGAGTCTCACTCTGTTACCCAGGTTGGAGTGGAATGGCGCGATCTTGGCTCACTTCAACGTCCGCCTCCCGGGTTCGAGCGATTCTCCTGCCTCACCCTCCTGTGTAGCTGGAACTACAGATGCGTGCCACCATGCCTGGCTAATTTTTGTATTTTTAGTAGAGACGGGGTTTCACCATGTTGGCCAGGCTGGTCTCAAGCTCCTGATCTCAGGCAATCCACCCACCTCTGCCTGGGATTGCAGGTGTGAGCCATTGCGCCCAGCCTCTTTTGACAATGTCTTTCTATGTTGCCCAGGCAGGACTCAAACTCCTGAATGATTGATATTCAGAAGTGAAGGGGCAGATCCTGATTGTTTGGTTTGCAAAAGGGGGTTCACTGAGGTGAGTTGTCATAAATTGATTGAACAGATTTCTTTTTCTGTTTCTTTTCTTTTTTTTTTTTTTGAGACAGGGTCTGGTTCTGTCACTTAGTCTGAGCGCAGTGGTGCAATCACGGCTCACTTCAGCCTCGACTTCCTGGGTTCAGGTGATCCTCCCACCTCAGCCTCCCAAGTAGCTGGGACTACAGGCGCACATCTTCACGCTCAGCTAATGTTTGAATTTTTCATAGGGATGGGGTTTCACCATGATCCCCAGGCTGGTCTTGAATTCCTGAGCTCAAGTGATCCTCCCTACTTGGCCTCCCAAAGTGCTGGGATTACCAGTGTGAGCCACTGCGCCCAGCTGAACAGATTTCAAATGAGTTCTGGTAATATATTAGTTTTCTACTACCACATTACCATGAATATTACCAGAAACTTTGTGGCTTAAAACAACACACATGTATTATCTTACAGTCTTGGTGGGTTAGGAACCTAAGTATAGCTTCTCTGGGCCATCTACTTAGTGTCTCACAGGCTGCAGTAAAGGTGTGGGCCAGGGTTGGGTTCCATCTGGAGGCTCTACTGGGGAAGAATCTGCTTCCTATGTGCCTGGTTGTTAGCAGGATTGAGTTCCTTTTGATTGTTGGACTGAGAGCTTTTTTTTTTTTTTTCCGCTGGCTGTCAGCTGGAGGCCCAGAGGTAGGTGACTAGATGGTACTTGCAGTTCCTTGTCACGTGGAGTTCTCCAACGTGGCCACTCGCTTACTCACAGCCGGCAAGAGAGAGAGGCTCTGGCAAGAGAGAGGCTCCAGCAAGATGAGGGGAATGGTGATGTAACATGTAATCTTATGTAACATCATCATGTGTTTCCTATCACCTGTGCATACACTATCGATTAGAAGCAAATCAAAGATCATGTCCACAAGGAAGAGAAGAGGATCACACAAGAGCAAGAACACCAGGAGGTGGGGTCAAAGGCTACCCTGAGCGGCCAGTCTGTCCACCACAGGTAGCTACGTGTTACCATGGCTATAGAACATTCCATCTTTTCCTAAGTTTGTGGATGTGGAGCAACTGGAGTGGCATACACTGCTATCGGAAATGTAAAGTGTTAAACCACTTTGGAAAATGGTTTGGCAGTTTCTTGAAAACTGAAACACTTACCATATGATCCAGCCATTCCACTACTAGATAGTTACCCAAGAGAAATGAAAACAACCCACATAAAGACTTGTGTACAAATGTTCATAGCAGAATATTCATAATATTCCAAAAGTGGAGGCCAGGTGTGATGGGCTTATGCCTGTAATCCCAGAACTTTGGGAGGGCAAGGCAGGAAAATCACTTGAGCCCAGGCAACATAGGGAGACCCTGTCTTTACAGAAAAAATTGTAAAAATTAGCCAGGCATGGTGGCATGAACCTGTAGTTCCAGCTATTCCGGAGGTTGAGGTGGGAGGATTGCTTGAGCCTGGGAGCTTGAGCTGTGGTTATGCCATACACTCCAGCCTGGATGACAGAGGAGTGACTCTGTCTCAAAAACAACGACAAAAACCAAAACCAAAAAACAACAAAACAAAACAAAAACCCAAAAGTGGAAACAACCCAAGTGTCCATCAACAAGAGAGTGAATAAACACAGTGAGAACTATCCATGCAGTGGAATATTTCTCAGCAATAAAAATGAACAGGCTAGTTATATGCACAACAACATGTCAAATCATCATGCTGCAAGAATGAAGCCAGACAAAAAAAGACCCCCCTCCCCTCAAAAAAGCCTGTATGATGCTATTTATTTGCCATTCTAGAAATGCAAATTAATCTATAGTTCCCAAAAGCAGGGCAGTGGTTGCCCGGGTGAGACAGAGAAGGAGAGATGGACTTTAAAGGGCACTTGGAAACTTCTGAGGGTGATGAAATGTTTTGCATCTTTTTTTTTTTTTTTTTAATTGAGACAAGGGGCCGGGCGTGGTGGCTCATGTCTGTAATCCCAGCACTTTGGGAGGCCAAGGTGGGCCGATCATGAGGTCAGGAGTTCAAGACCAGCCTGGCCAACATGGTGAAACCCCACCTCTACTAAAAATACAAAAATTAGCCGGGCGCGATGGTGCGTACCTGTAGTCCCAGCTACTTGGGAGGCTGAGGCAGGAGAATCGCTTGAACCCGGGAGGCGGAGGTTGCAGTGAGCCAAGATCACACCCGTGTACTCCAGCCTGGGTGACAGGGCAAGACTCCGTCTCAAAATAAAGTAAATAAATAATAAAAATAAATAAATAAAATGAGACAAGTTATCGCTATGTTGCCCAGGCTGCTGATATTGAACTCCTGGCCTCAAGCAATCTTTCTGCCTCGGCCTCCCAAAGTGCTGGGAATACAGGCATGAGCTACTGCTCCCACCCTGTTCTGTATCTTAATAGTGGTGGTGGTTCACAGATGTATACGTCTGTCACACTCATCAAATCGTACACTTTAAAGAATGTGGTTATTGTGCAGGCCGGGCGTGGTGGCTCAACGCCTGTAATCCCAGCACTTTGGGAGGCCAAGGCAGGTGGATCACCTGAGGTCAGGAGTTCAAGACCAGCCTAGCCAACATGGTGAAACCCATCTCTACTAAAAATACAAAAATTAGCCAGGCGTGATAGTGGGCACCTGTAATCCCAGCTACTCGGGAGGCTGAGGCAGGAGAATCGCTTGAACCAGGGAGGCAAAGGTTGCAGTGAGCCAAGATCGTGCCACTGCACTCCAGCCTGGGTGACAAAGCAAGACTCCATCTCAAAAAATAATGTTGTTATTGTACATAAATTATAACATAAATTCATGCACATAAACTCAATAAAGTTTATTAAGGACAAAAAGTAAACAGTAAATGAGATTCAACGGAGACATATGAATCTAGACACTTGGAAGAGGAAGTAATGTTGATATTGAATACAGGTAATTTTGAACAAAATTTTCAATACAATAACATTCTCACATCTTTTATTAACTAAAAAAGAAATGGAGCTACTTGAAATATTTTATTTTTTTTTTGAGACAGAGTCTCACTCTGTCGCCTAGGCTGGAATACAGTGGCATGATCTCGGCTCACTGCAACCTCTGCCTCCCGGGTTCAAGAAATTCTCCTGCCTCAGCCTCCAGAGTAGCTGGGACTACAGGTGCCCACCACCACGCCCGGCTAATTTTTGTATTTTTAGTAGAGACGGGGTTCCACCATGTTGGGCAGGCTGGTCTCGAACTCCTGACCTCAGGTGATCCTCCCGCCTCAACTTCCCAAAGTGCTGGGATTACAGGCGTGAGCCACGGCACCTGGCCTACTTGAAATATTTTACATATTAATTCACTTACAAGGTGGTTACCATCAGTTTGGTATTAATACAATAAAGAGGTTATCAATAAAAATTACTAGTGATGTTGAGCATTTTTCACATTTATCAGCCAGTTGATTTTTTTTTTTGAATTGCCTACTTGTGCCTTTTGCCAATTTTTCTATTAGATTGTTTTTCCTTCTTCATTTGTTTACAGGCCTATCTGCCTCATCAGCCTGGGAGTTCCACAGAGACAAGAACTGTATTTCATTTCTTTCTCTATCCCCAGCCTAGTACAGTGTCTGGTATTTAGTTCATGAAATGTTTGTTAAAATTGAATGGAATGAGGCCAGGTGCAGTGGCTCACGCCTGTAATCCCACCATTTTGGAAGGCCAAGGCTGGTGGATCATTAGATGTCAGGAATTTGAGACCAGCCTGGCCAACATGGTGAAACCCTATCTCTACTAAAAATACAAAAATTAGCCGGGCCTGGTGGCAAGCACCTGTAATCCCAGCTACTTGGGAGGCTGAGGCAGGAGAATCACTTGAACTCAGGAGGCGGATGTTGCAGTGAGCTGAGATCGAGCCACTGCACTCCAGCCTGGGCAACAAAGCGAGACTCCATCTCAAAAAAAAAATAAAATAAAATAAAATTAAATAAAATGAGACAAGTTATCGCTATGTTGCCCAGGCTGCTGATACTGAACTCCTGGCCTTGAGTGACCCTTCTGCCTCGGCCTCCCAAAGTGCTGGGACTACAGGTGTGTCACCATATGGATAGGTTGGCCTTGAACTCCTGACCTCAAGTGATCCACCTTGGCCTTTCAAAGTGTTGGGATTACAGGCGTGAGCCACCACGCCTGGCCCCTTGTCTCAATTAATCAAAAAAAGGCCTAGGCAACAGAACAAGACTCTGGGGAAAAAAAAATATATATGTATATATATATGTGTATATATATGTATATATATGTATATATGTGTATATATGTGTATATATATGTGTATATATATATATGTGTATATATATATGAATGGAATGATATTCTCATAACCCCTTGGAAACATTATTACTTCTGTTTAACAGATGAGGAATATAAGACAGAAGCTGAGTAATTTGCAGCCACACACTGCTAAATGGTAGCATTGGGACTGTAATCCGGGCCTTCTGATTCTTTTTAATTATTTGTATTAATTTTAATTTTATTTTATTTTTAAAGAGATGGAGTTTCGCTATGTTGCCCAGGGTGGTCTGGAACTCTCAGGCTCAGGTGATCCTCCTGCCTGGGTCTCCCAAAGGGCTGGGATTTCAGGCGTGCGCCGCCATGCCCTGCCGCAGGCTTTCCGATTCTGAACCATAGAGTCAATGAAACTGTCCTCCATCCCCTCCAGAGATGTTTGCCTGGACCCTGTTTTCCTCAGGATATCAATGAATAGTTCATGAGTTTAGTGAGCAAAGGTCAACCTCCATCAGGCGCATGCGTCCCTTCCTTTTCCCATGGAGGAAGAGACGCCTCTTTTCCTTCCGCTTTGCTTGTCTTTTGGCCCCGGCGACTCACCATCGTCAGTGCGCAACCGTTCGCTAACTGAAATGATGGCGACTGGAACGCCAGAGTCTCAAGCGCGGTTCGGTCAGTCCGTGAAGGGGCTTCTCACGGAGAAGGTGACCACCTGTGGTACTGACGTAATCGCGCTCACCAAGCAGGTGCTGAAAGGCTCCCGGAGCTCCGAGGTGAGCTGGAAGTGGACTCTCCCGGCCTGATAGTCCGGGGAGTCGCAGTCTTTCGTTGCTGTGGGAAGGAGGTCGCGTTGCATCTTGGGAATTGTAGGCTGTGAAGTACTTGCTATGAGTAGGTCTTCTTCGCGGAGGCGCGTGTTGCATTCTGGGGTGTGCAGTCTCTTTGGTTAGGGACAGTGTGTGAGGGTTGGGGGAAGAAGCGATGCCATGGGAACCTGTGCTTTAAAACAGCTCTTTGGGAGGCCGAGGCGGGCGGATCACCTGAGGTCGGGAGTTCGAAACTAGCCTGACAATCATGGAGAAACCCCCGTCTCTACTAAAAAATAATAATTAAAAAAATATATAGCCGAGCGTGGTGGCACATGCCTGTAATCCCAGTTACTTGGGAGGCTGAGGCAGGAGAATTGCTTGAACCTGGGAGGCGAATTATATATATAAGTATTATATATTACGTATTATATAATATATATACGTATATATTATATATAATGTGTATGTATATATTACATATATAATATACATATATATTATATATAATATATGTAATATATATTATATATATTTTCAACTAGAGGTGTTTATAGTTAACCACCTGTAAATATTCAACATATTCATCATAATAAACGTACATTTATTTAGCATTTTATATATGCTAGACACTGTTGTCTTTTATGGAGTTTAATTCATGAAGTCTTTAGAATGACTAATTGAAGGAAGTACTTTTCCTTTTTTTTTTTTTTTTTTGAGACGGAGTCTAGCTCTGTCGCCAGGCTGGAGTGTAGTGGTGTGATCTTGGCTCACTGCAACTTCCGCCTCCTGGGTTCAAGTGATTCTCCCGCCTCAGCCTCCTGAGTAGCTGGGATTACAGGCACGCACCACCACACCTGGCTATTTTTGTATTCTTAGTAGAGATGAGGTTTCACCATGTTGGCCAGGCTGGTCTCGAACTCTTGACCTCATGATCTGCCTGCATCAGCCTTCCAAAGTGCTGGGATTACAGGCGTGAGCCACCGCTCCTGGCAGCATTGCTTCTTGAGCAGTCTCCACATAGCTATTTTGTTTGATTAGCTGAGAATTTCATGTGTAAAAAACTCATTCCACAGTATTCATTTAACAAATACTTATTGGGTGTCTGCTATGTGCCAGGAACTGCTCTAGGTACACGGAATAAACAAAACTAAATCCCTCTACTTGGGAAGTTTACATTTTAGTGAAGAGACAGACGATAAACAAGTGAAACAGAAAAAAATCAGGTGGTGGTAAATCCTGTGAAGCAAAATTAATCTGGGAATAGAGAGTGATGAAAGGGTTAATCTTTGTTTGTTTGTTTGTTTTGAGACAGAGGAGGAGTCCCACTAGCTCTGTCACCCAGGCTAAAGTGCAGTGGCCCGATCTCGGGCTCACTGCAACCTCTGCCTCCTGGGTTCAAGCGATTCTCCTGCCTCAGCCTCCTGAGTAGCTGGGATTATAGGCGCCTGCCACCACACCCAGCTAATTTTTGTGTTTTTAGTAGAGATGGGGTTTCACCATGTTGGCCAGGCTGGTCTCAAACTCCTGACCTCAAGTGATCCTTCCCGCTTTGGCCCCCTAAAGTGCTGGGATTACAGGCATGAGCCACCACACCCGGTCGAAAGGGTTAATCTTAAACAGATGATCAGGGAAGGGGTCTCTGGGGAGAGAGCCTGTGAGGAGAAACACACTGACATTTGCCCACAGCATAATGAGTGGTTATGACTCATAGGCTTGTCTCTTGCATGCCTGCGCTTCTCCTCCTCCATTTGAGTTGTGTGCTTAGTGAGGGTCCATTGTGTTTTTTTCTAAACATCATGTGTCTGTGGGCTGGGCGCAGTGGCTCATGCCTGTAATCCTAACACTTTGGGAGGCCGAGGCAGGATTGCTTAAGCCCAGGGGTTCGAGACCAGCCTGGGCCACATAGTGATATCTTGTCTCTGTAAAAAAAGGAAAAAAAAAAAGAATGAAAACAATTTTTTAAATGTGTGTATGGCACTTATGCTTACAGTTGCAACTACGTAATTTAATGAAATAATACGAAAAATGAAATATGAGTACCAAAAAAGAGGGTTGCTATTGCTATGAAAACTAAGTTGAAAATCAGAAACACTTGTTGAAGATGAGTAGCTAAGACAAATTGTTATTGAGTTAATTATGAACAAGTTAATGGTAAAAGCCTAGGAGAAAAATTTATAGAAATCTAAAAAGATTCTGTAGTGAAGATTGTTTTACAGGTGTATTCAAGATGTTCTTCCATTTTAAAGAAAGCAAAACTAGAAATCTCAGATGGTATGTTATGTGTCTGGTCTGTTTATGTAGGAAAGTGATGCAGAATGCCAATGAATATATCAAGGAAAAGCCTTGGCTTTACATTACAACAGCCCCTGCCTTCAAGGCAACCACAACTCCCATTGAGTCTGTTTTCTAAATGTCTCACAAATCCTTTGTTTCTTTTTTTCTTGGCTACTTCTGTGTTTCAGGCCATCCTCATTCCTTGCTTAGAGTACTGCTGTGTCATCCTAACCAATCTCTCTGCCTCATTCCCCACTCTAGTCCACCTGCTTACCACATTTCTAAAACAGAAAAATGGATCATGCCATTTTTCTCTAGAATTACACACAAAGATGAATTCTAAACCCTAACTTTTAAGTCTCAGATTAGAAGTCACTTCTTTTAGGGACCTTTCCTGAACACCTACCCCTGTAATCAGTTAGACACTCCTGCCCCACTACATGCTCCCGGAGCAGCCAATGCTTCCCCATCAGCACTTACCATAAGGTGATGTAAGTGCCTATGTTCCCTTTGTAACCCCTCCAGATTCTGAGCCCCGTTATCACTCTTAACCAGAGTAAGGGCATATGTTAAACACTCAACAAATGTTTATTAAATGAGTAAGTGAATGAAGTAGATTGTTGGAACCCTTTTTTTTCTGCCATCGGTTTGTAAGTCACCATCTCCCATCTATAGGAGTTTGAAGTTTACCCTTAAAAGTAGCCACAGGAGGAACAGGTACTCTCATAATTGTTGGTGGGAATGCAAAGTGGTACAGCCCTAAAGGAGAGGAATTTGGCAATATGTAGCAAAATTAAAACCCCACAGTCACAAATCACAGTCCTGTGAGTCCATCCCAAACATATGCTGGCAAAAAGATGCAAAGATAGGAGATATTTGTAACAGTAAAAGCTATGAGATAAGATCCAAGATTTGAGAATTTTTTGTACCACTACTTACCGTGGCAAAAGACTGGGAACAGCCTCCAAATCCGTCAGCAGAGAACTGACTGAATAATGTTATGGTCACCTGTAGAGTGTGGTACTCTGCAGTTGTAAAAGAGCAATGGATTCATTAGGAGATAGCAATTGAATAGGAGATTCAATATGTATTGCTGCAGATAACCCTCAGGGATCTATTGCAAAGTGAAAACAGCAAGGTGTAGGCTGGGCACGGTGGCTCATGCTTATAATCCCAGCACTTTGGGAGGCTGAGGCAGGCAAATCACTTGAGCCCAGGAGTTTGAAACCAGCTTGGGCAACATGGCAAAACCCCATCTCTACAAAAAAATACAAAAAACTATCTGCGCATGGTGGCATGCACTTGTAGTCCCAGCTACTCTGGAGGCTAAGGTGGAAGGATCACCTGAGTCCGGGAGGTTGAGGCTTCAGTGAACAGTGATGGTGCCACTGCGCTCCAGCCTGGGTGACAGAGTGAGACCATGTCTCAAAAAAAAAAAAATATATATATATATAGAGAGAGAGAGCGAGCGAGAGAGAGAGAGAGAGAGAGCAAGGTGTAAACAAGTACACATAGTATGTTACATTTTAAGTAGGAAAGTGGTATGGAGGAAAATAAATACATGTGTCCATTGTTTAAAAAGGAACAATGGAAAGAAAACCACAAAGCTAATAAAAATAGTTATGCATGGGGCTGGGTGTAGGGGCTCATGCCTGTAATCCCAGTACTTTGGGAGGCTGAGGCGGGTGGATCACCTGAGGATGGGAGTTTGAGACCAGCCTGGCCAACACAGTGAAACCTCGTCTCTACTAAAAATATAAAAATTAGGTGAGCGTGGTGGCATGTACCTATAATCCCAGCTACTCAGGAGGCTGCTGCAGGAGAATCTCTTGAATCCAGGATGCGGAGGTTGCAGTGAGCCAAGATCGCATCACTGCACTCCAGCCTGGGTGACAGAGTGATACCCTGTTTCAAAAAAATGAAAATTAAAAAATAAAAAAATAGTTTTGCATATGGGGGAGAGAACAGGGAAAGAAAGGGACAGAGATGGAAAATCCTATTTTATTGTTTTGACTTTAGACATCCAGAAGGGGTTACTAACTTTAAAACTTTAAATAAAGTTGCCCTGTGTTGGGGAAGAAATCTGGCAATCCTAGTTACTTTGAAGTCACGCTACCCTTTTCACTAGAGTCTCCCTGACCCAAGAGAACAGGGAAGGGCCGGTAGGATACACATAACAGTAGCTCCTTTTACTTGGCTGAATTTAGGTATGCCAGGAGCAGGGTGCAGTATTAGGCCAGAAATCTCTGTTGGTCTCTGCTTGCCTCTCAGTGCTAATGTGGTCAGCTCTCCTTGACTGTAGACCATCCAGCCAAATCCAAGCTCTGCTTTTCTCTTTTGGACTCAGGACCCATTAAACTCAGTAACCTCATTAAATTCTGCCTGCACATTTCTCCTTTCTTTTCTTTTCTTTTTTTTTTTTTTGAGACAGAGTCTCACTCTGTTGCCAGGCTGGAGTGCAATGGTGCGATCTCGGCTCACTGCAACCTCTGCCTCCCAAGTTCAAGAGATTCTCCTGCCTCAGCCTCCTGAATAACTGGGATTACAGGCACGTGCCACCACGCCTGGCTAATTTTTGTAATTTTGGTAGAGGGGTTTTGCCATGTTGGCCAGGCTGGTCTTGAACTCCTGATCTCAGGTGATTGCCTGCCTCGGCCTCCGAAAGTGCTGGGATTACAGGTGTGAGCCACCGCACCTGGCCATCTCCTTTCTTTTCTTTTTCCCAGCCCTGTCTGGTCATCTTTTATGGGGTGGTTCCCCATTTTAAGCCCTGAGCTTCTCCTCATGGCTTCCCCACACCCCCCACTGTTTCTCTTATTCCATTTTTTTTTTCTTTTTTTTTTTTTGAGACAGGGTCTTGCTTTGTCGCCCAGGCTGGAGTACAGTGGTGAGATCTTGGCTCACTGCAACTTTCGCCTCCTGGGTTCAAGCAATTCTCCCACCTCAGCCTCCCAAGTAGCTGGGATTACAAGCGCAGCCACCATGCCCAGCTAACTTGTATTTTTCGGTAGAGATGCGGTTTCACCATGTTGCCCAGGCTGGTCTTAAACTCCTGACCTCAAGTGATCCACCCACCTTGGCCTCCCGAAGTGCTGAGATTACGGGCATGAGCCACCGCACCTGGCCTTCTCTTATTTCATTTCTAAATAGCTGTATTCCTCTGTCCTTTTCAGCCCCATTCTAACTCTTGCATCTTTACTACTTTCAAACAACCCCAAATCTCAAATCTGCCTTTAAAGAATTACGAGTCATGTTCTCTCACTGGACTTGTGGAGCCAAAGTTTTTTTGCAGACTTCTCTTAGCACTTAATGAATACACTGTGCCAACAGCCCAGCAGTTAGGAAGCACTTGATTTCTCAGGCAGTGGCCTTTGAAACAGATGTCGGGTCCATGCCAGAACTGCCATAGTGCCAATGAAATGAATTTTCAACATGAACAAATAGAAAATTATCCTTCATTACATTTTGAGTGTTTGTGGTTGTATAGGGTGGAGGAGTGGGAGAGGAGAGAGGGTAGTAGTGTAACAGCTGCAGAGAGAAGATTACAGGAAGTTTGGGAATTTTGATTATTACCATTTTATTTTTGTCTTCCAGCTGCTAGGTCAGGCAGCTCGAAACATGGTACTCCAGGAAGATGCCATCTTGCACTCAGAAGATGTAAGAAACAACTTTTTTTTTTAATGATTTGGGTTTATGTATATGGTTTGTGTGGCCACAGGGAAGTGGAAATGTTCTATTTCTCTCTCTCTTTTTTATGCAGAGTTTAAGGAAGATGGCAATAATAACAACACATCTTCAATACCAGTGAGTATGCCCCCTCCAGCAACTATTTGCTGCAGAATCATTATCCCTGGTCTGCTTTCATGGACTTTGTGCTTCAGCACTTTCCTGTGGAGGCCAGAGTGGGAGTAAAGGTGGGGGTGGCCAAGGATGACTTTCTCGATGGCAAAGATGCCTGAGACTACAGAAGAAGTGGGGGTAAAGGATGAGAATCAGGAGCAGAGTCCACCCTTTATGAACCTCCCCATGTTAAATTGAGGGCTCCTCAGAGAGAGACTATAAACCCTGTAAAGGCAGGGCCCGTGCCAGGACCATGCTAGCACTGTACTTGGCACCTGTGAGGCCGTTGATCAGTATTTGATGACTGACTGTGCCCAAGGTCTCTTCTGGGAAGTTAAGTTGGGTCCTCTACTAGGGAATGAAGTATAACATACCTGTATCCTACATGGTACATAGGTAAGTGTGGCACCTGCTACATATAAATCATGTAGGGAATTTTGAAATATAAGACCCCCTCTTTCTCCATTATAATTTGCTCTTCATCTTATTTCATGTTGTTTTATATTTTATGTACTTGATATTATACTTATGTACCTCTTAGAAATATATGGTTGGGGCTGGGCATGGTGGCTCACACCTGTAATCCCAGCACTTTGGGAGGCCGAGGAGGGCGGATCACCTGAGATCAGGGGTTCAAGACCAGCCTGGCCAACATGGTGAAACCCCGTCTCTACTAAAGATACAAAAAAGTAGCCGGGTGTGGTGGTGGGTGCCTGTAATCCCAGATACTCAGAAGGCTGAAGCATGAGAATTGCTTGAACCTGGGAGGTGGAGTTTGCAGTGAGTGGAGATTGCACCTCTGCACTCTAGCCAGGGTGACAAAAGTGAAACTCTGCCTCCAGAAAAAAAAAAAAAGAGGCTGGGCACAGTGGCTCATGCCTGTAATTCCAGCACTTTGGGAGGCTGAGGCAGGTGGATCACCTGAGGTCAGGAGTTCTAGATTAGCCTGGCCAACACGGCAAAACCCCGTCTCTACTAAAAATACAAAAATTAGCCGGGTGTGGTGGCACACACCTGTAATCCCAGCTACTCGGGAGGCTGAGGCAGGAGAACTGCTTGAGCCCGGGAGACGGAAATGGCAGTGAGCTGAGATCGGGCACCACTCCACTGCATCCTGGCGACAGAGTGAGACTCTGTCTCAAAAAAAAAACAAAAAAACAAAAACAAAAGCAAACAAACAAAATATATATATATGGTTAGGAATTTCACTCTTCGATATTTAAATAGCTAATGTTTGTCATAATCATTAGTCATTCTTTGGGTATCTACATATTAGGTATTAGGTATGTGACCATTTGATTCCATATACACAGACTAATTTTAAGCCATGCATGTAGTCTGTTGAACCACATTTCTCACTCTGGGAGAATGTTACTATCTGTTTGGGTTTAGATTCCATCTTTTCAGCAGCTCTGCACTCAGACAGGAATCCCTGTTCAATAGCACAATCTTAGGATAGGATGGACAGAAATACAGGATGTGACATAAGCTGAAATTTCTTCTGCCTATATGTATTATCTGGTCATAAATGAAACTTATTAGTTCACTTATGTGTATTTTCCTCTTTCCTTTTCTGATTTAGGCAAGAAGCTATTCAGAAGAAGTAAGTAACCCCAAAGGTAGAGGAGTAGGGAACCAACTGAAGCAGGCTGGGGGGATTTATACTGCTGGGTCCAGAATCAATACAAAACCCTGGTTGACACCTGCCCTCAAATTGAAATATGCTCTGGGATACTCACTTGGGATTTAAAGATACAGCATATTTCAAAGGTGTGCAGTAACTCAACTCACTGCTATTAATAGTAAAACTTTCTAAAAGTTATGGGGTATAGAGACCAACCTTAAGGAGTAGAAAACCTTTTACATTGGTAATATTCATTAAGCAGAGTAAATGTGCAAAAACCATTAAACAGCCTTGTTTTCTAAAATGGATTAAATTTGTCCCTTGCAACATTGTTTACATTACTAATTGGCTTTGCAAACCTTTCTTCAGAGTTTAAACACTTCTGGGACACAACTGGACCAATATAAATTTTGATTTACATGCAACAGTATTTATGCATTAAAGTACAGATAGCTTGTACAGGACAGGTGTAGTGGCTGGCTCATGCCTGTAATTGCAGGACTTTGGAAGGCTGAGGCTGGAGGATTGCTTGAGCCCAGAGTTTGAGATTGCCTTGTGCAGCATAGTGAGACCCTGTCTGTAATGGAAAAAAAAAATTTGTAAATAGTTGTACAAAGATGTCTTTATTATTGCTCATTTCAGATAAACCCTGTCTCTATTCTAATTCCTAGTGTTGAACAGTCATCGGATCTACAGGACCAGTTGAATCATCTGTTGAAATAGAATGACATGTAAGAGTGCTGTAGGACTCCTTTGCCTAATGCTGAGGAGTAAATACCTTACACAGCTGTCCTCTGGGTTTGGTTTTCTATTTTCTTCTCCAAAAGTTAAGTTAGAAAAGTTCTGTGTTAGGGCCGGGCGCGGTAGCTCACGCCTGTAATCCCAGCACTTTGGGAGGCCGAGGCGGGTGGATCACGAGGTCAGGAGTTCGAGACCAGCCTGGCCAAGATGGTGAAACCCCGTCTCTACTAAAAATACAAAGAATTAGCTGGGCGTGGTGGCGGGCGCCTGTAATCCCAGCTACTCGGGAAGCTGAGGCAAGAGAATCGCTTGAACCCAGGAGGTGGAGGTTGCAGTGAGCCAAGATCGCGCCACTGCACTCCAGCCTGGGCGACAGAGTGAGATTCCATCTCCAAAAAAAAAAAAAGAAAAAAAAAAGAAAAGTTCTGTGTTGATGTACAGTTTCTCCTAAGAAGAAGCGAGGTGGTTGAATTTTGGAAGCACTTCTTGAATCGGATTAACCCATGCTCTTATTGAATTTTTTCATCTGCTCTGTTTAGTTTGATATTAAAGCAAAATTAAGAGGTCTTAGTTTTTCCTATAGAACTTTTAATATGTCAAAAGCTATATTGTCTAAATTTCAGTACTTAAGCAAATACTGAGTAGTGTTTTAAATTCAGAAATAGAGCTTCTATTATGAACACATGAGAATGATTTTTTTCTCTTAATCATTATTAAGGAAATATTTTAATTTCATGGTCATATAATGGTGATAAGTAATACCTGATTGTTTCCTTTTCTGTTCTAGTAACTCAGAGGAGATACGTGTTTTATTTGTGATAGCAAATTCCTAAATGAACATTAGGCAAGTGGTATCATTATCAGGCCAGCTGCAGCCTCTTGCCTTGACCTGCATTCCTAGAATTTCTTTGTTGCTGTAATTCTTGATTAAGTGACCTTGACTTTCATTTTGTAATTTTGCTAATCATCAGCAAATTCACTTGCATGACGTTACTGCCAAATATGAAGGCAGTTGAATTATTATGAGTGATTGTGGCAGAGGTTTGTGCCATGGTGAAAACTTTGATGTTTGTCTGTGTTCATTGGATCCATCTTTTTAAATGACATTACCATGAGTCTGTTGTCAAACCTAAATATCTTTGTTTGAATTTAAAATGGGACTCTATATTGTTGTAGTTCAGGTCTTCATTGACTAAGAGATTGAGAGAAATCTGACATAAGAAAATATTGTTTTCACTGCAGGAATAAAGAGGAAGTAACAGTGAATCCAATATAGTTCATATTGTTATTGTCCAATCATCAAGTTAACTAAGCATTATCAGATTACGTTTATTTCTCATACATATGGATATTAACTTAAGGTAAAAAAGCTGGATGTGAAGGATCTGAAAAGGCATTAATTTATGTACTAATTCTATAAACATGTATTAATAATTGCAGTATTATTAAATACAGATGGACTCAATGTACCTTTGAAAAGACCACTAATTTAGAAAACAAAGCTAAGTGCAGTCATTACAAGAAGCAAAGAAATACTTAAGTTAGAAAAAAATTAAAATGAAGGGATGGTCTAAGTTTTCTTCATGCTGGAACAAATGTTAAAGAAGCAGTGATTGCTTACAATGTATGTGATAAAATAATACCTTTCACAATCAAAATTTTAATAGTAAATATAAGATAAAATTTATATTAAATAATGAAAACGTATTTGTACTGAATTTAGTCACTAGAGAACATCGTAACAAAATACATGAAACAAAAGTAGCCAGAAATGTTAGAACAGGTGGAAATGTATACATTATTTGATGGTTTGTTTTTTTATGGAAATAAACAACATACATAGAATTAAATGGTGATCAAAAACATGGAAAAAATACTTCACTAAATAACGTCTAAGTTGTAGAGGTTGTGCCGGAAGATAATATTTTTAAAATAACAAATGTTCAAATGCCATAAAAGAAAATTTGTGTGATAATACCAAAGCAGTACTATAAGAAAATAAGCATGCTTTAAATCCCTGTATTAGGGATAGAGTGGAAATATTTTTGTTTTTTTTAAGGGGTATATAGTTAGAATTTAGAAAGAATGGAAATGGAAATAATAAAACTAAACAAATTAGAAAAAAATAACAAATTAGAAAAAATAAAAAGTATTAAGTAGTTCTTGTAGATTAAATGGGTAAAGTGTCAGCTCAGCCAGAAAAGTACAAATTAGTAAATTCGTAATTGAATAGGCAATACATAAAATCAATGAGATTTGAAAAGAGTTATCAGTTTGCTGCAAAAAATGTGATTAATATATGCCCAGCTCCTTATAAAGATAAAAAATTATGAAACTGACACTTTTAACAGAGAATATTCCAGATTGGTTATGAGAAATAACCCACAAACTAAGAATAACCAATTAAAATGGCATTTGCTTGTGAAAGCTTTCATGAGACTTTTCCAAACTGTCAAAGAACATATACTCCTGGCCGGGTGTGGTGGCTCACGCCTGTAATCCCACCACTTTGGGAGGCCGAGGCAGGCGGATCACAGAGTCAGGAGTTCGAGACCAGCCTGGCCAACATGGTGAAACCCCGTCTCTACTTAAAAAATACAAAAATTAACCAGGCATGGTGGCACATGCCTGTAATCCCAGCTACTCAGGAGGCTGAGACAGGAGAATTGCTTGAACCCAGGAGGCAGAGGTTGCAGTGAGCCGAGATCGAGCCACTGCACTCCAGCCTGGGTGGCAGAGCAAGACTCCATCTCAAAAAACAAAACAAAACAAAACAAAAAACCCCTATACTCCCAAAATATAGAAAATGATCATAAGACACTAATTCATTTAATGAAGTAAACAGGATTTTCATTTTAAAAATAAAATTATGTAAGAAAGATGATGCAAGAGGATGTAAGATAATGTAGGTGATTTTTTTATGAGTATAGATGCAAAAATCCGAATAAAATCTTAGAAAACTGAATAGAGAAATATTTTGAATAATTGTTCATGTAACTCCAGAATTTCAAAGTTGATGTAATAGTTACAAAACACATTACATTAATAAGAAATAATAAAATCTTTTGTCACTATAATATATACCAAAAAGGCATTTAAAATACACTTTCTATTTCAAAAAAACTAAAAGAATTTTTTAAAAGGGTATGTTTTAAAACCCAACATAATATTTGATGAAGAAGAGTCGTATAAAACCCCAGAATATTAGAGCTGTATGGGGCCTTAAAAGTTATTAAATTCTGGCCCCATGTTTTACAGATGAAAAAAACACAGCCAGGAAGATGAAATGACTTACCCAAGGTCACTGAGCTTGATGGTAGGTCTTTTGACTACTAGTCTGGCTCTATTACCTGTTAGTTTCCTTATGCATAGAAACAAGGGTGCCACCTTCATTACTAGTCTTCAACATAATACTAAAGAGCTCTTAGAAAAGGAAAGGATCTTGAAGTAGCTGAATCCAATCCATTTGCCCCTGCTTCTGCATCTCAGGTGAGCCATCATCCAGTCATTCATCTGCTTCTGCTTCCGATATTTGGGGAATCCTTTACTTAGGAGTGCTGATCCTTTTGGAAATCTCCACTTCTTGAAAGATGGTTCTGTGTAATTAACCAAAATCTGCCTTTCTGGATAATCCTGGAATTGTCACTCCAGTAGCTTCCAAGATAGAATGTGTGACGGTGTGCACAGGCCTCTGTTAAAGGGTAGGGGAGAAAATTTCTATGTATGTTAGTTTTTTATCTTAAAAAAATTAGCTTTTGTGAGGCTGGGCGTGGTGGCTCACGCCTGTAATCCCAGCACTTTGGGAGGCCGAGGCGGGCAGATCACGAGGTCTGGAGATTGAGACCGTCCTGGCTAACACAGTGAAACCCCGTCTCTACTAAAAATACAAAAAATTAGCTGGGCGTGGTGGCGGGCGCCTGTAGTCCCAGCTATTCGGGAGGTGAGGCAGTAGAATGGCATGAACCCGGGAGGCGGAGCTTGCAGTGAGCTGAGATCCTGCCACTGCACTCCAGCCTGGGTGACAGAGCGAGACTCTGTCTCAAAAAAATAAAAAAGCTTTTGCCAATATTTAAAATATGACTTGATGTGAGAGTCTTAATTTCTTCTACGCAGTATACAGATATATAGCATTCCTGTCATTTAGCAGGGGTGATAGTAAAACAAAAAAACAAAAAACCCCACAAAACCTGTGGTGAGGCACTGACCAATCAGAATGATTGATGGTCACAGTCTGGTCCAAAATTAGCCCCCACACCAGACACCATGGAGGAAAAGTGAGAGTAACTCAATTTAAGTTGACAGTGGTTTGTTTTATTGCAGTTTATCTGTGTGTGAATAGGTAGATTTAAGGATTGTTGGCCAGGTGTGGTGGCTCACACCTGGAATCCCAGCACTTTTAGGAGGCAGAGGCAGGCGGATCACTTGAGATCAGGAGTTCGAGACAGCCTGGCCAACATGGTGAAACCCTGTCTCTACTAAAAATACAAATTAGCCAGGCATGGTAGTGCATGCCTGTAATTCCAGCTACTTGGGAGGCTGAGGCAGGAGAATCGCTTGAACCGGGGAGGCAGAGGTTGCAGTGAGCCGAGATTGCGCCATTGCGCTCCAGCTTGGGCAACAAGAGCGAAACTCTGTCTCAAAAAAAAAAAAAAAAAAAAAGGATTGTCAAATGATTCTTGTAAGTAAACCATAAATTAAAGATAACAAAACAAGCACAAGAGAAAAATGATACAGCCCTTTCCTTGACCTCTCACTAATCTGCCCTTTTAAGATAAAGATATCATTTTAACTATGAGAAGGTAACTGCTTTTCTAAAGGAGCTCATTTTATGAAGATAATATTTTGAAAACTAATATTTAGGAGTGTTTTCACCATTCTATGATTGCCCAAAAACTAAGTGATACTTATAAAAACACTAAGTTTTATACATATACTAGTTGGAAATATTCCAAGCTGTAGAAATATTCCAACAAGGATTATTTCCATGGGGTTAATTTGTTAAAAATATAAAAGACACCACCTTTCTATTAATTTGTAACAACTAATTGACATCAGAGAAGATGAAAATTTACTAGCTGGATATCAACCAGATTTTTGTATTATTGGCAACTGAGATTGAAAAATGAATGAAAGAGTCTACTTCATCCATTTAGATATCCTTTCACTTGGATCTCCCTGTTTCCTTACTGTCCTAATGAATAGAAATGATCGTTACAAGCTGGGCATGGTGGCTTGCACCTGTAGTCCCAGCTACTGGGGAGGCTGAGGAGGGAGGATGGCTTGAGGCCAGAGTTGAAGGATCCAGAGATGATTGCGCAGTGACGCTAAGCTTGGGCCACAGAGTTGAGACCCTGTCTCTAAAAATTTTTTTTTAATTTAAATTATAAAAAGAGAAATGCTTGTTACAACCACAAAGGGAAACAAGATATACACATATAATTGTGGAAGTAAAAATAAATAATTTAAAAATACTTTTGGGTGCTCGCTTCGGCAGCACATATAGTTGGAATGATAGAGAAGATTTGCATGGCCCCTGCGCAAGATGACATACAAATTCGTGAAGTGTTCCATATTTAAAAAAACAAAAAATACTTTTGGGCCTGGCACTGTGGCTCATGCCTGTAATCCAAACACTTTGGGAGGCTGAGGCGGGCGGATTGCTTGAACCCAGGAGTTGGAGACCAGCCTGGACAACATGGTGAAATCCCGTCTCTATAAAAAAATACAAAAATTAACCAGGTGTGGTGGTGCACGCCTGTAATCCAAGGTACTTGGGAGGCTGAGGCGGGAGGATCGCTTGAGCCAGGAGGTTGGGCCTGGGTAACAGAGACCGTCTCAAAAAAATTTAAAAATTAAAAAAAAAACTTTCTGCAAGATGAAGTGACAATACCTGGAAAATACATGTGACTTGACCAAAAATTACTATAGGTGAAAATAAATTTAGCAAAGTTGCTTTCCTAAATACAACCCAAAATAGACTGGGAACAGCTACATACTGTTAATGGTTCCCTCTATGTGACATTCTAGAAAAGGCAGAACTATAGGGAGGGAAAACATCTGTGGTTGCCCAGGAGCTAGGGGTGGGAAGAGGGAATTTACTACAAAGAGGCACGAAGAAACTTGTGGGCCAGAGCTATTTTGGTCTCCGTTTTGGTGATGTATATACGTTTGCCAGAGTTCACAGAACTGCACACTGAAGAAAGATGGATTTCACGGAATGTGAATTATATCTCAACAAACTTGACTTCAAAAAACAGATCGAGAAAAGATGATTCTATTCCCAAAAAGGGGGAGGGGGGAAGATCATTATATAGGTGAGTGTTCATTTAAATCAGAGTACGAGATTTATCCGTGAAAATCGCAGTGGAGCGAACAAGGGGGATGCTGATACCGACCTCCTGGTTGGAAAGCCTGTAGAGCAGCGCGGATGACAGTGGAACAGCGGGTCAGGCGGTGGGCGCCTGAGCGAGGGGCTAGAGCGGGATGGGCGGGCGGAGCAAGCCTGCCAGCCTGGGCGGGGCCTCGGCACAGGAGCTGGCTGCGGGAGCCCGCCGTCCTGAGTCGCAGGCCGAGGAGACAGTGAGTGCGCGCCCTGAGTCGCAGGCCGAGGAGACAGTGAGTGCGCGCCCTGAGTCGCAGGCCGAGGAGACAGTGAGTGCGCGCCCTGGGCGCCCCGCCCCAGCCCCCAGCCCCTTCCCTGGGCCCCCGCAAGGCGGGAACGCGAGCGCCTCCCCCGAGCTGTGTCTCGAGACCTTTGTCCTCCCCTCACCCCTCGGCCCGCTGCCTGCCCTTTACTGGCCCCCTCCCTCATGCCCGTCCCTCAGCACCCTCTCCTTTCAACTAACTTTCCCGCTCCCGACAGTGGCTGCACTTCGTGACGCTGAGATACAGAAGGACGTGCAGGTGAGAGCTGTAGGGCCTGGAATGGCCCAAGTGGAGCCTAGGCTAATGGAAGTCTGGCCTGGCCCGCACCCTGTCCCCCGGGACTCCTGGAGTCGGGGTAGGGCAGGGTCTAGGCTTCGACCTTTCCAGGGAACTGAGGTCGGCCAAGTGGAGGTGGAGGTGGTGACGGAGCCCTCGCGCTGCAGTCACAGCTCTTCTCCCTCTCTACCCCTCACTCCACTGTGGGACGCTGGGTCAGACCTACTACGGGCAGGTGCTGAAGAGATCGGCAGACCTCCAGACCAACGGCTGTGTCACCACAGCCAGGCCGGTCCCCAAGCACATCCGGGAAGCCTTGCAAAATGTACACGAAGAAGTAGCCCTAAGGTAGAGTGCCCTGTGCTGTCCCCAGGAAGACCCCAAACAGCAGTTTTCCCAAAAGATAATGATGCAGGTCACTAGGGAATTAACCCGTAGCCACCAACCCATCAGCTTGCCTTGTCTATTGTAAAAATCCTAAATCTCAGCACCCATCATCTTACTGCTCTAAGAACCTCCGATGAGTCTGGGCGCGCCAGTGAGCCTGTAGTCCCAAGTGCTTGGGAGGCTGAGGCAGAGGATCGCGTGAGCCCAGAAGTTACAGGCTGTAGTGTGCGATCCGGGATGTGAATAGCCACTGCACTCCAGCTTGGTCAACATAGCCAGATGCATCTCTAAAATAAATGCGTACTTTAAAAAAATTGCCTAAAAAAAAGAACCTCCAGCGTGAACACTCTGTAGTCCCTACCCATGCTCACAGAATACAGTCACACTCACTGGATCTGCCATTCAAGATATGCGCAGTTCAGCACCCACTAATCAACCTTGGCCCTTTTGACCCTTCCCTTCCTCACTCCATCAGCACTGCCTGCCCAGCCGGCAGTCACCAATTTGGAAGGTCTTCCCTTTTCTTTTTCCTTCCCAACCCTGCGCATCCAGCACCACGCTGCTGTCCCACCTACTGCATGGAGCCTTCTCTAATCCTTGAGCGGCCTCTTCCCCAAACTGCCACAGCACTCTGTCACTCGGTCTGTCCGTAAATCACGGGAAGTGTTTTCTGTGCACGATGTTTTATCTCGCCTCTCAAATACACCTACGCGGCGGGGAGCGGTGGCTCACGTCCGTCATCCCAGAACTTGGGAGGCCAAGGCAGGTAGATCACTTGAGGTCAGAAGTTCAAGACCGACCTGGTCAACATAGTGAAACCCTGTCTCTACTGAAAATACAAAAATTAGCTGGGTGTAGTGGGGCACGCCTGTAGTCCCAGCTACTTGGGAGGCTGAGGGAGGAGAATCACTTGAACGTGGAAGGCGGAGGTCGCAGTGAGCGGAGATTGTGCCACTGCACTCCAGCCTGGGCAACAGAGAAAAACTCAGTCAAAACAAAACAAAACAAAAAAAAGGCCGGGGGTGGTGGCTTATGTCTGTAATCCCAGCACTTTGGGAGGCCGAGGCGGGAGGATCACGAGGCCAGGAGATCGAGACCATCCTGGCTATCATGGTGAAACCCCGTCTCTACTAAAAATACAAAAATATTATCCGGGTGTGGCGGCACGCGCCTGTAGTTCCGGCTGCTGGGGAGGCTGAGGCAGGAGAACGGCGTGAACCCGGGAGGCGGAGCTTGCAGTGAGCTGAGTTCGAGCCACTGCACTCCAGCCTGGGTGACAGGGCAAGACTCCGTCTCAAAAAAAAAAAAAAAAAAAAAAAAAAAAAAAATTAGCCAGGAGTGGTGGCAGGCGCTCGTAGTCCTAGCTACTCGGGAGGCTGAGGTAGGAGAATGGTGTCAACCCGGGAGGCGGAGCTTGCGGTGAGCTGAGATCGCGCCACTGCACTCCAGCCTGGGCGACAGAGCGAGACTCCGTCTCAAACAAAACAAAACAAAACAAAACAAAACAAATCAAAACAAAAAACGCCTATGGGACAGAAACCTTACATTTTTTCCTCAATAACTAGCGCAGTCCTGGGCCTGAATTAGAAGCTCAGCTAATGATTAAATGTATTTATTCAACACATTATTTTATTTTATTTATTTATTTTTGAGACGGAGTCTCACTCTGTCCCTTAGGCTGGAGTGCAGTGGCGCCATCTCTGCTCACTGCAACCTCTGCCTCCTGGGTTCAAGCCATTCTCCTGCCTCAGCCTCCCGAGGAGCTGGGATTACAGGTACCTGCTACCGTGCCCAGCTGATTTTTTGGTATTTTTAGTAGAGACAGGGTTTCACTATGTTGGCCAGGCTGGTCTCCAACTCCTTGCCTCAAGCGATCCGCCTGCCTTGACCTCCCAAAGTGCTGTGATTATAGGCGTGAGCCACCGCGCCCAGCCTGAACACATTATTTTAGATGGCTTATGAAGTCTTAGTGCCTAGCACATGCCCAACAATACTGTGGTAAAGCAGATACAGTCCCAGCCTTCATGGGTGTCCAGTTCAGTGGAGACTAAACATCAGAAGTATGAGTGAATGATGCAAGAAAGAAGGAAGGAAGGAAGGAACGGAGGGAGGGAGGGAGGAGGGAAGTATGTATAAGATTTAGTGGTTTCATGTCTTACAGTCTCCAGGGAAAAAATATGTGTTTTCCATTTCCCAGATATTATGGCTGTGGTCTGGTGATCCCTGAGCATCTAGAAAACTGCTGGATTTTGGATCTGGGTAGTGGAAGTGGCAGAGATTGCTATGTACTTAGCCAGCTGGTTGGTGAAAAAGGACACGTGACTGGAATAGACATGACCAAAGGCCAGGTGAGGCATGATTTGGAAGACAAGGAGAAAAAGATTCTCAAAAGCATTATTTGAAAAATAAAGTTGTTTTCTTCGTGGCTCTTCAAGGATAATTTAAGAAAGCTTCTAGTTAGCAATGCTCATTTGTGCCACTAGTGCTTCCTGTCTTGGAAACTGATAACTTGAACAATTAGGGGTTCTTCTGGGCGAACACAAGAGTCGGAGGTTTGCTCTGATATGAATATCGTGACGATAGAGTGGACTTTGATCTTTCCCTTCTTGCTGCCATCTATCCTGAAAGATTTTGTTATTGAATGAGGAGTTTATTCAAGCCAAACTGCACGGGCAGCAGGGAGTTTATGTCCCAGGTTGTAGTATATCCTACGTGTCCACAGGAATCTTGTATGTTTATCCAAAATAATCTAGGGGAAGTATATTCTGTTAGTGATAGGAAATTTTTAGGAAAAAGTTGTGTATTTTTTTCAAAATGTTATCAAAACTATATTTTTCTTACTTTAGGTGGAAGTGGCTGAAAAGTATCTTGACTATCACATGGAAAAATATGGCTTCCAGGCATCTAATGTGACTTTTATTCATGGCTACATTGAGAAGTTGGGAGAGGCTGGAATCAAGAATGAGAGCCATGATATTGTTGTGTAGGTCTATATTCTTACTGTTATGACTATAGCCCATTTTCTTTATTATTATTATTATTATTATTGAGATGGACTCTCGCTCTGTCACCCAGGCCAGAGTGCAGTGGCCCAATGTCAGCTCACGATAACCTCTGCCTCCCGGGTTCAACTGATTCTCTTGCCTCAGCCTCTCAAGTAGCTGGGATTATAGGCACACGCTACCACATCCAGCTAATTTTTTAAATCTTCTTTTAGTAGAGACAGGGTTTCACCATGTTGGCCAGGCTGGTCTCAAACTCCTGATCTCAGGTGATCCACCCGCTTCCACCTCCCAAAGTGCTGGGATTACAGGTGTGAGGCACTGTGCTCAGCCCTCATTTCCTTTTGAACACAGAGATGTCACTATTACTGTTTGCTGAATTGACTCTCATTTAGGGTGTTAAACTAAACTTAGCATGGCTTACTAATGGGAGAGAGCTGGTTTGAGCTGCTGGAGCTCACCAGCAGCAGAACACACCAGACCAAGAGGGAACTTACTTGAAACTTAACCACAAACCAATGAACCCAAAAGACCAGCAGGACCACTAAGTTTGCTCCTACAATACATGCTGACCTGTATCTTTCATAATATTTTCATGGTAAATTATAGGATTCTATTTCCTTTTTTCCCTCAAGTTGTTATTGTCAAATCATGCCCAAGTGACAGCTGCCTTTGAGGAACATAGCCTGTTTACGTGAAGCATAAGAAATGCCTTGTGCCGGCCAGGTGCGGTGGCTCACGCCTATAATCCCAGCATTTTGGGAGGCCGAGGCAGGTGGATCACGAGGTCAGGAATTCCAGACCAGCTTGAACAACATGGCGAAACCCCGTCTCTACTAAAAATACAAAAATTAGCTGGGTGTGGTGGCACATGCCTGTAATCCCAGCTATTTAGGAGGCTGAGGCAGGAGAATCACTTGAACCCGGGAGGCGGAGGTTGCAATGAGCCGAGATTGCGCCATTGTACTCCAGCCTGGGCAACAGGAGTGAAACATCCTCTCGGGAAAAAAAAAAAAAGAAAGAAATGCCTTGTGCAGTAGGCATCTGGTCTGAGGTTTCATCTTGTTACATGGTGAACATCAGGACAGAAACAAGTAAGAATCATGCCTGATGTTATTTTCTGCACATTCAAACTTGCTAACAATTTATTGAGATTTTAAGCACTCTGTCTCTGATCTTGGGGAAAAGCTTAGTTGAAGGCATTAGAAAGAGAGGAGGGAGGCGGTAAGAATGGGGTAGCTTTGACAGAACGGTGGGAACCACCTTTAGGGTCTGAAAGGATTTGCAGATCTCTGAGTGTTGTGAAGATTTGCTCGACATTTCATCTGTTCTCTTTTAGATCAAACTGTGTTATTAACCTTGTGCCTGATAAACAACAAGTGCTTCAGGAGGCATATCGGGTGCTGAAGGTGAGGAGGAGAGTGAGATAAATTATCTTTGAACATCAGTAAGAGCTGATGGGTTAAGTCTTGTTTGTTCCCCCTTGAACTAAGAGCTCAAACTCTCTTAATTTATCCATTAAATGAATAAGGGGTGGCAAAAGGGGGAAGGGGCAGGAATACCCCGGATATGGATTACTTTCCCTCTTAGGTTGCAAAAGGTAGTAAATCCGAGGTGACAGTTGTCACTGAATGTGTTAAGGTATTTGCTTTCTTGACTGTCTCTCCTATTTGCTGCTGTACATGATCCTAGAAGAGCATCTGTGGAGCTATAGGAATCTTTGCACTGACTACTAATGATTGCTTTGAATATACTCTCTTCTAGCATGTACAGTGTTTCTCAGGGCTTCTGATTTCTTATCTGTCATGATTTCAGATCTTTGGGAAGTTACAGAAGATGGAACTTTTACATTAACTACTTGCTAAAAGGAAAGCTTGCAGGAGCTCCACAGCCTTCATTGTATCATGAGATGTGTATCTTCATGATAGTAGATGAAATATTCAGCCAGGTGCGGTAGCTCACACCTGTAATCCCAGTGCTGTGGGAGGCCGAGGCGGGCAGATCACCTGAGGTCAGGAGTTTGAGACCAGCTTGGCCAACATGGAGAAACTCTGTCTCTACTAAAAATACAAAAATTAGCTGGGTGTGGTGGTGCGTGCCTGTAATCCCAGCTCCTCGGGAGGCTGAGGTAGGAGAATAGCTTGAACCCAGAAGTCAGAGGTTGCAGTGAGCCAGGATCGTGCCACTGCACTCCAGCCTGGGAGACAGAGCGAGACTCCATCTCAAAAAAAAAAAAAAAAAAAAAAGATTCTAGCTGGGTGGGTGGTACATGCCTGTACTCCCAGCTACTTGGATGCTGAGGCAAGAGGATTGCTTGAGCTCTGGAGTTTGTGTGCAGCTTGGGCAATATAGTGTGATCACTGCCTCTAAAAAAATGTTTTTTTTTTTGAGATGGAGTCTCACTCTGCTGTCCAGGCTGTAGTGCAGTGGCAGGATTTCATCTCACTGCAACCTCCGCCTCCTGGGTTCAAACAATTCTTTTGCCTCAGCCTCCCTAGTAGCTGGGACTACAGGCGTGTGCCACCATGCCCAGCTAATTTTTGTACTTTTAGTAGAGACAAGATTTCACCATATTGGTCAGGCTGATCTTGAACTCCTGATCTCATGATCTGCCTCAGCCTCCCAAAGTGCTGGGATTACAGGCATGAGCCGCTGTGCCTGGCCAAAATTTTTTTTTAAATTGACAACAGATTTTTGAGATTTTTGGTTTACAAAGCTGTCATAGAACTCAAATACAAATATCTATATAGAAATGATTTAATGATTTAGTGATGTCTTTGTTAGTATGTCATTTTACACGCCAGTTCACTATCTCCACCAAAAATGTACTTATAAAAGGTAGAAACACTATTATAGAATCTAGATCTCCAGGTTTCCAGGTTTTTGAAATTAGCTAAATAAAATGTTAAGTTCCTGATCACTCATTTGCCTTACATTTTAAGGATAATATTTTAAAGATAAAATGTGTTGTTATAAAAGTAAATAACAACATTACAAAAAGTTATATTTTTTAATAGAAATGGGGTCTTGCTGTCACCCAGGCTGGAATGCAGTGTCACTATCTGTACCCCTCTAACTCCTGAGTTAGAGGGGTCCAGATAGTGACACTCACTGTACCCTCTAACTCCTGGGCTCAAACAATCCTCTTGAGTAGCTAGGACTCCAGGCACATGCCACCATGCCCAGCTAGTTTTTAAATTTCTATATGGGAGAGAGGGTCTTGCTGTGTTGCCAAGGCTAGTCTCAAACTGCTCTCCTCCAGCAAGCCTCCCACTTCGGCCTCCTGAGTCATTGGGATTAGAGGCCTGAGCCATCATACCTGGCAAAGTTATACTATTCTTAAGAGATAAAAGATTATGAATACTGATGATATCCTCTGTTCTACAATGACCTGGGGCTGCTTTTGGTTCAGATTGGCTAAAAATTTAAATGTAAGTAACCTGAAAATCTTTATTTAGGAGACAGACACTCTTAGAATGTGATTTTATTACCTGTTGGATAAGCCACTGGGAGGAAAAAAAACCTTGGCACTTGACTATTGATTGTAACTAAAGAGGCAGCTGCTATTTGTTCACAAAGGGTCAGCTTAAACATTGCTATTGATTTTTAAATTTGATTTTGTTCCCCTATTCCTTTCTTTGTTATGTGGGGTCAATGTAATCATTAATCATCTTGTTTGGACTAATATGCCTCTGTTTCAGCATGGTGGGGAGTTATATTTCAGTGACGTCTATACGAGCCTTGAACTGCCAGAAGAAATCAGGACACACAAAGTTTTATGGGGTAGGTGATTTTGTTTAGTTTAGTATTAAGGCAGATGGTTGTACATGTGCAGAACTCCTTTCTGCTAATAGCCAGGATGAGGCTATATGAGATCACATGGGGTTAGGCCATGAGGCCAAGGTTCCATTCTTCCTCTGCCATTCAAAAGTGATAGGGCTTTGGATAGTTTAATTCATCTCTTTGAGTTATCGTTTTCCAAATTGTAAAATGTAAATAATAATACAATCTGCCTTATAGGGCTGTTATGAAGATTAAATGGGATAAAGAATGGGAAAAATACTTTGAAAACTCTAGTGTGGAAATGAGGACAATTGTTCCCAAGCTGGTGTCCTCTTAGTCCCCTTATGTTCTCATCATTATTGTGTTCTTTATTCCTTTATTATCATTTTAATAGTCTGGAAGTTGAGATAAATGCATGCTTTTCATCAGTCTATGAAATCAAAAGTTCTTATTCTTAAAATAATATTAACTTTATTCTTACTATGTAATAATAAATAGGTACCGTTAACAAGTTGGAAAGTGCCAAAAAAAAAAAAAAAAAAGAAAAAATTACTAAGCTGGACACAGTGGCACACACCTGTAACCCCAGATATTTGGGAGGCTGAGTCAGGAGGATTGCTTGAGCCTAGGAGTTCAGGTACAGCCTGGGTGTCATAGTAAAACCCTATCTCTTAAAAAAATTACTTATAATCATATAACCCAGTGATAACTTCTTTTTTTTTTTTTTTTTTTTTTGAGATGGAGTCTCGCTCTGTCACCCAGGCTAGAGTGCAGTGGCGCAATCTTGGCTCACTGCAACCTCCACTTCCCGGGTTCAAGTGATTCTCCTGCCTCAGCCTCCCAAGTAGCTGGGATTACAGGTGCATGCCACCATGCCCAGCTAATTTTTGTATTTTTAGTAGAGATGGGGTTTCACTGTGTTGGCCAGGCTGGTCTCCAACACCTGACCTCATGATCTGCCCACCTCGGCCTCCCAAAGTGCTGGGATTACAGGCATGAGCCACCGCGCTCGGCCTATGATTTATTTTTTATACTACTTTATTCACATAACAGTGCTTTTCAGAATGTGGCGTACTGCATACATGAATATTATGCTTGCAGCTGAGTAGAACCAATCCACCAGTGAGTGTCCTGAAGAATGGTTCCTAGAGACCATCAGCTAGCACACCCAGTCTTAACCATGGCTTTCTAGACCTTGGAGGGATGCTCAAGTTAGCTTCTACTGCTAGGATCTATGTTTTAACTAATACCATGTCCTAATTAATTATATAGAAGAATAGTTCCCTTAATACTGTATTAAGTGTTGGCTGGTCTGTGGTTTTTTGTTGTTGTTTGTTTTTTAGGTGAGTGTCTGGGTGGTGCTTTATACTGGAAGGAACTTGCTGTCCTTGCTCAAAAAATTGGGTTCTGCCCTCCACGTTTGGTCACTGCCAATCTCATTACAATTCAAAACAAGGAACTGGAAAGAGTTATCGGTAAGATATGACAGACAGCAGGGACTATTATAACTACAGCTTGAATGATTGAAATGTGGTGATTAGTAAGTAACTTCTGAAGGAGTCTCATTGAGGGATACTTTCTGTTATCTGGAAATAGCTATCTTGCCTCCTGTACAATGGTAACCCCCCAAAAATTTTGATATTTAATAAAGCACTTTGAAGTCATTCAGTAAATAGAGTGAAGTGCTCAGAAAGATAACTGATGACATGCAAGGAAGAAAATCATCTTTATAACGTGTTTGCTCCTTGTCTGCTGAGCAAGGCAACAACTGGGGGAGTGCTGGAGATGAACCGTGAATAAATTCTATTTTTAGGTGACTGTCGTTTTGTTTCTGCAACATTTCGCCTCTTCAAACACTCTAAGACAGGACCAACCAAGAGATGCCAAGTTATTTACAATGGAGGAATTACAGGACATGAAAAAGAACTAATGTTTGATGCCAATTTTACATTTAAGGTAAATAAAACAATTTCCATGACTTCTGGTATTCTTTCTGCTCTTGCCCTTGCTCCAGCTATCTTTTCTTGACTTTGCATTGCCTCCCATTTTTCTGGTGTTGGTTTGTTTGTGTGTGTGTTTAAATGTATGTGTGTGTTTCAAGTGGAGTAAAAAAGCATTTTTTCCCCAATACTTATTTATTTATTGACAGGGTCTCGCTCTGTCACCCAGGCTGGAGTGCAGTAGCACAATCATAGTTCACTGCAGCCTGACCTCCTGGGCTCAAGCGATCCTCCCACCTCAGGCTTCTGAGTAGCTAGGACTACAGACTCATCACCACACCTGGCTAATATTTGTATTTTTTGTAGAGATGGGGTTTTGCCATGTTGCCCAGACTGGTCTTGAACTCCTGGGCTCAAGTGATGTGCCCACCTCAGCCTCCCAAAGTGCTGGGATTACAGGCGTGAACCACCGTGCCCAGCCCTCAATATTTATTATAAAAATGTTTTTGGCCAGGTGCGGTGGCTCACACCTGTAATCCTAGCACTTTGGGAGGCTGAGGCAGGCAGATTACCTGAGGTCAGGAGTTCGAGACCAGCCTGACGAACATGGCGAAAACCCATCTCTACTAATAAAAATACAAAAATTAGCCGGGCGTGGTGGTGGGTGCCTGTAATCCCAACTACTCTGGAGGCTGAGGCAGGAGAATTGCATGAACCCGGGAGGTGGAGGTTGAGGTGAGCTGAGATCATGCCATTGCACTCCAGCCTGGGCAACAGAGTGAGACTCCATCTCAAAAAAAAAAAAAAAAAAAGAAGTTTTTGAATACAGAAAAGTTAATAGTACAATGAATACCCACATAGGCATTACCTATATTTCAGCAATTGAGAACATTTTTCCATGTTTGTGTGTTTATATGTGTATATATATATATATATTTATTTGCTGAGCCATTGAAAATAAGTTGCAGATATTATGACATTTTACCCTTAAATATTTCAGCATGCGTCCCATAGGAATGTAATATCCCTCTGCATAATCACAATACCATTACACACCTAAGAAAACTTTTTACAAGAAGCCTCATTCAGACATTGGATTAATAGGGCTATAGAGAAGTAGGATGGAAAAGAGTAGGAGTATGTACAATAGTATTTCAATTGTTTAATTGTGTCAAGGAATTAAGAAATTTTAATGTTGGATGATGGCACTAATTGGCATTTTTACTGCCCTGTGCATAGTAAGATTTGTTTTCTCAAAATGGAAAAGTTCAGGCTTTGGAATCAGATACCTGGGTTCAAATTCTGGCTCTATTATTATTGTTTTTTATTTTTTTTTCTGAATGTCACTAGACAAACTTTTATTGAAGCATAAATTGTGGTACAGAAATACATTTTAACTGATTTAAGTCCAACACCAGTGAAAGGAGAGATTATGGCACCAAAACTTTCCCTTTCCTATCATACCATGATTTAGATTATGATGCAATCTACATTTCTCTTTTCTAGGCTTTGTCCCATACAAATTTGGGCAGTTTTTCAACATTAGAATTTCAACATTAGAATTCTTAATTCTATTAGGAAAAAAAGCAACAAAAAAACCAGACCTCAAGTCAACAAATCTATTGGATATTGTTTATGAACGAAGTCCACGTTAAGCATTGGTCCTCAAAACAGAGCTCCTCAAAATATTAGGTGCTGTGCTCATTACAGAATCAAACTGATCACACTGATTGAAAACTTCCTCAATGAAATTTTCAATCAACAACATGCTTCAAATAAAAGTCAAACAGTGTTCCAACCACTTGACTTCAAACCAAGTAGATTTTAGGTTTAGAAACACTAAAAAAAGGTGTTTCATTTATAAATACAGAAGGAACAAAAACATCACTGCATCAATCCAGAAATTATCAAAATATTTAGAGGACAAGAAATATAAAATTTAGTCAACTTTGCTGCTTTCTCAGTTCCTTAAAATCCCAGAGTATCTGCAAATATAGCTAAAAAGTACCAACTCTTGAAAGCCTATATTACTAGTCATTTCCCATTGAGTATTTTGGAATTTTATTTATGTTCTACTTATTTATTCATGTATTCTGCTTTATGATGTTTATCTGAATAATCTGGACAAATTCTCATTCTGGGCAGTCATTCGTTTCATCCTATGAATGCCATGGTGAGGGAAACAGTGTAGTTAGAGGAACAGATGAAGTCAGAACACTCACATGCATCACGGTCACAGAACTTTAAGTCACAAGACAGAAAAGAAATCGATTCTGCTTTGGATCAAAGTTTATAGAACACTACTTAATGGAAACTAGTGGAAATGGCTGCTAAAGGAAAAGTTAAGGTGAATGATCCAAGCTGACTTGATTACTGAATCCAGAACAAAATTATGCTAAATCTCTCTGGTAATTAACTAAATAAAAATCATTTTATACTATTATTTAGTAAGTTAGTAAAGGCGTGCTACTCATTAGATGCTAATCTCATTTACTGAGGAACACAGAATTGTATATGTTTTCTGGCTCTATTATTTATTACTTGGGTAAACTTGAACAAGTCACCAAAATTCGTTGGGTTACAGTTTGTTCTACTGTAAAAGCAGGGATAATAATACTTACTTTGCAGAATTTCTATAAGGATTAGCAATAATGTAGCAAAACACTGGGTACATACTGCAAGTTCAGTGAAAAGAAGATACTGTCATTATTTGTTCCAAAAGTGGAAGAACTTACTATTAATATTTCATTTTTCTGATTTATTTATTTATCTATTTTAGAGACAAAGTCTCTCTCTGTCACCCATGCTGGAGTGTAGTGGCACAGTCATAGCTCACTGTAACCTCAAACTCCTGGGCTCAAGCGATTCTCCCATCTCAGCCTCCCAAGTAGCTGGGACTACAGGCATGTGTCACCATGCCTGGCTAATTTTTTATTTTTATTTTTTTGTTGGTGAGACAGGTTTTTTTTTTTTTTCTTTTTTGAGACCAAGTCTCGCTCTGTCACTCAGGCTGGAGTGCAGTGGCCCGATCTCGGCTCACTGCAAGCTCCACCTCCCGGGTTCACGCCATTCTCCTGCCTTAGCCTCCCAAGTAGCTGGGACTACAGGTGCCCGCCACCACACCCGGCTAATTTTTTGTATTTTTAGTAGAGTTGGGATTTCACCGTGTTAGCCAGGATGGTCTCAATCTCCTGGCCTCGTGATCCACCCGCCTCGGCCTCCCAAAGTGCTGGGATTACAGGCGTGAGCCACCACTCCCGGCCAAGACAGGTTCTTATATTGCCCAGGCTGGTCTTGAACTCCTGGCCTCAAGCAATTCTCCCACCTCAGCCTCCCAAAGTTGCAAGCATGTGTCACTGTGCCTGGCTTCTTCTGATTTTTTTGGTCTAAATAGCATCTCCAGATTTCTTTTTTTTTTTTAATTTAAAAAATGTATTTATTTCTTTATTTAGACACAGGGTCTTGCTATGTTGCCCACACTGGGGTACACTGGCTATTCACAGGTGTAAGCATAGCCCACTATAGTCTTGAACTCCTGGCCTCAAGGGATCCTTCCACCTCAGCCTTCCAAGTCTGGGACTACATCTGGCTAAGCATCTTCAAATTTCTTATTTATTTATTTATTTATTTTTGAGATGGAGTCTTGCTCTGTTGCCTAGGCTGGAGTGCAGTGACTCAATCTCAGCTCACTGCAACCTCTGCCTCCTGGGTTCAAGCCGATTCTCCTGCCTTAGCCTCTCGAGTAGCAGGGATTACAGGCGTGTGCCACCACACCCAGCTAATTTTTATATTTTTATTAGAGACAGGGTTTCACCATGTTGGCCAGGCTGGTCTCGAACTCCTGACCTCAGGTAATCTACCCGCCTCGGCCTCCCAAAGTGCTGGGATTACAGGCGTGAGCCACTGTGCCCGGCTGCATCTTCAAATTTCTTAAATACTCCTTGGTATAGTGGAGCCCTTAATGCTTTTCACTAATGCACTGCTCCTTGATGTGCTGCCTATTCCAGTAGATACACAGAATCAGAGTGGTAAGGGCCTTTGAAACCATTGATTTGTTCTAGTGGCTTTCAAAAACCATTTTTAATACAATTATTTTTTAAGCAAAATGTTTTATATATATATATATATGGTTTTTTTTTTTTTGAGATGGAGTCTTGCTCTGTTGCCCAGGCTAGAGTGCAGTGGTGCAATCTCGGCTCACTGCAACCTCAGCCTCCCTGGTTCAAGTGATTTTCCTGCCTCAGCCTCCCCAGTAGCTTGGACTACAGGTGGGTGCCAACGCACCTGGCTAATTTTTGCATTTTTAGTAGAGACAGGGTTTCACCATGTTGGCCAGGCTGGTCTTAAACTCCTGACCTCAGGTGATCTGCCCACCTCGGCCTCCCAAAGTACTAGGATTATAGATGTGAGCCACTGTGCCCAGCCAGAAATGCACTTTAAAAACCACCAGTCCTTGCCTGGGCATGGTGGCTCACACCTGTAATCCCAGCACTTTGGGAGGCTGAGGCGGGTGGATTACCTGAGGTCAGGAGTTCGAGACCAGCCTGATCAACATGATGAAACCCTGTCTCTACTAAAAATACAAAAATTAGCCGGGCGTGGTGGCGTGTGCCTGTTATCCCAGCTACTCGAGAGGCTAAGGCAGGAGAATCGGCTTGAACCCAGGAGGCAGAGGTTGCAGTGAGCTGAGATTGAGTCACTGCACTCCAGCCTGGGCAACAGAGCAAGACTTCATCTCAAAAACAAACAAACAAAGAAAAAACCCCCAATAGTCCAAAGCCCTAATTTTCCCCCCATTATTTATTTTTTTAATGGGCAAATTTTAAAAATTGTATATATATTTATGGTGTACAATGGGATGTTTTGACATATGTATACATTATGGAATGACTAAATCAAGATAATTAAAATGCATTACCTCACATACTCACCATTTATTTGTGATGAGATCAAAGTCTACTCTTTTAGCAATTTTCTTTTTTCTTTTCTTTTCTTTCTTTATTTCTTTTTTTTTTTTTTTTGAGGCAGAATCTTGCTCTGTCGCCCAGGCTGGAGTGCAGTGGCACAATCTCGGCTCACTGCAACCTCCACCTCTCAGGTTCAAGCGATTATCCTGCCTCAGCCTTCCAAGTAGCTGGGACTATAGGTGTGTGCTACCACACCCAGCTAATTTTTTGTATTTTTAGTAGAGATGGAGTTTCACCATGTTGGCCAGGCTGGTCTTGAACTCCTGACCTCAGGTGATCCCCCTGCTTCAGCCTCCCAAAGTGCTGGGATTACAGGCGCGAGGTGCCCAGCCTTTTAGCAATTTCCAATACATTGTTATTAACTATAGTCACCATGTTGTATAATAGATCTCTTTAACTTATTCCTGATAACTGAAATTTTGTATCCTTTAACCAACATCTATCCTGTTCCACCCCTGCCCTCCCACCCCCTACCCCCAGCCCCTGGTAAGAGCCTCTACTCTTCACCTCTATGAGTTCAACTTTTTGAAATTCCACATATAATCTAGCGAGGTTATGCAGTATTTGTTTTTCAGTGCCTGCAGATATGACATTTTTGGGTTCAACTTTTTGTTTGTTTTTGAGATGGAATCTCACTCTTGTCGCCCAGGCTGGAGTGCAGTGGCGTGATCTTGGCTCACTGCAATCTCCGCCTCCTGGGTTCAAGCCATTCTCCTGTCTCAGCCTCCTGAGTAGCAGGGATTACAGGCGCCTGCCACCGTGCCCAGCTAATTTTTGTATTTTTAGTAGAGACGGGGTTTCACTATGTTGGCCAGGCTGGTCTCTAACTCCTGACCTCAGACGATCTGCCTGCATTGGCCTCCAAAACTGCTGGGATTACAGGCATGAGACACTGCGACCGGCCAAACATTTTTTTAATGCATAATAGATGTACATACTTTCAGGGCACATCTGATAATTTAATATATTCATATAATTTGTACAGATCAAGTCAATGTAACTGGTATATCCATCGCCTTAAACATTTGTCTTTTCTTTATTCTAGGAACCCATTTGAATTATTCTTTTCTAGCTATTTTGAAATATACAATAGATTATTGTGAACTATAGTCACCCTACTGATCCATCGAACACTAGGTCTTATTTCTTCTTATTAAACTGGATTTTGTACTCATTAATCAAGCTCTCTTCATCCTCCCCACTCTACCTGGCGTCTGGTAACCACCAATCTACTCTCTATTATCATGAGGTCCACTTTTTTAGCTCCCACATATCAGCGAGAACATGTAATATTCGTCTTTTTGAGGTTGGCTTATTTCTCTTAACATAATGACCTGCAGTTCCATGCATGTTGCTGCAGGTGACAGGATTTCCTTCTTTTATTTTATTTTATTTTATTTTTTTGAGACAGAGTCTTACTCTGTCTCCCAGGTTGGAGTGCAGTGGCGTGATCTTGGCTCACTGAAACCTCCGGCTGCCAGGTTCAAGTAATTCTCCTGCCTCAGCCTCCTGAGTAGCTGGGACTACAGGCGCGTGCCACCACACCCAACTAATTTTTTTTTTTTTTTTTTTTTTTTTTTTTTTTTTTTTTTTTTTTTTTTTTTTGAGACGGAGTCTCGCTCTGTCGCCCAGGCTGGAGTGCAGTGGCGGGATCTCGGCTCACTGCAAGCTCCGCCTCCCGGGTTCACGCCATTCTCCTGCCTCAGCCTCCCAAGTAGCTGGGACTACAGGCGCCCGCCACTACGCCCGGCTAATTTTTTGTATTTTTAGTAGAGACGGGGTTTCACCGTTTTAGCCGGGATGGTCTCGATCTCCTGACCTCGTGATCCGCCCGCCTCGGCCTCCCAAAGTGCTGGGATTACAGGCGTGAGCCACCGCGCCCGGCCCACTAATTTTTGTATTTTTAGTAGAGATGGGGTTTCACATGTTGGCAAGGCTGGTCTCGAACTCCTGACCTCAGGTGATCCGCCTGCCTCGGCCTCCCAAAGTGCTGGGATTACAGGCTTGGGCCACCGCACCAGGCCAGGATTTCCTTCTTTTTCAAGTCTGAATAGTATTCCAGTGTGTACATATACTACTACGTTTTCTTTATCCGTTCATCTGTTTGAGTCTTCTTTTTTTCTTAGTTTAGCTAAAGATTTATTTTATTTTTTCAAAAAACTAATTTTTCATTTTGTTGATCTTCTGTATTTTTTTAGTCTCAATTTCATTTATTTCTGCTGTGATGTTCTTTCTTTCCTTCTACTAATTTTGAGTTTGATTTGTTCTTGCTTTTATAGTTCCCTCATGGGCATTACTAGGTTGTTTATTTGAAGTCTGTTCCTTCTTTCCTTCATTCCTTCCTTCCTCCCTCCCTCCCTCCCTCCCTTCTTCCTTCCTTCCATTCTTTCTTTTTTTTTTGAGAGGGAATCTCGCTCTGTTGCCCAGGTTGGAGTGCAGTGGCGCGATCTCAGCTCACTGCAACCTCCACCTCCCGGGTTCAAGCAATTCTCCTGTCTCAGCCTCCCAAGTAGCTGGGATTACAGGCATGCACCACCACGCCTGGCTAATTTTTTTGTATTTTTAGTAGAGACGGGGTTTCACCATATTGGCCAGGCTGGTCTTGAACTCCTGACTCTGCCCGCCTCAGCCTCCCAAAGTTCTGGGATTACAGGTGTTAGCCATTGTGCCCGGCCCTTCTTTCCTTTCTTCTTCTTTCTTTCTCAGGGTCTCACTCTGTCACCTGGACTGGAGTGCAGTGGTGCAATCATGGCTCACAGCAGCTTTGACCTCCTGGGCTCAGGCAATCCTCCTACCCCAGCATCCCAAGTAGCTGGGACTAAGGCTACCATGCCTGGCTGATTTTTGTATTTTCTGTAGAGACAGGCTTTCACCATGTTGCCCAGTCTGCTCTTGAACTCCTGGGCTCAAGCAATCCACCTGCCTTGGCCTCCCAAAGTGCTGAGATCTTATTTGAAATCTTTCAACTTTTTTGATATAGGCATTACTTGAAATCTTTCTACTTTTTTGATATAGGCATTTATTGCTATAAACTTTCCTCTTAGTGCTGCTTCTGCTGTATCCCATAGATTTTTGCATGTTGTATTTCCATTTTCATCTGTTTCAAGATATTTTAAATTTTTCTCCTAATTTCTTCATGGACCCATTGGCTATTCAGGAGCATGTTGTTTAATTTCCATGTGTTTGTGTATTTTCCAAGGTTCTTGTTATTGATTTCTAATTTTATTCCATAGTGGTGAGAAAGATACTTGTTATGATGTCTACTTTTCTGAATTTGTTAAGACTTGTTTTGTGGCCTAAGATATAGTCTATGCTGGAGAATGTTCCATGTGCTATTGAGCAGAATGTCTATTCTGCAGCAGTTGAGTAAAATGCTCTGTGAATGTCAGCTAGGCCTATTTGAGCTAGTATATAGTTTAATGTTTCTTTATTATTTTCTGTCTGGATGATCTGTTTTACTGAGAGTGAGGTGTGGTGTTAGAGTCCCCTACTACTATTGCATTACAGTATATCTCTTCTTTTAGATCTATTAATGTTTGCTTTATATACTTTGGAGCTCCAATGTTGAGTGCAAAGATACTTATATCTTCTTGCTGAATTGACCCCTTTATCATTATATAGTAACCTTCTTTGCCTCTTTGACAGCCTTGATTCACAGTCTGTTTTATCTGATGTAAGTATAGCTACTCCTGTTCTTTTTTGGTTTCCAGTTGCTTGGAATGTCTTTTTTCCACCCCTTAACTTCCAGTATTTTTATAAGTAAAGTAGGTTTCTTGTAGGCAGCATATAATTTGGTCCCATTTTTGTATCCATTCAGCCACTCTATTCCTTTTTTTTGGGGGGGGTTCCCAAGTTTTATTCAAGAACTCATACCAAATATTCCAGATAAATAAATTTTTATCTTCACCTTCCTCCTCTTCTTTTTCCAGGTTAATCTGGAATTAACGTCATTCATAATAACTCTTTTTGCTGTTAGCAACTACACACAACAAATCACATAGATTATTCTTCAAATATTTTTTGGTGAGATATTTCAAATACCTTTTGGAAAAAGGTACCTCAGAAGTCACAGTGATCTTGCTGTTGCTCCTTTCGATGGTTATAATGCTCCACCAAGATTCCCAGCTTTTCCATTCACTTTAATCCTCTCTTGCAAAAACTGCTCAAAATTGGCAGCATCTATGATTCCATTTTCTACAAGGTGGGTACAGTCAAGAGTGAACATCATAACCTGCTTCTTTTTTTGCCTCTCTTTGCCACAAGCTTTTTCACAGCACTATGCCTCTTAATTGGAGAATTGAGTCCATTTACATTTAGTGTTATTATTGATACATAAAGACTTAACATTTTTTTAAATTGATACATAATTGATGTAGCTATTTTGGGGCGTTCATGTGATAATTTAATACATTCATATAATTTGTAAAGATTAAATTAGTGTAATTGGGATACCTATCACCTTCAATATTTGTCTTTTCTTTTCTTTTTTTTTCTGTGAGATGGAGTTTTGCTTTTTTTGCCCAGGCTGGAGTGCAATGGCGCAATCTCGGCTCACTGCAACCTCCACCTCCCGGGTTCAAGCAATTCTCCTGCCTCAGCCTCCCGAGTAGCTGGGATTACAGGCATGCACCACCATGCTCAGCTAATTTTGTATTTTTAGTAGAGACGGGGTTTTACCATGTTGGTCAGGCTGGTCTCGAACTCCTGACCTCAGGTGATCCACTCGCCCTGGCCTACCAAAGTGCTGGGATTATAGGCATGAGCCACCACACCTGGCCCTGTCTTTTCTTTATGTTGGAAACATTCAAATTATTCTCTTCTAGCTATTTTGAAATATACAATATATTATTGTAAACTAGTCACTTTACTGATATATCAAACACTAGGTCTTATTTCTTTCATCAAACCCTATATATATATATATATATATATATATATATTTTTTTTTTTTTTTTTGAGACGGAGTCTCGCTCTGTCTCGCTCTGTCGCCCAGGCTAGAGTGCAGTGGCACAATCTCGGCCCACTGCAAGCTCCGCCTCCCGGGTTCATGCCATTCTCCTGCCTCAGCGCCCCGAGTAGCTGGGACTACAGGTGCCTGCCACCATGCCCGGCTAATTTTTTGTATTTTTAGTAGAGACGGGGTTTTACCATGTTAGCCAGGATGGTCTCAATCTCCTGACCTTGTGATCCACCCACCTCGGCCTCCCAAAGTGCTGGGATTACAGGCTTGAGCCACCGTGCCCGGCCAAACCCTATATTTATAACCATTAATCAACTTCTCTTTATCTCCCCCATTCTGTACCCTTTCTGGCCTTTGGTAACTATCAATATACTCTCTATCTTAATGAGTTCCACTTTTTTTAGCTTCCACATATCAGTGAGAACATATGATATTTGTCTTTCTGTGTTTGCCTTATTTCTCTTAACATGACCTGCAGTTCCATGCATCTTGCTGCAAATGACAGGATTTCCTTCTGTTTTAAAATCTGAATAGTATTCCATTGTGTATATATGCCACGTTTTCCTCATCCATTCATCCATTGCTGGATGCTTAGGTTGATTCCATATCTTGGTTATTGTGATTAATGCTGCAGTCAACATTAGGAGTGCAGATATTTCCCTGACATACTGATTTCATTTCATTCCCTTCCCTTCCCCTGCCTGTCTGCCTGCCTTCCTTCCTTCCTTCCTTCCTTCCTTCCTTTCTTCCTTCCTTCCTTCCCTTCCTCCCTCCACCCCCCCCGCCCCTTTCAGATGGAATCTGGCTCTGTCGCCCAGGCTGGAGTGCAGTGGCGCAATCTCAGCTCACTACAACCTCCGCCTCCTGGGTTCAAGCAATTCTTCTGCCTCAGCCTCCCGAGTAGCTGGGATTACGGGCATGTGCCGCCATACCCAGCTAATTTTTTTGTATTTTTAGTAGAGGCAGGGTTTTACCATATTGGCCAGGCTGGTCTCGAACTCCTGACCTCATGATCCACCTGCCTCAGCCTCCCAAAGTGCTGGGATTACATAGGTGTGAGCCACCGTACACAGCCAGTTTCATTTTCTTTTCTTTTTTTTTTTTTTTTGAGACGGAGTCTCGCTCTGTTGCCCAGGCTGGAGTGCTGGAGTGCAGTGGCACGATCTCGGCTCACTGCAAGCTCCACCTCCCGGGTTCACACCATTCTCCTGCCTCAGCCTCCCAAGTAGCTGGGACAACAGGCGCCTGCCACTATGTCCGGCTAATTTTTTGTATTTTTTTAGTAGAGATGGGGTTTCACTGTGTTAGCCAGGATGGTCTCGATCTCCTGACCTTGTGATCGGCCCACCTCGGCCTCCCAGAGTGCTGGGATTACAGGTGTGAGCCACCGCGCCTGGCCCATTTTCTTTAGATATATACCCAAGTAGGGGGATTGCTGGGTCATATAGTAGTTCTATTTTTAATTTTTTGAGGAATCTCCATACTGTTTCCCATAATGGCTGTACTAATTTAAATTCCCACCAACAGTGTGTAAGGATTAGTGCTGGTGAGGATGTGGAGAAAACGATACTTCTGGGCATTTTTTCTTCTATTGAGACTAAAGTTGCAACTCTTAGTATTTTTTTTTATACTACCCTTTAGGAAGGTGAAATTGTTGAAGTGGATGAAGAAACAGCAGCTATCTTGAAGAATTCAAGATTTGCTCAAGATTTTCTGATCAGACCAATTGGAGAGAAGTTGCCAACATCTGGAGGCTGTTCTGCTTTGGAGTTAAAGGTTAGTTTGGCTTTCACTACCTGAGAGAACTATTTTATTTATTTATTTTTGAGATGGAGTCTCTCTCTGTCACCCAGACTGGAGTGCAGTGGTGTGATCTTGGCTCACTGCAACCTCCGCCTCCTGGGTTCAAGCAATTCTCCCTGCCTCAGCCTCCCGATTAGCTAAGATTACAGGCACCCACCACCACGCCCGGCTAATTTTTGTGTTTTTTAGTAGAGATGGGGTTTCGCCATGTTGGCCAGGCTGGTCTTGAACTCCTGACCTCAGGTAACCCACCTGCCTCAGTCTCCCAAAGTGCTGGGATTACAGGCGTGAGCCACTGTGCCCGGCCAGTATGCATGGTCTCTTGAGGCGCACTTCTCTTGCTGGTCAAATGTTGTTAGACGGTTATATACCAGTTAAACGCCACCATTTTGCCTCTTAATGTGCATGCTTGAGCCCACTTGCCCAACTCCCGAGATCTTATCGGGAAGCTGCTGATCACCAGTTTCAGGTGTTTCTGTTTATTGGGAGACTTCCTTTCCCTGGTACTGTCTGTGACTAATTATGATTTTCGAGAGACAGTTAACAACCACCTGATCATCACCTAATGATCGCCTGACATTCCTGGTGGAGTCGGCGCGGGGAGCCCTCTCCTGCCCTGCTCACGCCTGACTAGCTATTATACCTGCTTTAACAAGTTCTCCAAAATTCAGAGACCTTTCGTGAGTATTCTGATTTTATAATAAAATAGTTATTTGCATAAGTTTAGTAAGAGTCTTTTCTCTCAAAACAGGACAATTGGAGACACTTGGTTATTTTACCAAAGCTTTGACTGGAATAACATTTGTAGGTAAAGTTCCAGCAAAGCCAACTTGAAAAGAGCCTATCTGGCCAAACTCTTGCTGGACTTCATGCAAATGATCAGGCAAAGTTTAATAAGCCTAAAATTTATTTTGCACATAAATTGGCCTTACTATAATTTGTCTTTAGTATAAAAGGAGGAGCTGGGTGCAGAAGTTCACACTCATAATCCCAGCACTTTGGGAGGCTGAGACAGGCAGATCACTTGAGGCCAGGAGTTTGACACCAGCCTGGGTAACATGTTGAAACCCTGTCTCTACCAAAAATACAAAAAAATTATCTGGGTATGGTGGTGCATGCTGGTAGTTCCAGTTACTCAAGAGGCTGAGATGGGAGGATTGCTTGAGCCCAGGGAGGTGGAGGGCAATGAGCCAAGACTGCACCACTGCACTCCAGCCTGGGCAACAGAGTGAGACTCTGTCTCAAAAAAAAAAAAAAAAAAAAAAAAAAGAAAGAAGGCTAGAGAGAGAAATGGTTTCAAAGGAAAACTATAACACTTGTTACTAGATTTCCAGCCTGGACTTTTGTTTTTGAGTGCATATTGAATCATTAATTATTTCTTGGCTACAATAACCCTCTAAAGATAAACCAGGTTATAATTTTTCTTCATGTTTTTAGTTTGTGCCCTAAGTGGAATAGGTTCCTTATTCTGTTCTGACACACGAATACTCTTTTGACTGTCATATTATTAATGTTATTTATAGCTCCTTGTTTTACTTCCAAAGAAACCAGAATCATGATATTCTAAGGTTAGAGAATCCCCCGTTTGGAATCCCACTGGTCCTAATCTGCTTTTCACTGCAAATTCCGTGCTGCTAAAATTATATAAGCACTCTTCTCTAGGCCCAGGGACCTATCACACAAAAGGTAGGTGTGTGAGACTGTAAGGGCCAGTTTTGAGAGAATTATTTCAGACTCTCCAAATCAAAAATGGGCACACAGATGCATAAACAGCTGGTAAAATAAGGGACTCTGCCTCCTGGGTTATTATGTGTGTGGCACCTTTTCATCCATCCCAATCATAAAGAATTTCCTGCTTCTCGTAGAATGAAAAGAAAATTATTACTGAGAGGATATAAAGGTACCTCATGTCAAAGCCTCCTAGGTTTAATACTCTGAGTTATGAGATTTATGCAGATAACATATATATTTTTTAAAATTTTAGAACAGGCCAGGCACAGTGGCTCAAGCCTGTAATCCTAGCACTTTGGGAGGCCAAGGTGGGCAGATTGCCTGAGCTCAGGAGTTCAAGACCAGCCTGGGCAACATGGTGACACCCCATCTCTACTAAAATACAAAAAATAAATTAGATGGGCATGGTGGCGTGCGCCTGTAGTCCCAGCTACTTGGGAGGCTGAGGCAGGAGAATTGCTTGAGCCCGGGAGGCGGAGGTTGCAATGAGACGAGATTGAGATGGCGCCACTGCACTCCAGCCTGGCAACAGAGTGAGACTCTGTCTCAAAATAAATAAATAAATAAATAAATAAATAAATAAATAAATAAATAATTTTAGAACAAATTACTGAAAGACCACAAAAAAAAAAACTGTAGCACAACGGAAGTCTCTAAATTCCTTAGCTTAAAAGGTTTTAACAGTGCTTATGTTTTGTATAGCTAATTGCTGTAAGTCTGTAACTAAAACCAAGATTACAGTAGCACAATGCATAGAAGTTAAAGATAAGTCAATTTTTTAACCTCACCTTTGGCTTTTTGTTTGTTGGCTTTTATATTAAGAAATTTTAAGGGTTTATTAATGCCTATCCACATCCATTCCCATCTGGCCTAGAACTTTCTTTTTTTTGGTGGGGGAGGGGGACGGAGTCTTCCTCTGTCACCCAGGCTGGGGTGCAGTGGCGTGATCTCATCTCACTGCAACCTCCGCCTCACAGGTTCAAGTGATTCTCCTGCCTCAGCCTCCTGAGTAGCTGTAATTACAGGCATGTGCCACCATGCCTGGCTAATTTTTTTTTCTTTTTTTTTTTTTTTTCCGAGATGGAGTCTTGCTCTGTTGCCCAGGCTGGAGTGCAGTGGTGCGACCTCGGCTCACTGCAACCTCTGCCTCCCAAGTTCAAGCGATTCTTCTGCCTCAGCCTCCAGAGTAGATGGGACTACAGGTGCGTGCCACCATGCCTGGCTAATTTTTATTTTATTTTTTTAGTAGAGATGGGGTTTCATCATATTGGCCAGGCTGGTCTCGAACTCCTTACCTCATGATCCACCCACCTTGGCCTCCCAAAGTGCTGGGATTATAGGCATGAGCCACTGTGCCCAGCCCTAATTCGTATTTTTAGTAGAGACAGGGTTTCACCATGTTGGTCAGGCTGGTCTCAAACTGCTGATCTTAGGTGACCAACCTGTCTCGGCCTCCCAAAGTGCTGAGATTACAGGGGTGAACCACCATGCCTGGTCTGGCCTAGAACTTTCAAATTCGCTATGTGTCTTTTGGCTCTAAGCCCCTTGACCATAGGGGTCCCACCAAGGCACAAGATGGACCCAGGGAAGGCAGCTGTGCCACCCCAGCAACACAGTGAGATAAAATAAAAGTTTGGTGACCATTGATGTTGCCTCTGACAAATCTAGGCCAGAATGCGGAGAAAGTAAATCAAAAATAAAATTCTAGGCCGGGCGCGGTGGCTCACACCTGTAATCCCAGCACTTTGGGAGGCCGAGGCGGGTGGATCACAAGGTCAGGAGTTCGAGACCAGCCTGGCCAACATAGTGAAACCCCGTCTCTACTAAAAATAAAAAATCAGCCAGGCGTGGGGGCAGGCACCTGTAGTCCCAGCTACTTGGGAGGCTGAGGCAGGAGAATTCCTTGAACCTGGGAGGTGGAGGTTGCAGTGAGCCGAGATCATGCCACTGCACTCTAACCTGGGCGACAGAGCGAGACTCCATCTCAAAAAATAAAAAAAAATAAAAAAATAAAAAAATAAAATAAAATTATAAACCCTCAACCATCTGAACGGACCCCTCCTGTCGGGCAAAGGCATTGCAAAGTTATCCTAAAAAACTAGTTCAGGTCACGAAGGGAAGGAGAAGTTTGGACATGCCTCATTATTCCCTCCTCCCTTTTGGAATTCAGACACTGCTGACCAGCATTACCATTAAAACAGATCTTAAGACTGATAGAACAGACTCTTTAAATCTGGTAAGAAACATTTACAATCTATTCTCTCTGTAGCCTGCTGCCTAGAGGCTTCATCTGCATGATAAAACCTTGGTCTCCACAATCTCTTATCATAACCTAGACACTCCCTTCTATTGATCCCAGGTCTTTGGATTATAACTCAACCAATTGCCAATCACAAAATCTTTGAATCTGCCTGTGACCTGGAAATCCCCACTTCCAGTTGTCCCACGTTTCTGGTCTGAACCAATGTACATATTATATGTATTGATTGATGTCTTATGTCTCTCTAAAATGTATAAAACCAAGTTATAGGGTGACCACTTTGGGCACATGTTTGCAGATCTCCTGAGGGCTGTGTCACAGGCCATTGGTCACTTATTTGGCTCAGAATAAATCTTTTTAAGTATTTTAGAGTTTGACCCTTTTTGTTGACAATGTTTAACATCCTACAGTTATGACACCCTAATTTGAATTTATACAGCTTAACTTCAATAACATACTAAAATTCTGCTCCTTTAAAGCTTGTTCTCAACTATTTTAGTTCTTTTTTTTTTTTTTCCATTGACAGAGTTTCACTCTATCACCCAGGCTGGAGTGCAGTGGCACGATCTTGGCTCACTGCAGCCTCTGCCTCCTGGGTTCAAGTGATTCTCCTGCCCCAGCCTCACAAGTAGCTGGGATTACAGGTGCGCCAGCCACCATGCCTGGCTAATTTTTTGTATTTTTAGTAGAGGCGGGGTCTCATCATGTTGGCCAGCCTGGTCTCGAACTCCTGACATCAGATGATCCACCAGCCTCGGCCTCCCAAAGTGCTGGGATTACAGGTGTGAACTACCACGCCCGGGTCTTTCTAGTTCTTGATATCACAAAATTATGTCTTTATTCATTTTGTGCCCCCAAAACGTAAACTAATAATTATTTTAAATGCATTGGTCTCTTAAATCATGTGGAAAACAAAAAGTAGAGTTACAAACCATTGTTACAATAATACTAGCTTTGCCGGGTGTGGTGGCTTACGCCACCAGGTGATCCACCCACCTAGGTTGCCCAGCCTGGGCAACAAGAGCACAACTCCATCTCAAAAAAACAAAAACAAATAAACAAAAAACCCCAATAATACCAGCTTTTTTTTTTTTTTGAGACAGAGCTTCGCTCTTGTTGCCCAGGCTAGAGTGCAATGGTGCGGTCTTGGCTCACCGCAACCTCCGCCTCCTGGGTTCAAGCGGTTCTCCTGCCTCAGCTTCCCAAGTAGCTGGGATTACAGGTGCGCACCATCACAGCCGGCTAATTTTTGTATTTTTAGTAGAGACGGGGTTTTACCATGTTGGTCAAGCTGGTCTCAAACTCCTGACCTCAGGTAATCCACCTGCCTTGGCCTCCCAAAGTGCTGGGATTACAGGCATGAGCCACCGTGCCCGGCCAATCCCAGCACTTTGGGAGGCTGAGGCTGGCAGACCACTTGAGGTCAGGAGGTCAAGACCAGCCTGGCCAACATGCTGAAACCGTGTCTGTACTAAAAATACAAAAATTAGCTGGGCACGGTGGCAAATGCCTATAATCCCAGTTACTTGGGGGGCTGAGGCAGGAGGATCGTTTTGAGCCCGGGATGTGGAGGCTGTAGTGAGCCGTGATCACAACACTGTACCCCAGCCTGGGCGACAGAGCAAGACCCTGCCTCAAAAAAAAAAAAAAAAAAGCACAAAGCTTTTTGAGAAATCACTTTCAAAAATGGTACATTTGTAGTTGGGGAAGGTTAATCGAACCTAAAATATAAGAATCCTGGACCCCAAAACCTGGAGCCAGTATTACCAGCATGAATCTAACCCAAGCTCAGTATACAAGCCACCTGTAGAGCTAAAGAGTGATTTACTAGGCCGGGCACGGTGGCTTACGCCTGTAATCCCAGCACTTTGGGAGCCGAGGCGGGTGGATCACGAGGTCAGGAGTTCAAGACCAGCCTGGCCAAGATGGTGAAACCCCGTCTCTACTAAAAATACAAAAAAAATTAGCCGGGCGTGGTGGCATGCGCCTGTAATCCCAGCTACTCCAGAGGCTGAGGCAGAGAATTGCTTAAACCTGGAGGGGCGGAGGTTGCAGTGAGCCGAGATCGCGCCACTGCACTCCAGCTGGGGTGACAGAGTGAGACTCCATCTCAAAAAAAAAAAAAAAGAGTGATTTACTTTCTTTGCTTTATTAAATTCTTCAGCACTCTGCTATTCTGACTCTTCTGTTGTTCGAAGAAGGTGATACTTTGGAAAGTAGACAGATTTGGCTTTTGAGTATTCAATCCATTAAACATTTCAAAAATATGTCACTGATATTTTGAAACTCCTGAGAGTTCATTGATAAGGAAAGCTGCTGGTGAGAATCAATATTTATTTTAAAAGGCTTTTATCATTCTAATTCTTCTAAAACCTGGTTTCCTAAATACTGATTATAAAAGCTATCAGAAGGCGTGGTGGCTCACGCCTGTAATCCCAGCACTTTGGGGAGGCCGAGGCGGGTGGATCACGAGGTCAGGAGATCGAGACCATCCTGGCTAACACGGTGAAACCCCGTCTCTACTAAAAATACAAAAAATTAGCCGGGCGTGGTGGCGGGTGCCTGTAGTCCCAGCTACTCGGGAGGCTGAGGCAGGAGAATGGCGTGAACCCGGGAGGCGGAGCTTGCAGTGAGCAGAGATCATGCCACTGCACTCCAGCCTGGGCGACAGAGTGAGGCTCCGTCTCAAGAAAAAAAAAAAATGCTATCAGAAGATAATGGTTACAAGTAAAGAGGGTCTTTCCTCGAGCTACAGTATTTTCAGTGTACTCTGGCTTTTTTTTTTTCCTTTGAGACAGAGTCTCGCTCTGTCACCCAGGCTGGAGTGCAGTGGCACGATCTTGGCTTACTCCTCCGCCTCCTGGGTTCAAACAATTCTCCTGCCTCAGCTTCCCGAGTAGCTGGGACTACAGGCACACGCCACCACGCCCGGCTCATTTTTTGTATTTTAATAGAGACGGGGTTTCACCGGGTTGCCCAGGCTGGTGGTGAACTCCTGAGCTCAGGCAATCCGCCCGCCTCGGCCTCCCAAAGTGCTGGGATGACAGGTGTGAGCCACTGTGCCCAGCCACTCTGGCTATTTTTTTTAAAAAAGGAGTTAAATGAGTTTGCTTCTGCAGATGACCATTTTCTTTCTGCGTAGCTGTCCTTGTTCTCCCTCCCAGTGTGCGTGCAACACATGTACAGGAGGTTCTTGACCTTAGATATAAATTGTAAAATTCCACATATTTGAACTGGTTTATCCCAACATAAGGTCTCCTTTCTGCTTTATTTCAGCCTGCAGATGTGCCAATGTCTTTAGGTCAGTTTCAAGTTTTTGAAATGGGAATAAGTGACACTGAAGGAAGATTTTAATAAATGAAACAGTTGTGTGACCTAGGAATATAACCTTGTGCTCTTAGGGAAGGACATTCTTATCTTTTTTTTTTTTTTCTTAACGGAAGACCTTTATGATAAACGCTGGAGTACAGACAGTACACGCAGCTGGCATGCAGGGTATTGCATATACTTAACATCTTGAGAGTCCTTCTGCTTTTTCTTCATCTTCTTTTTAATCCTGATATGCAAAATGTATTTTGCCATTAAAACAATTGTACTATTAAAACACTGCAGCATCTGGCTGGGCGTGGTGGCTCACACCTGTAATCCCAGCATTTTGGGAGGCTGAGGCGGGTGGATCACTTGAGGTCAGGAGTTCAACAGCAGCCTGTCTAACATGGTGAAACCCCCTCTCTACTAAAAATACAAAAATTAGCTGGGTGTGGTGGCGGGTGCCTGTAATCCCAGCTTTTTGGAAGACTGAGGCAGGAGGATCACCTGGGAGGCAGAGGTTGCAGTGAGCCAAGATCGTGCCACTGCACTCCAGCCTCGGCGACAAAGGGAGACTCCCTCTCAAAAACAAAAAAACAACAAAACACTGCAGCATCTGAAATGATGCAAACAGGATTAGGGCTATGGACTGTCTTAATAGTAATGGTAGTAATAGCATTAACAACCATAGCAGTAATATAGAGGAATTAACTTTTATTGAATAGTTAATATGTTTAAGGCACCCTGTCATTTAGTCCTCACAATCACCCCTATTATCTTCATTTGACAGATGGAGAGACTGAGGCTCTGAAAGATTCATTTACAAATCCAAAGTCATACAGCTAGAAAGTGGTGAATTTGCACCCACATCTGATTCTGGAGCTGGCACTCTAAACCAGTGTGCTGCTCCATCTCTCCATAGTTGTACTTCTCATAGAATCACAGGATGTTGGTGCAGGAAAGGACTGCTTATATCTGGGTACCCCACCTTTCATTTCCTTCAAGTCTTGAGATCTTTTTGAACTAGAAGCATGCATTTAGAAGTGATATTGATATCACCATCTCCTGTTGGTAGATAGATCATTGAGTGGAAAGAAGAGGGTTCAAGGGATTCTCCCACCTCAGCCTCATAGTAGCCACCACGCCCAACTAATTTTTATATTTTCAGTAGAGACGGGGTTTCATCATGTTGGCCAGGCTGGTCTCGAACTCCTGACCTCAGGTGATCCACTGCCTTGGCCTCCCAGAGTGCTGGGATTACTCCCAGAGTACATGAGCCACCGCACCAGGCCAGGGCAAACCCTTTCAAGCAGGAGTTCCAGTATACTGAGAGATGGAAATGCAATTGATGTGAAGTCCTAGCAGTAGCAACCAGCAGAGCTGGCCTTCTTCCAGGCTTGGAGATCCTCTGCCAGATGCTCATCTTACCAGATGCAGGCAGACCTCTTCATTTCAGAAAGGTAGACACTGAGGGACAGAGAGACCAAGGCCAGCAGGAAGTCAGTCACTTTAGTAAAGGGTCCACCAGTCTATCAGTTTCATGAATGTAGAGTCTGTGCCTGCCTTGTACACCCCTCTATTTGCAGTGACCAGAATAAGTAGTAGGACTGTAAATTTATGTTATAATGAATTCATTACCATTATTTAAAGTGGCATGTTCATGCTTTTTTTTTTTTTTTTGAGATGGAGTCTCGCTCTGTCACCCAGGTTGGAGTGCAGTGGTGTGATCTCAGCTCACTGCAACCTCCACCTCCTAGGTTCAAGTGATTCTCTTGCCTCAGCCTCCCGAGTAGCTGAGACTACAGACGTGCCACCACACCCAGCTAATTTTTTGTATTTTTAGTAGAGATGGGATTTTGCCATATTGCCCAGGCTTGTCTCAAACTCCTGGCCTCAGGTGATCCATTGGCCTCGGCCTCTCAAAGTGCTGGGATTACAGGCGTGAGCCACCGTGCCCAGACCCTGTGCTCTTGATTTCCTATCTTTGTACTTGGCTTTTCTCTGGCCCCACTGGTACTATTGTTAGAGGTATCTCATTTGGAGGTGAAAGGAGGGGAAATAAATACAGCAGTCTTGTCTTTTAAATAAATACAGCAGTCTTATGTTACTCTACTCTGAGATCTGTCTGGCCATTGTTGGCAATTTCATCTGAGCATCAGCAATTGCTAGTGACAGCCCTACATCTGGGACTCACTTTCCTGTTTGGTATAAATGTTTCTGGAGATTAGAATAAGGGAAGAGAAGTCGTTTTAGCATTTCCGTATCTCAGTTCCAAAGAGGTTTAAAAGGCACGTGCAAATGACAACCCCACAAAACAAAATCAACTGAGCAAAAATCAATGCTCTGCCCAAGAGGGACCATCTTTAAGAAGCTTTAAGTGAAGTTTACCTTGAAAGTTGTAATTAGAAGCTTCAGGAAGCAAGTGCCTTTATGGCAGAATGACTGATGTTACTCCCAGGATCTCATGGAATTGTAAAATTTTATCTCTGTTCTGTGTAAGTCAACCTAAATCAAACAGAAATATTAGTGTTTGGGTACATCAAAACACCTTTAACTTGTCCTTTCATTTTGGTTTGCCTTTTGACAGGATATAATCACAGATCCATTTAAGCTTGCAGAAGAGTCTGACAGTATGAAGTCCAGATGTGTCCCTGATGCTGCTGGAGGCTGCTGTGGCACAAAGAAAAGCTGCTAAATCTATAGCCAACCAGGGGACCACAGTAGTGGGCAAGAGTGATCTGCATGTTTTTTAACCTGCTTTTCCCCATAGCACAGACCATAAGAAACAACAAATGGGGCCGGGCACAGTGGCTCATGCCTATAATCCCAGCACTTTGGGAGGCCGAGGCAGGCAGATCACCTGAGGTCAGGAGTTTGATACCAGCCTGGCCAACATGGTGAAATCCTGTCTCTACCAAAAATACAAAAAAAATTAGCTGGGCATGGTGGTGCACACCTATAGTCTCAGCTACTCGGGAGGCTGAGGCAGGAGAATTGCTTGAACCCAGGAAGTAGAGGCTGCAGTGAGTAAGCATCACGCCACTGTACTCCAGCCTGGGCAACAGAGCAAGACTCTGTCTCAAAAGCAAAAAAAAAAAAAAAAAAAGAAAGAAAGAAAAAGAAAACAACAAATGGCAGAGAGCCACCATATTCCAAATCACTGAAAAAAATAAATGAATTATTTTTATTTATTTATTTATTTTTTTGAGATGGAGTCTCGGTCTGTTGCCCAGGCTGAAGTGCAGTGGCCCCATCTCAACTCACTGCAAGCTCCACCTCCTGGGTTCACGCCATTCTCCTGCCTCAGACTCCCAAGTAGCTGGGACTACAGGCACCTACCACCATGCCCAGCTAATTTTTTGTATTTTTAGTAGAGACGGGGTTTCACCATGTTAGCCAGGATGGTCTTGATCTCCTGACCTCGTGATCCGCCCGCCTCGGCCTCCCAAAGTGCTGGGATTACAAGCATGAGCCACTGCGCCCGGCCATAAATGAATTATTTTTAAGAGGCATTGATTAAAGATTCACAGCAAATCACTAGTTAAGCAGATTTTTTTTCTATTTCCTACTTCAAAGTTCTGGTGCCACATAGTGGTCAGAAATGGAACAGAGAAGCTGTCTTAAGCCTTGTTCAAGAAGCAGGAAAGGCATCAGAAGAAGTAACAGTTGGCAGAGGGTCTCAGGAAAAACATCTTCCTTCTGATCTTTTGCATAGCACCTTTTGGAATTTTCATCATGTTTGCTTATTAAACAAAGCTCCTACTGCCATCATACTAATCATGCAAAAAGATTGCCAAATCATGTTTGGTAGGAGGACTTTTGAGGTAGCTTTTGAACAAATGTTTTTTTCTTTTTTCTTTTTTTTTGCAATAAAGAAAACAAATTAATCATAAACATCTTTGAATCAAGTATCTCAAGAAAACAAATGAATCATAAGTATCTCACCCTAATGACTGATGACATAGTGATTATTTATTGTAAATTATCCTAACTGGGTCAGGAATAGAGTTCGATCGTTTTTTAAAAAGAGAGCTAAAAGATGTAAAAATGACCAGGCATGGTGGTATGTACCTGTAGTCCCAGCTACTGGAGAGGCTGAGGCAAGAGGATCGCTTGAGCCCAGGAGTTCCAGGCTGCAGTGAGCTATGATTGCACCACTGCACTCCAGCTGGGTGACAGAGCAAGACCCTGTCTCTAAAAAACAATAAATAAATAGGCTGGGTGCGATGGCTCACGCCTGTAATCCCAGCACCTTGGGAGGTCAAGGTGGGTGGATCACTTGAGGTCAGGAGTTCGAGACCAGCCTGACCAACATGGTGAGACCCCCATCTCTACTAAAAATTCAAAACTCAGCCGGGTGTGGTGGCATGTGCATGTAATCCCAGCTACTCGAGAGGTTGAGGCACAAGAATTGCTTGAATCTGGGAGGTGGAGGTTGTAGTGAGCCAAGATCGCACCACTGCACTCCAGCCTGAGTGACAGAGTGAGACCCTGTCAAAGAAAGAAAGAGAGAGAGAGAGGAAGGGAAGGAGAGAGGAAGGGAGGGGAGGGAGGAAAGAGATGTAAAAATGGTAGGTTTTCTTTTTCTTTATAAGGTGTCCTGGTTAAACTTTTAGCAAAATGATAGATTCAGTTTTTCCATAGTTAAAGAAGAATATTAAGAACATTAAAGAAAGGTTCAAGGATGGTAAATAATTTGAATTCCAGCTGTACTTGAAGACTTTATTGGAGGACACAGAAAGGTATAAGTGATGGTCATTATCATCAGGAGCTGGATAATTCAGTTTTTAAATAACAGCCTTCAGGCTGGGCGCGGTGGCTCACACCTGTAATCCCAGCACTTTGGGTGGCCGAGGTGGGTGTATTGCTTGAGTTCAGGAGTTCGAGACCAGCCTGGACAACATGGTGAAACCCTATCGCTACTAAAAATTCAAAAAATTAGCTGGGTGTGGTGGTGCACGCCTGCAATCCCAGCTACTCGAGGCTGAGGCACGAGAATTGCTTGAACCCAGGGGATGGAGGTTCCAGTGACCCGAGATTGCGCCACTGCACTCCAGGCTGGGTAATAGGGCGAGACTCCGTCTCAAAAACAATAAATACAAATAAATAAATAAATAGCCTTCAACCAATCAAGGGTTTTGATAAGATGTCAACCAGTTGCCCTGGGCTCAGTACAAAAACAACCAGGGGCATGGCATGGTCCAGGGGATTTCGGACTAGGGGTTTGAGAATTTTAAGGCATGTAAAACATTGGAATGGATTCCGTAGGATAGACTTCTGTTTTAAGAAAGCTGTTTAATATGGAGAAATTCTCAAATTTTTGAGTAGGTTCAGCTATAGAGCCTAACTTACTATTACAGACAGAGGAAAGAACTAGGTAGTATTTTTTTAAGCCCTATTCACCTCCATGACCTTAATTTTAAACATGCTTGCTTGGTTCTAGGGTGCCGTATCTATCTAGTCGTAACCTACTTTAATGTGAAAATGGTACATTACAGCATTAGCTACAATGGTACAGCTGGAATAAGCATACTTTGCTCTTCATGAGCACAAGATGGCCCTGCTTGGGGGGAATTGATTGAAGGGTGTTCTGTTGGCTGGGTGTGGTGGCTCATGCCTGTAATCCCAGTACTTTGGGAGGCTGAGGCGAGTGGATCACTTGAGGCCAGGAGTTCAAGACCAGCCTGGCCAACATGGCAAAACTCTGTCTCTACTAAAAATACAAAAATTAGACAGGCATGGTGGCCAAGGCCTATAATCTCAGCTACTCAGGTGGCTGAGGCACAAGACTCGGCTGAGCCTGGGAAGTGGAGGTTGCAGTGAGCCTGGGAAGTGGAGGTTGCAGTGAGCCGAGATCACACCACTGCACTCCAACTTGGGTGGCAGAGCGAGACTCTGTCTCAGAAAAAAAAAAGGGGGGGGGTGTTTTGTTTATTTGGTTTATTGGGCTTTTTGGCATTTACAAGGAGAGGGTATTAGCTTTTTACTTGTCCTTCTGAACTCTCAGTTCCCCAAAAAGATGTTGAGTAATGGGATTGGGCTGGGCAACTTAGCAAGACCCCATCTCTAAAAAATAAAAATTTTATATTTTTTTATTTTTATTTTTTTTCAAGACGGAGTCTTGCTCTGTCGCTCAGGCTGGAGTGCAGTGGCATGATCTTGGCTCACTGCAACCTCCGCCTCCCAGGTTCAAGTGATTCTCCTGCCTCAGCCTCCCGAGTAGCTGAGATTACAGGCACACACCACCACACCTGGCTAATTTTTGTATTTTTAGTAGAGACGAGGTTTCACCATGTTAGCCAGGGTGGTCTCAAACTCCTGACCTCATGATCCACCTGCCTTGGCCTCCCAAAGTTCTGGGATTACAGGTGTGAGCCACTGTGCCCAGCCTAAAAAAAAAAAATTAAAAAAAAAAAAAAAGAATCATGGAAGGCTGCAGAAACTTTTCAGCTTACCAACTCAGGGAGGCCCAGCAGTAGCCTCAACAGGCCCCCACCCCCACATCCAGCCATGCATAGCTGAAAAGGGCATGGCTTTGTGCCAAGACAGCCCCAGAGCCTGCTCCTCCTATTTATTCTTGGCCTTTACTTGGATGGCTCCAGGGAAGCAGCTGAGGTAGTCACTCATTCTGCCATGTTAAGATGGGAATTGTATTAAATGAGTCTGGCAAGGTATGGGAACTGTCTATCCTTTCTTTCATTCATTCACTAAATAGTATTATCTCCTGTGTACCAGGCACTGTCCTAGGCACTGGTTGCTAAAATGGAATATTATGAACCCCATGGGCCAAGAGGACAAAAACTGCTGAGTGTATTTTCTAAACTTTGTTGGTACCTGTCCTGACTTCTGTGATTTGCCAATTTTCTTCAACCACACACCACAATTTGGGTCCAAACAAAGGTTCTTCTGTAGGCCCTGCCCTGAGAGTCAGTAGAGGGAGATCTCACTAGAGTAAAAATGAACTCTTTTTGAGGTTACAGTAAGCTATGATCATGCTACTGCACTCCAACCTGGGTGACAGAGCAAGACCTTGTCTCCCAAAAAAAAAAAAAAATTCTTTTGCAAATATGAAGCTGAAATTATACAATCCTAACAACAACCTATGATGAGCTTTACTGCTTCATTCCAGTTTCTGTTCAACTGCTGACCCTGCAATTCCTGAAAGCACAACTCCCACTGAGGTTAATAGGAGTGTTATGCGAATGTAAGTTTTGTACTTAATTTCCTCCTGCTGAGTGAGCCTTGGTTGTGTTGGACTCACAATTGTAACAATTCCTTTCCGCAGTGGGAACATGGTGGCCCCACCTTCCATGTGGCAGGGCCATGCTGCAGTGCAATGCTCCAGGTGAGGGGGGAGATCAATTTAGAACCAAAATATTCTGGCTTAATACTACTTCATTGCCTCATATAGTAGCATGATGCCTCATAAGCCAGAGAGAGTAAAAATGTAGACTGGCCAGTCAATGATGTTCTAGGCACACTGTAATCCAGACTTGGGTCTGATAACTTTTTTTTTTTTTAGAAATGAGGTCTTGCTATCTTGTCTGGGCCAGACTTGAACTTCTGGGCTCAAGTGATCCTCCCATCTCAGCCTCCCAGGTAGCTGGGACTGCAGGCACATGCCAGTGAGCTCATCTCTAACTTTTAAACTAGGCCTAAAGCCACTAACCTTTTTCTCATTGGTGGAGTGAAAAGTGATGCAGGAGACAGGAAGCAAGTATTCTTTTAGATCCGGCTCTGCCGCTGAACTAGTTATTTGGCCATAGGAACATCATTTGTCCACTTTGGGATTCACTTTCTCCATCTGTCAAGTGAAGGCATTGAACTTGGAAGACTCTCAAGTTCTCTTCCATATGTAAAAACAGATTTATGGGTCCAGATTCTGTGGAGGTCACAGTGTTTTTTCCAATTTTTTACAATCAGTTGCCCACATTTATAAATCAGAAAATTCTGTATAAAATATGAATTTGGGCTGGGCGCAGTGGCTCATGCCTGTAATCCCAACACTTTGGGAAGCCGAGGTGGGCGGATCAGGAGTTCGAAACTAGCCTGGCCAACATGGTGAAACCCGTCTCTACTAAAGATACAAAAATTAGCCAGGCGTGGTGGTGCATGCCTGGAGTCTCAGCTACTCGGGAGGCTGAGGCAGGAGAATCGCTTGAACCCAGGAGGCAGAGGTTGCAGTGACCTGAGATCACACCACTGCACTCCAGCCTGGGTGACAGAGCAAGACTCCGTCTCAAAAAAAAAAAAAAAAAAAAAAAAAAAAAAATATATATATATATATATATATATATGAATGAATTTGGGGCTTCTTGAAAAATTGAAAATGCTGGCAACAGCAGCCCTACATTTCTGCATAGTTGTGATGGCCATGGCTGAGTAATGGGTTCCCCTTCAGACAGGGCATGTCACTTTAGACAGTGTGCCACCATCCCCACCTCAAGTCAACTTCACTCACCCCTGTAGGCCTTTGAGTTTGTGACCCTTTTTTAAGTATTAGAATTAGTACAGTTTCATCAATGTTACAAGTGAGGTTTTTTTCTATCATACCTCAGATGATGGAAGTCAGTGACCTAATCTATGACACTAACATATATTTAATTCATTACAAGCAGTAGCCAAGAAGGGCACATGGAGCTTTGCAGGGACGCTCGCAGGAGGACACCAGAGAGTGCTAGAGCTGCTTATGGTAATGTGACCTACAACTCAGAGCCTAATTGTGTCAGGTGAAGTGGCCTGGACAGTTTACTCTCTGTTCTCAGAGTTAACAAGCTCCCATCACATAACTTTCTTTGTGAATATTAAATAAGCCTACGCTGGAAAGCAAATGTCAAGTTGCCAGGGAGGAGAGGTTTGCACAGCAAGTGCAGAATGATTCGTGTGGCTTCTAGGCTTTGTAGTTAATCTTTTATTAACTGTCCTTATTTTCTTTTTAAAATTAACCTTATTATTCCTTTCAACTGGATCTAACTAAGGAAATGCTATGAAGGAGGTATTTTTATTTTTGCTTTTAAATAATGTAGCAGGAGCCCATGAAGCCAGTGCAACCCTTTAAAGATGGTGATTTCTCATGGTTATGAGGAAGATTCATTGGTTTGTGTGAGATAAAAACCAGACAAATACCCCACGTTGTTTCTTTACTAAACTCCCTTATGCCTCCCTCACAATGCTGATTTTTCTAATTTTACAGAAAACTGAGGCTGAGTATATTCAAATGGTTTAAATGATGGGATCACTTTTTTTGTTTGTTTTTGAGACAGGGTCTTGTTCTGTCACCGAGGCTGGAGTGCAGTGGGGCGATCTGGGCTTACTGCAACCTCTGCCTCTTGGGCTCAAGTGATCCTCCCATCTCAGCCTTCCGAGTAGCAGGGACTACAAGCATGCGCCACCATCACAGAGCTAATTTTTGTATTTTTTGTGGAGATAGGGTCTTCCTGTGGTGCGCAGGCTGGTCTAGAACTCTTGGGCTCAAGCGATCCACCTGCCTCGGCCTCCCAAAGTGTGGGGATTACAGGCATGAGCCACCGTGCCTGGCCGGGATCACATTCTAATAAATGTTAGAACAAAGGCCAGAACTTGTTCTGACTCTTATACCATTGTATTAAATGGTTTGTCCTTGTTTTCCTTTAGGGAATTTTCCCAAATTTAAGAATATAGCAACTAAAAAGGGAAATGATTACTATAAAAGTAAGGATAGTGGCCAGGGGTGTGGTGGCTCACACCTGTAATCCCAGAACTTTGGGAGACTGAGGCAGGCAGATCACTTGAGATTAGGAGTTTGAGACTAGCCTGTCTAACATGGCGAAACCCCATCTCTACTAAAAATACAAAAATTAGCTGGGCGTGGTGGTGTGCACCTGTAATTCCAGTTACTCAGGAGGCTGAGGTGGGAGAATTGCTTGAACCCGGGAGGTGGAGGTTGCAGTGAGTCAAGATTGCACCACTGCCCTCCAGCCTAGGCAACAGAGCAGGAATCTGTCTCAAAAAAAAAAAAAAAAAAAAAGTAAGGATAGTAGATACATCTGGATTAGAGGGAGAGGTGTGTAGTCTAGTGGTCTAGAAGGGATATATAGGGGTTTTCTTGACTAGGGGGTGGTCACCTTTACCATGATAATTATCAAGTGAACATAGTCTGCCTGGGGCTGTCCCAGTTTAAGCCTCAAACCAGGTTAAATTTTTTTTTTTTTTTGACACGGAGTCTTGCTCTGTCACTGAGGCTGGACTGCAGCGGCGTGATCTCAGCTCACTGCAACCTCTGCCTCCCGGATTCCAGCTATTCTCCTGCCTCTGCCTCCCAAGTAGCTGAGATTACAGGCGCCCACCACCACACCCAACTAATTTTTATATTTTTAGTAGAGACATGGTTTCGCCATATTGGCCAGACTGGTCTCGAACTCCTGACCTCAGGTAATCCACCTGCCTTGGCCTCCCAAAGTGCTGGGATTACAGGCGTGAGCCACCATGCCCAGCCAGGTTAAATATTAATAGTAGCCTTTTTTCATTTTCAAAGGGGTTCTGTTTTAGATGATATGTTATGTGTTCAGCTATTATACTGTACATTTATGTTTTATGCACTTTTATGTATTTATTATATGTCAAAAATGTTTTTAAGTTAAAAAAATTAGTATCAGGAAGTCTGGCCTATGATCAGGAGTCCAGGCCAACCTGGGAAACCTTGCATTTGCTTTAAGATTCAAGATTACTACAGAGACCACAGCAGTAGTATTGCCAATCCAGGTGTGGACTTCCTGAACAGAGGCTGTGATGCCCCACCTTGGTTTTCTTCTGGCTCCTGTGACATGAGATAGTTAGCTTTGGTTCTTTGTCCTGCATATGGCTGGAGAAGTGGCATAGCTCTTAGTTCTAATTGTGAAGGTCAGTCCAAGATAATATATGAGAAAGTGCATTGTAAACAGTTTAGGTTTTTTCTACTTTGAGTGGCAGGAGTTTCCTAAATTCCTAGATCGGCAGGACCTCAACATCATTGCAGTGCTACCTGTCAGGTTAATCTTCCTGTAATACAGCCTTTCTACTTGAAACTTTTTACTATAACTCCTGGATACCTACAGAATGAAATCTAAAGTCCTAAACTTGGCATTCAACGCACCACAAACTGACATCCAACCAAGTTTCCAACACTATTTCTGCTGTTCCTCTTCATTGGCTATTGAACCACATTCAACCATGTGGTGTTCCAAAAATGCTGTTCCCTTTCCAACCTCACCTCATACTTTTCTCTCCAGTAGAATGCCTTGTTCTTTCTTATTTTATTTTTATTTTTTTTGACGGAGTCTTGCTCTTTTGCCCAGGCTGGAGTGCAGTGGCATGATCTTGGCTCACTGCAAACTTCTGCCTCCTGGGATTGATTCTCCTGCCTCAGCCTCCCAAGTAGCTGGGATTACAGGCACCCGCCACCACGCCTGGCTAATTTTTGTATTTTTATTAGAGATGGGGTTTCACCATGTTGGCCAGGCTGGTCTTGAACTCTTGACCTCATGACCCACCCACCTCAGCCTCTCAAAGTGCTGGGATTGCAGGCGTGAGCCACCGTGCCTGGCTTCTTTCTTATCTTTCAATCCCTTTGGTGGGGACCGAATGTCCGTGTCTCCCCAAAATTCATACATTGAAGCCCACAAGGTGACTGTATTTGAAGATGGAACCTCTAAGGAAGTACTTAAGGTTAACATAGGTCATCAGGGTGGGGCCCTGATCCAGGCGCCTAGTGTCCTTACAAGAAGAGACACCTAGGCCGGGCACAATGGCTCACGCCTGTAATCCCAGCACTTTGGGAGGCCGAGGCGGGCGGATCACGAGGTCAGGAGATCGAGACCATCTTGGCTAACACGGTGAAACCCTGTCTCTACTAAAAAAAAATACAAAAAATTAGCCGGGCGTGGTGGCGGGCGCCTGTAATCCCAGCTACTTGGGAGGCTGAGGCAGGAGAATGGCGTGAACCCGGGAGGTGGAGCTTGCAGTGAGCCAAGATCGCGCCACTGCAGTCCAGCCTGGGCGACAGAGCAAGACTCCGTCTCAAAAAAAAAAAAAAAAAAAAAAAAAAAAAAAAAGAAGAGACACCAGAGAGCTGGCTCTCTCTGTGCACATATAGAGGAAAGTCCATATGAGGACAAAGTGGCTGTCTGCAAGCCAGGAAGAGAGGCTTCCCTGGAAACTCACCCTGTTGGACCTTGATCTGGAACTTTTAGCCTCCAGAACAGTGTCCATTGTATAGGCCAACCCGTCTGTTATGGTTTGTTTGTTTTTGTTTTTTTTTTTTGAGAGACGGAGTCTCACTCTGTCGCCCAAGCTGGAATGCAGTGGCACAATCTCGGCTCACTGCAATCTCCGCTCACTGCAATCTCCGCCTCCTGGTTCTAGCAATTCTCCTGCCTCAGCCTCCCAAGTAGCTGGGACTACAGGTGCACACCGCCACGCCTGGCTAATTTTTTGTATTTTAGTAGAGACTGGGTTTCACTGTGTTGCCCAGTCTGGTCTCTAACTCCTGAGCTCAGGCAATCCACCTGCCTCGGCCTCCCAAAGTGCTAGGATTACACGCGTGAGCCACCACACCCAGCCCTGTTATCGTTAATACTGAGTGTCAACTTGATTGAAGGATGCAAAGTATTGTTCCTGGGTGGGTCTGTGAGGGTGTTGCCAAAGGAGATTAACATTTGAGTCAGCGGGCTGGGGAAGGCAGACCCACCCTTAATCTGGTGGCCACAATCTAATCAGTTGCCAGCGAATATAAAGCAGGCAGAAAAACGTGAAAATGTGAGACTGGCCTAGCCTCCCAGCCTACCTCTTTCTCCTGTGCTGGATACTTCCTGCCCTCCAACATTGGACTCCAAGTTCTTCAATTTGGAGATTCAGATTGGGTCTCCTCGCTTCTCAAGCTTGCAGACAGCCAATTGTGGGACCTCGTGATCGTTTAAGTTAATACTTAATAAACTCATTTATATATATATATATATATAAAGGCTATATATATATATAAAGGCTATATATATATAGGCTATATATATAAAGGCTATATATATATAAAGGCTATATATATATAAAGGCTCTCTCTCTATATAAAGGCTATATATATATAAAGGCTCTCTCTATATATAAAGGATATATATATAAAAAGGATATATCTATAAAAAGGATATATCTATATAAAGGATATATATCTATATAAAGGATATATATCTATATAAAGGATATATATCTATATATAGGATATATATATATATAAAGTTCTGTCCCTCTAGGGAACCCTGAGTGATACACTGTCTACAGTATTTTGTTATGGCACCGTGAGCACACTAAGACACCCTTTTTGGAATAGCTCTGACATGGCATATACCTAAAACTTCTATTCCTCAAAGTTCTTCAATCCTTCCCCTTTATTTTACTTCTTAAGACATTTGATGCTCTATCTTGTATTATGTAGTTATTTATGTAAACATTTGCTAACTTCCTTGCTAGTAAGTTTTTAGGGTAACCCCTGATTCCATATTGCAGCTCTGCAGTGCCTAGTACACGGTTTGGAAGTTATTAAATATACAATATATATTAGTTGATAAATTTACAAATAAAAGGGGAAAACTAAATGAGGTGAGAAAACACAAACTTTTTATTTAAAATTTAAAGAGGACATAGAAAATTGAGGCAATGTATTACTAAATGGGAACAAATAAGTTAAATCTTCAGTTTAGTGATATTTAAAATAAATAGGTTCCTGCCAGCAGAGGTGTTAAAATATATATATAAAAAAAATAGGTATCTCAGAGGAACTAAAAATAGGGGCGGTTTTGTTTTGTTTTGTTTCTCCCACTGACATGTTGTTTTGTCTTTGCATGGGGGGATTTGACTTATTGGAGTAGAATTTTAGCCCAGCTTCAGAGGCTGTGGAGAAAAGACCATGGGAATGAGCTTAGCTGGTATGGGAAAGCTGATATTTTATGACTAGGGTCATAAATGGAAGCTCTGGTGTCAGCACCCTGCAGGTCTGAGTCTTATGGGAGGGCTCAGAATTGGACATTCAGGACCTATTTGTTTTCCTGGCATCTTATTCCTAGTTACCATCCTCCTGTCAGAGTCTTCTTTATTTCCCACCTGTTTCTCACTTCCCAAATGTAATTTTAAATTAGTCTTTTGAATAGGTAAGATTCATATGGTTCAACATTTTAAAACTTCTATATAGAAGTGAACTGCTTCCCTAAAAGCATGGCCTGGGTTGAGTGTTTTAGTCACAGTGATAAGGATAACCAAGCTCAGAGCCTTGCTTACACCCTTGTCCACACCTGAGCAGGAGGCTGGAAGAAACAGGCATAAAGAGCGTTCTAGAAGATTCTAGAAAATCTCACAGTGGCAGGGCTTGGCAGTCAGAGAGCAGGGGTGCTGGAGTAGGGCAAACAGTGGACTTTTAGCAGCAGAACTGTTCTCTGAGTGGCCCAGTAGGGTCAAGGGGGCAGTGGAGAAAAGGAGGGAGTGCCAGCTCAGAGCACAGAAGACCTCCCATGTGGGCACCTGACAGCCCCATTCCCAGGAACAGCGGCACCCAAGGAGCGTGGGGGCCCTTCTCAAAGAAGGATGCTTTTCCCACAACTCCATCAAAAAGCCACATTTTTCTCTCCTACCTAGTAACAATGTTCAGAAAATATTTAGCAAAAGGAGGAAAATGGGAAAGCCCTAAATAAGAGGCCTGAAAACTCTTCTTGAAATGGTAAATGGTGTTGTAGATTTTATGTTACTTTTTTTTTTAACTGTTGTGAAAAAGTCTTAGCTAAAAGGGTTCTATGTATTTGAGCAAGTGGATAGTGTTGCTTCAGAGAAATCCCTCTCAGGGTGAACAGATTTGATACAGATTTGACTCTATGGAAAGTGTGGTTAACTCCAGCATTTTCCTAGTTCCTGTTTTTCCTCAGATCTTGTGGGGTTGTTTGTTTCAGACAGTCTTACTGTCACCCAGGCTGGAGTACAGTGGCGCCATCTCGGCTCACTACAATCTCCACCTCCCGGGTTCAAGCGATTCTCCTGCCTCAGCCTCCCGAGTAGCTGGGATTACAGGCGCCCACTACCACACCCGGCTAATTTTAGTATTTTTAGTAGAGAAAGGGTTTCACCATGTTGGCCAGACTGTTCTTGAACTCCTGACCTCAGGTGATCTGCCTGCCTCAGCTTCCCAAAGTGCTGGGATTACAGGCATGCACCATCATGCCCAGCCCTTTTTTTTTTTTTTTTTTTTTCTGAGATAGGGTCTCATTCTGTCACCCAGGCTGGAGTGCAGTGGCACGATCACAGCTCACTGTAGCCTTGAACTCCTGGGCTCAAGTGATCCTCCCACGTCAGCCTCCTGAGTAGTTGGGACTACAGGAACATGCCACCATGCCCAGCTAACATTTCATTTTATTTTTGGTAGACAGTGTCTATGTTGCCCAGGCTAGTCTTGAACTCCTGGGCTCAAGTTATCCTTCTGCCTCAGCCTCCCAAAGTCGTGGGATTACAGGCATGAGCCACCATGGCCAGCCAAGATCTTGTGTTTTGGTGTGATTAAAATGTCATTGTTGGAGCCTGGTGCATTAGCTTGTGCCTATAGCTTCAGCTACTCAGGAGGCTGAGGAAGGAAGATTGCTTGAGTTTGAGCCCAGGAGTTTGAGGCTGCGGTGAGCTATGATTGTGCCACTGCACTCCAGTCTGGGCAACAGAGTGAGACCCTGTTCCCTAAAAAGAAAAAAGAAATGATACCGTTGAAGCAATAAATACGAATACTTTTTATAAGTAGGCAATTTTTGGAAAAAAGAAAAGCTTCTCTATAAAATCAGCTTTATGTTCAGCAACAAAATGTGTAGAATGACATTTAGTGTTTTACTTGCCATCTTTAAGAAAATCAAACTTATCAAACTTTAAAAGACTTTTAGGTCTGGATGCAATGCCTTCTAAATCCCTGAACCTACAGACTTGGGAGCTTATCTTTTGCAGATGAGAAAATTGAAGTCACCTTTCCCTTTTAGTATATAGTGAAGGATTCTGGAAAGAGAGGGTTAGTTAGGGAAGGTATGTGGTTCTAGCTTTATCTAAATGACTTGCCCAAGGTCAGACCGTCAGAACTTTAAATAGGATTGGGCAGCAGCAGCAACCATTTAGCAATCTTGGGCCTTTTGTCCCCCTTTATGGAGGTGAAATATCATAATTCAAGAGCCTCATTTTTGTTTTTCTTCCAGATTTCAGAAGAGATCCCTAGAGGCAGGTGTTGACCTTGCCCTCCATTTAAACAAATGGACGGGCTGGGAAGTCCCTGGAAGTCACCATAAGCCTGCTCTATAGCAGGTACTCACTAAAGAGGGTAACGGCCGAGCATGGTAGTTCACGCCTGTAATCCCAGCACTTTGGGAAGCCGAGGCAGGCAGATCACCTGAGGTCAGGAGTTCGAGACCAGCCTGCCCAACATGGCAAAACCCCGTCTCTACTAAAAATACAAAAAATTAGCCGGGCGTGGTGGCAGGCTCCTGTAATCTCAGCTACTTGGGAGGCTAAGGCAGGAGAATTGCTTGAACCTGGGAAGCAGAGCTTGCAGTGAGCTGAGATCATGCTGCTGCACTGCACTTTAGCCTGGGCGACGAGCAAAACTCCTTCCCCACCACAAAAAAAAAAAAAAAAAAAAAAAAAAAGAAGAGAAACTACTGAAGCCAAAAAGCCTCCAAACTTGAAGATCCCTCTTGCTAAGGAACAATTACTTGACTTAGGCATCTAGATTGCTCTGTGTGTCTTGAGTATACATGAAGAGTATAAACCCCCACCAACCATCCAGGATCATTCAGCAACCCTCTGTGTGAATTTGAGTTTTTTTTTTTTTTTAATATTGTAAGTTGTCTGGGTGTCCTTTCTGACCTTTTCTTCTATGAAGTCCTGAATTTCTAACTTGCTTCTAAATTGCTGAATGTCACATTGTCCTGTTGTAGCTTTCTCTGAAATGCACAGGAAATGTCTGTAGGGTTGGCAAGCTCCTCCTCCCCCGACTTCACTCCTATTCCACACATGTACTTTCAGCATTTGAGAGCCTGTCTTCTCTCTTAGCTCCCTTAAAAACATTTGTAGTATTTCCACTTTTTATGAAGTTAAAATGGTTTATTTTCAATCCACTGAGTTAGAAGGATCATGTCTATCCTTAACCTTTGCCAAATATCCTTAAAAATCATTTTTTTCTTGGGAAACTTCCATAATGCCATTCTTATAAATGCATGCCAAGCCTGAGCCTGTGGGTGGTTTTCTTCATCTGAACTTACTTTTCAAATATAGCAGTATGAGACTTGAGGTAGGGGAAGCAGCATCAGAAATGGAAGGGCTGGAAACTAGACTCAGGACATTGTTTAAAATAATCAGAATAAATACTTTCATTTATTTAACATTCTACATATATTGTTTTGAATATCTATCATTGGCCAGGCCTGGTGGCTCATACATGTAATCCCAGCACTTTGGGAGGCCAAGTAAGGAGGATCTCTTGAGGCAAGAAGTTTGAGACCAGCCTGGGAACATGGCGAAACCCTGTCTCTACTAAAAATTAAAAAAAAAATTAGGCAGATGTGGTGGCATGTGCCGGTAGTCCCAGCTACTTGGGAGGCTGAGCCCAGGAAGTGGAGACTGCAGTGAGCCATGATTGTGCCACTGCACTCCAGCCTGGATGACAGAGCGAGACCCTGTTTTGTTTGTTTGTTTTAAAAAAAGAATAAAGAATATCTAGGGCCAGGTGTGGTGGCTCATGCCTGTAATCCAGGCACTTTGGGAGGCCCAAATGGGTGGATCACCTGAGGTCCGGAGTTTGAGACCAGCCTAGCCAACATATAGTGAAATCTCGTCTCTACTAAAAATACAAAAATTAGCTGGGCGAAGTGGTGCATGCCTGTAGTCCCAGCTACTTGGGAAGCTGAGGCAAGAGAGAATCCTTTGAACCTAGGAGGCAGAGGTTGCAGTGAGCCGAGATCGCACCACTGCACTCCAGCCTGGGTGCCAGAATGAGACTCCATCTCTCTCTCTCAAAAAAAAAAAAGAAATATATATATATATATATATATATATATATATAAAATATATATGTATATAATATACATCTATCTATCTATATATCTACTATTCTTCTAGGCCCCTGTGATACAGCAGTGAACAAACAGACACACTTTCTGCCCTCAGGGAGCTTAAGTTCTAGTGGAAGAAGACAGATAACAAACCAAATCAATAATTTACATAGTGTATTAGAAAGTGATCTTTGCTTTCAAGAAAAATAAAGTAGACGCGGCATAGAGGGAGTGTTTTCCGCAAGTTTAAAATCAGATGGCTTTTGAGCAAAGCACTAAAGGAGGTGAACAACAAGGCTATGCTGACATCTGGGGGAAGAAAGTCCCAAGCCCAGGAAACAAACAGTAAGTGCAAAGGCTCGCAAGGGAAAATCCCTGGAGTGATGGAGAAACAGTTTGGAGAGAAATTAATTTGGCTTATTATCAGTCTCCTTCCACTAGGAGAGCAGCAGGTAATGAGGTCCGAGAAGTAACGGGAGGTAGCAGACCTTCGAGCCTAGTAGGATGTTGTAGGTCCTTTGGCTTTCTCTAGGATGAGATGGGAAGCCAATGGAGGCGTTTCAGCCAAGGGAGCAACAGAATCTCATGGACAAGATCACTTGCTGCTGGGTTGAGAAGGGAAAGGAACAGGTATCGAAGAGGAAAGATCAGTTAGGAGGCCACTGCAATCATTCCAGAAATTACTCATACCAGAAATTAATCAGAGACGTTTGATGCATTTACAAAAGCGGTGGTAGGGGGGCGCGGGATGTGCTTGTAGAATACAAAAGAGGTAGAGAAACATTAAACATTTTGAATGTTTTAAGTTTCTTTTTTTTCTTTTTTTTTTTTTGATACGGAGTCTCCCTGTGTCACCCAGGCTGGAGTGCAGTGGCGCGATCTCGGCTCACTGCAAGCTCCGCCTCCCGGGTTCACGCCATTCTCCTGCCTCAGCCTCTCCGAGTAGCTGGGACTACAGGCGCCCGCCACCATGCCCGGTTAATTTTTTGTATTTTTAGTAGAGACGGGGTTTCACCGTGGTCTACGATCTCCTGACCTCATGCTCCGCCCGCCTCGGCCTCCCAAAGTACTGGGATTACAAGCGTGAGCCACCAACGCCCGGCCTGAATGTTTTAAGTTTCAAGGAAAAGACCAATTTGGCAGCTACTCTGCTACCTCGTCACCTCCAGGTGACGTTGGGAGTACTGGGGAGCTAGGTTTCCAGAACTTTTTGCTCTTGAGTGACCTAAGACCCTAGCAGAGTTTGGTCAGTGTGATTAAGAATGAGCCTCTGTGGGTCTGTTTAGGATGCTTGCCCCCTCCCATTTCCTTAACTTGCCTGAATTCCTGCTGGGAATACAGATTCGGGGCCCTTCCCACTCTGTAAATATGGGAAAAGGTCTAGGAAGTATATACTCCTAGCAATAATATGTAGGGGTTCTATGACTAGGAAATTTGGGGAACTGTCCCCCTGACCGCTCCATCCGTAACTTCTGCACACCTTTTGGGGTACGCCGCCGACCTGGAAAGCGTTGCAGGGCGCTCATGCTGCCCGCAGGTGGCGCCACGTGATCGCGAGCCGCAGAGAGCCCGTACCCTAGGAGTCTCGAGGCGCGAGGACTGCTGGTCCGCAGCTGTGCCGGGGCCACCGACGCCGCTTACCCCGGCGGAGCGCCGCGCAGGTGGAGTTGGGGACAGCGGCCGGTGCCCCGGCTTTTTAGGCTGTGTGCATCCCAAGCCGCCTCTAGTTGGCTTCTCGGGCTTCCGGGGCAGGAGGGCGCGCGGCTTTGTGCCTACGAATTGAGAACTGGAGAGCCAGTAACCGGTGCACCGGGAACCTGCCGCCTTGCGCCGCAGGGCTTTAGTCCAAACCTGGCCGGTCCAGGCTCCGGGATCTACTACAGGGGCCCCTGGGGAGCGCGGGCCCCAGGGACGGCTCCTTCCCATTGGCAGCAGGACGGATGCCACGCCCCTTTTTCTTCAGCTCTCATCTTTGACTGGCTCTCGAGTCCCAGATGGCCACGCCCCCTCCCCTCGCACATACACAAGAGTCACGCGCCTTTCAGTTGGAAACTTGGCGTGCAGACGGGGACGGTGGCTCTCGTCGCCCCACCCACTTACCTTGCCATTGGTCCGCGGAGCGGCACACGGTCACGCCCCCATTCCAGCCCCCTGGCTGGGAGGGCGGGCACCCGCTTGTGATTGGCTGGTCGGCCTGCCTCTCGCGGGAGCAGCCGGCGCTCCTCTCCCTCCCTCTTTCCCTCCCGCGAGCCTCGGGGTTCCTCAGCTGGCTGAGGTGGAGTCAGTGTCAGTCAGGGAGGCGAACTGCTGAGCACTGGCCGCGGACGCTCCGTTGCAGTCTCGCCCAGGGGCCGGTACCTGCGCTCGCGCCGCCGGGTTGAAAGGATGAAGCCGCAGCTGGAGCAGCCACCCTATGATTGGCTGTGGCGCTTGTGAACCCAAAGTAAAGATGGCGGGCGGGCAGGCAGCCGCCGCACTGCCCACTTGGAAGATGGCGGCGCGCCGCAGCCTCAGCGCTCGCGGCCGGGGGATCCTGCAGGCGGCTGCGGGGCGGCTGCTGCCGCTGCTCCTGCTGAGCTGCTGCTGCGGTGCGGGCGGCTGCGCAGCGGTGGGCGAGAATGAGGAGACGGTGATCATCGGGCTGCGACTGGAGGACACGAACGACGTGTCGTTCATGGAAGGGGGGGCGCTGCGGGTGAGCGAACGGACCCGGGTCAAGCTGCGGGTGTACGGGCAGAACATCAATAACGAGACGTGGTCCCGCATCGCCTTCACCGAGCACGAGCGGCGGCGCCACAGCCCGGGGGAGCGCGGGCTGGGGGGCCCCGCGCCGCCAGAGCCGGACAGCGGCCCCCAGCGATGCGGCATCCGCACCTCAGACATCATCATCTTGCCCCACATCATTCTCAACCGCCGCACCTCGGGCATCATCGAGATCGAGATCAAACCGCTACGCAAGATGGAGAAGAGCAAGTCCTATTACCTGTGCACGTCGCTCTCCACGCCCGCCCTGGGCGCCGGCGGCTCGGGGTCCACGGGTGGCGCCGTCGGGGGCAAGGGTGGCTCGGGGGTGGCCGGGCTCCCGCCGCCCCCGTGGGCCGAGACCACCTGGATTTACCACGACGGCGAGGACACCAAGATGATCGTAGGCGAAGAGAAGAAGTTCCTGCTGCCCTTCTGGCTGCAGGTGATCTTCATTTCGCTGCTGCTGTGCCTGTCGGGCATGTTCAGCGGCCTCAACCTGGGGCTCATGGCCCTGGACCCGATGGAGCTGCGCATCGTGCAGAACTGCGGCACGGAGAAGGAGAAGAATTACGCCAAGCGCATCGAGCCGGTGCGCAGGCAGGGCAACTACCTGCTGTGCTCACTGCTGCTGGGCAACGTGCTGGTCAACACCACGCTCACCATCCTGCTCGACGACATCGCCGGCTCGGGCCTCGTGGCCGTGGTAGTCTCCACCATCGGTATCGTCATCTTCGGAGAGATCGTGCCCCAGGCCATCTGCTCCCGGCATGGCCTGGCTGTGGGGGCCAACACCATCTTCCTCACCAAGTTTTTCATGATGATGACCTTCCCCGCTTCCTACCCGGTCAGCAAGCTGCTGGACTGCGTCCTGGGCCAGGAGATAGGCACCGTCTATAACCGGGAAAAACTGCTGGAGATGCTCCGGGTCACCGATCCCTACAACGACCTCGTTAAGGAGGAGCTGAACATCATCCAAGGGGCGCTGGAGCTCCGCACCAAGACGGTGGAGGACGTGATGACCCCACTCCGGGACTGCTTCATGATCACCGGCGAAGCCATCCTGGACTTCAACACCATGTCTGAGATCATGGAGAGCGGCTACACCCGCATTCCAGTGTTTGAAGGGGAGCGCTCCAATATCGTGGACCTGCTGTTTGTCAAAGACTTGGCCTTCGTGGATCCCGATGACTGTACCCCCCTGAAAACCATCACCAAATTTTATAACCACCCCTTGCACTTTGTTTTCAATGACACCAAGTTGGACGCTATGCTGGAAGAATTTAAGAAAGGTGGGAAATTTTGGTCTCTTTCATTGGCTTGCTCTTTCTCTCTCCATCCTCCTCCCTACTTGAGTCCTCTACCCTCAGACCAACCCCCCAAGGCGAGTTGACCGGGATTTCTCCTTCTCCCTCTTAATTGCAAAGTTGAAAGGGTGGCGTGGATTTGGGGATGGATTGAACTAGTAAGTGCTACTAGGTTATTTTAAAGCACAAGACTGCCATCACTTACTTTTTCCCATTATCAAAAAGCAGGCTGTGTAATTTCTGTGCATGACACTTATTTATTTTTTTTTTTTTGGTCCCGTGTGTGGGCCTCTGTTCTTGAGGGGTCTGCCGCCTTCATTGTCTGGGTTCTCAGTGAGTAGGTGAAGGTAGGGGCTGGCTGATGCCATGCCATTTGGTGGACTTTAATCACAGGCATTTGGAAAACATGTAACTAGCTTTTGTAAACCCAGTGCAGTCCTTTTTCTCCTCCTTAAACATCCACACTGGCCTTTCAAAGATCGAAGTACATTTTCTATAGCTTCTGTTCCTGCTTGCCTGGCAACTTGTGGGGAAGATTGAGGTCTGCCTTTGAGGGTAAGGGGTGGGGTAAACTAAGTATCGCCAAAAAAAATCACCCATTTTGGATGTGACTTCTCTTAGCTAGAAAAGAGTTGTTGTTGTTGTTTTAAATTAAAGTTATTAATATGTAACTTGGAAAGATTAGAGGTTAGCCAGCCTTTTGTGAAGAGGCTGTATGTCCCGTAGCCTTCTTCACTATTTGTTTACATTTATCTGACAACAGTTACAGTTGCCCAAACCAAGTGTGATTTTGGCAGAAAGCTTGAACCTTTAACAGTGGGATGAATCCCTCTATTGGGGCTTATTTATTTCTTGACTCTTTCAGTTTAACGTGTTCTTTTTTTCCACCTTGATCATCCGATACATTAAGTTGAAGTATGTCTCCGTCAACTCTCACCGTTCCAAGATGCTTATACAGTACATCATTTATATTTGTTCGTTTGACCATATAATGAACAGGTAAATAGCAACTTGTACTATTATTATTGAAGTTCTGAATGTTTCCAGTAAATAGTGTTATTTGAAAACCAAGGGATGCTGAGTTTTTGAATTATTAAGATGCTAGGGCATGTGCAGGTATTGAAATGTGTATGTAACCTTTCGTGACCTGATAGTCCTCAAAACCAAGTTTCCCTTCTTCAAATAGAATTTTGATCACTGGTAGTAGTCTCTCCTCTGAAAAAGGTGATATGTACCTGGTGACAGCTCACTGGATGTGATGATCTGAACATACTCAAAGAGTGTATGGTTGTCCTAATGCCATTTTTCTGGTTGAATGATGTCCTCTCTAGAACAGGATCACATTGTAGTAAGTTTTATGTAAAGGAACAGGGCAGAATGTGCTTTGAAGATTGGTAAATTTGCATTTAAAAGCAGAAGGAGGTTCTTCTGGTTTCTTAAATAGTAAAAAGAAAATGTCCAGTATCTCTAGGTGACATAGCTTCTTTTGGGGGTGTCATTCTTTCACCACTAAGTTGTTAATTAGAGCATCTAACTTCTTTCATTTTGCAGTAATATCTGTAATACAGAAAGATATATTGGGATGTTTGGAAATGCCCCTGAAAGTCTTTCTATTGCTAAATTTCCCAATATTGATACAGATGATCTATTGCATGAGTTTTTTATTACTTAGAATTTTGCACATTTACTCATGAATTGATAACACTAGTTTGTACTTCTTGCTGAAGTCTTTTCTTCACTTCTATATCTTTTTACCTTGAGAATTTAGTTTTTCACCTCACAGCTCCTTAATGCCGCCCTTACTCAAAATTTCAAAATTCGTATTATTTTGAAATTTGTGCTTGATTGACCTTGAACAATTTTTCTATGATGGATTTATTTTCATGAGGAGCTGTTTTTCCTTCAGAATTACCACTCAGTATTTTTTTGAAATGTATTCTTTAAATGATGGAATTACTAATATTTCCCTATGAATTCTAGAAAAATAATAATGCACAAGATTTAATTTTTGTCTTTAACTAGAATGATGTATTTGGTTAAGAAGATAGTCCAAGTTAAAGGCATACATTCAAGCTAGTGGCATATTCGGAAGAGCAGGCAAAGATAGTTGGTTGCAAATGGGAAATTTAAGCCATGATCTTAAAAGGACAGAATGGATATTTGTTACTTAAACTATGGGAATAATTGATTTTTTCACCTTCCCTTTCTTGGATTTTTTTTTTATTATCAGTTTGGTTACTTTAACCTTACTGTCAGTTATATTGGTTCTTTTTTTTATGTCTGAGTTAAAACATTTTACCTGATTTTCATGTCTTCATTTTCTAAATCAATTATGACAGTGTTAACAATCAACCTTTTATTTTTCTCTACTGAATAACGGCGTATTAAATGGTTTGAAGACTTTTTCTTCCTCTACCTCTCTCCTAAATTCCTCATTTACAAAAGAAAACCCAAAACAAAACAAACAACCCCAACAATACCAATTGTAACTCCCCAGACCAGTTAGATCATAGATCCAGATCTCATTGAAAATTATCCTTTTGGCTAGGCATGGTGGCTCATGCCCGTAATCCCAGCACTTTGGGAGGCCAAGGTGGGCAGATGGCTTGAGCCCAAGAGTTTGAGACTAGCCTGGGCTACCTGGTGACACCCCGTGCCTACAAAAAATACAAAAATTAGCTGGGCGTGGTGGTGTGTGCCTGTGGTCCCAGCTCCTTGGGAGGCCTGAGGTGGGAGGATTCCTTGAGCCTGGGAGGCGGAGATTGCAATGAGCTGAGATGGTGCCATTGCACTACAGCCTTGGGGACAAAGACCCTGTCTCAAAAAAAAAAAAAAAAAAGAAACAAAATTGTCCTTCCTAGTTAAGAACTTCTGTATTGAAGACTTTCCTGTATATAGCTGTAGAGAATTAGTCTGAGTTGTTCTTTATTAAAGAGGAGGAAATAGAATGTTCTGAATGTGGGAAGAAAAGCCACCTTTATATTAGTATATGTGAATGTCTTCTTTCTTCTTCCTTTTTTTTTTCCCCAAGAGACAAGGTCTCACTGTGTTGCCCAGGCTGGATTCGAACTGTGATTGTCTTTTTTCTCTGGCTACCAGGAAACTCTTGGCTTTATTTGAGACAGTAATTGTGCTGATTTTACAGTTTGATCATGATGATGGTGATGATTATTACTTACCTATGTATTCTGTGCCAGGTACAGGGGCTGGGGCTTTATATGAATCACCTTGTTTAAATCTCAAATGGCTGAATGAAGTATTATCTCCATTTTACAAATGAGGAAATTGACTTGGGTGAAATGATTTGTTCAAGGTCACACAGTAATTTGTGCCTTGGGGTTTTAACTTAGGTCTTTGTGACACCAGAACCTGCTCTCTTAACCTCTCTCTTATGCTGCTCTCCTTGATCCTGGTTTGACATTTCTATTTTACTGAGTGTGAGGTTTAGTCTTTTGTCTCAACACTGCCTCAGAGCCTGTTGGGCAATAGAAAAGAAATGTGTTTAAACATATATATGGCTTTAAACCCAGTGCTTCTGTGGTGTTGTGCATAACAACTGGTGTCCCCTTTTTTGCCATTAAAACAGTTTTTTGGCCTGTGTGATCCTAAGTCTAAAGAATTGTGTTGACAGCATTTGCATATCCAGCATCAAGATTCATTTTGGAAAGTTTTGTACTAACAATGTGCTGTACTAATGTGCTTCTTCCATGGGCTGCTCTACAGCTGTTTTTCCCATAGCTAAATTATGTAATCATGTTTCACTATTGGTTTCTTATCTGTTTCTGTTGCAAGGGTCACATAGTAATTGGTCAAACTCAGTTTTGTGTTTTAATCTTGGTTTTTATTTACATTTTTGAATCTATCTGTATAACTGGTTGCTAATGAGCATCCTTTACACAACTCTGCTCTCTGTATTCCATGCAAGGAACCTTTCTCTTTTTTTGTGTGTGTTAGTTTTGTAGTTACTTACAAGTCTAAATAAGAGAATAAATTCAGTAAATACCGCTAGAGGATTATGAGAATTTTAGAAAAACTAGAGCAATGTAGTGTAGGGGAAGGAAAAGCAAAATGAAAGGCTGCCACCTTTGTGTGTGGAAAGCATGTTAGAGGCTCTCCATTCACCTGACAAAACCGTCCTCACAAAAGATTGGGCCACCAAGTTGTCTATGCTGAGGTGCATTTGAAGAATTTGTAACCAGTTACTGTTTCATTGTTTTTCTTTTAGCTTTATAACAGTTGCATTCCAGTATTGCAGAGCATGCTATTTACAGCTGCTAGGGACTTAGCCAGCCTCTTTTCTAGCTTTTTCTTAGTAACAGGTGGGATCACCAGATAATGTTGTTCTTCAAGGAAAGAATGCACTGTACAGTTTTCACCTAAGATATTAGGTAATTTCTTTCTATAACTCAGCAAATCTCTCCATATTAATATACTGAGAGCTTAATATTAAACACATTTTTTTCTCACCAAATTAAGTGTTGTATTTGCCTTGAATCTAGGAAGTTGTTTTTTTTTTTTTAATTATTTTATACGTATTTGTTAGGGTCTTGCTATGTTGCCCAGGCCTGGTCTTGAACTCCTGGCCTCAAGCAATCCTCCCATCTGAGCCTTCCAAGGTGCTGGGATTACAGGTGCATGCCACCATGCCTGGCCAGAAGATGTTTTTATTAGTGTTTAAAGGTATGAATGGTGTCACCGGGAGCTGATATATTTGTTTTCATGATGTTGTACATTTATTTTTGTGCAGTAACATACATTAAATGATTGTAATTTTGTGTGTTTTTAGAACACTATTATGAAATATCCAGATAATACAGAATCAGAGCTGGAAGGCAGGCAGCTTGAGGATTATCTAGTCCAGTGTTTGCCAGATTTACCTGATGATAAGATTTACTTGGGGCTGGGTGCGGTGGCTCACGCCTGTAATCCAGGCACTTTGGGAGGCTGAGACGGGTGGATCACCTGAGGAAGGGAATTCAAGACCAGCCTGACCAACATGGAGAGACCTTGTCTCTGCTGAAAATACAAAATTAGCCGGGCATGGTGGCACATGCCTGTAATCCCAACTACTCGGGAGGCTGAGGCAGGAGGATTGCTTGAACCCGGGAGGCGGAGGCTGTGGTGAACTGAGATCGCACCATTGCATTCCAGCCTGGGCAACAAGAGCGAAACTCCATCTCAAAAAAAAAAAAAAAAAAAAAAAAAAAAAAGATTTACTTGGGTCACTTAATAAGAGTAAGGTCTTAGGCCTCACCCAGAGACCTCTGAATTGGGAAAGAGCTTTTGGAATCCATGTCGTTTACAGTTTCCCTGGGGTACTTCTTATGGTTAGGTGAGTTTAGGAAAAACTGGTCTAGTCAGCCCCTTGATTAAGGAAAGTAAACCCTGAGAAAGAGAAAAAACAAAGTAAATGACCTATTTAGGGCCACCTACCTAGCTAGTAGCATCAACTGAACTAGATCCCATGTCCCTGACTTCTAGATTGGAGTTCTTCCTGCTCCAGCAGGCTGGTCTTCTGGTCCCAAGTTATTCAGAGATGAAGGTAGCAGCATCATTGAAAAAACAAATAGTGAGTGTTACCGTTGGTTTTTATTGGTCTCGTGATTTTCCTGTCAATATGTTAGATGCCCTGGATTCAAGCAATTTTTGACAAGCATTTTATTATATAGAAAATAAGTCCAAGTGTGTGAGCTCATTTTTATTTAATTTTATGTTTTATTTTTATCTTAGTTTAACTGAGTTTTTTACTTTGTTGTGGTTAGACTAGGAGGGTATTTTAGGAAATGAGTGTTGATACCTAGGTTATTTGAAGCCTCAGGTAATTAAATATAAGATGTTTTATTTGACTTAGCTTATTTTGGATATCCTTTAATGATTTGTTTTCTCATTGATTATTTCTTCTGTGAGAGTAATGATGATTGGATTTGGTTAGGACTGTGGGGGTGAAGCTTCCTTGACTTTTCATTTCTGTTCACAGTACATACAGATCTGTAAAATTTCCATGGAAATGTTCATCAAAGCATTTGAAGCCCATGTCCTATTCGTGCATTTGTGTACCCTCTGTACCACACACCTCCCAAGTTTTAACAAATAATATAAGTGAAATTCTCACAGAGAATCATGCTGATTTGTAGAAGTTATTGCGTTACTAGGATCACCGAAGTCTGAGCATAGACATTTAGGTGAGGAGAGACCCTAGTTAAATACCAGCCCTGACTAAGTAGGAGCTGGATGAAGCGGGAAAGGAACTTGTCTGCGTTTTCTCTTGGTTTTTATGGGGATTACACACTATCTTTCCTGAAGCATTCTTAACCATTGTGAGGGGCTGGTTAATTTTAATTATTAGCAAATCTAAACACAATTTAAAATATCATCAACCAAGAAAACCCACAAAACAGACTGAACTGTTCTGTGGGTTTTCCTGCTTTTACTTATTTATTTTCAAAACAGGGTCTTGCTCTGTTACCCAGGCTGGAATGCAGTGGTGCTAGCTAGCATAGCTCACTGCAGCCTCGACCTCCCAGGTTCGAGTGATCCTCCCATCTCAGCCTCCAGAGTACCTGGGACCACAGGCGTGTGCCACCACACCCAGCTAATTTTTTTTTTTTTTTTTTTTTGAGATGGAGTCTCGCACTGTTGCCCAGGCTGGAGTGCAGTGGCACGATATCGGCTCACTGCAAGCTCCACCTCCTGGGCTCATGCCATTCTCATGCCTCAGCTTCCCGAGAAGCTGGGATTACAGGCACCCGCTGCCATGCCCGGCTAATTTTTTTTGTATTTTTAGTAGAAACGAGGTCATGCCATGTTGTCCAGGCTGATCTTGAACTCCTGGGCTCAAGTGATCTGCCTTCCTCGGCCTCCTGAAGTGCTGGGATTACAAGCATGAGACACCATGCCTGACCCCTGCTTTTATTTTCAATATAAAATTTTATGTTTACAAGCGTGAGCCACCACACCCAGCCTTACATAAACTTTTAAGAGCAAACCTGTAGAGTGTAATTAGATGCGTAGTTACTTATAAAGTGGTATATATTTTTCAAATGAGCCCTTTTCTCTAAATATATATATATGTGTGTATGTATATGTTATTGACAGTAAACTTTCAATTCATTAAGATTTGCTTGACATATAAAGAGTACTATTAAACTCAAACATGTGGAAGTGGATCACTAGGATTGAATACAGTTTTTTAAAGTATTGTCTTTTCATCTCTTTTTGTTTTTCTCAGAACACACAAACAAGAAACCCAAATCATACCAACACTGAAAAGAAGAGACAATAAGAAGCATTCTTTCTTTCAACATCACAGACATTGGCAACTCTAGGATGTCTATACAGAGGGATAAAAAGGGGTGGCAGTTGGCTGGGCGTGGTGGCTCATGCCTGTAATCCCGGCACTTTGGGAGGCCCAGGGAGGTGGATCACTTGAGGTCAGGAGTTCCAGACTGACAGTCTGGCCACCATGGTGAAACCCCGTTTCTAATAAAAATACAGAAAAATTAGCTGTGCGTGGTGGTGGGTGCTTGAATTCCCAGCTTCTTGGGAGGCTGAGACAGGAGAATCACTTGAACTTAGGTGGCGGAGGTTGCCGTGAGCTGAGATCACGTCACTGGACGACAAAGTGAGACTCTGTCTCAAAAAAAAAGGAGGGGGTGGTGGCAGGCTTTCGAAGGAGGAACTAGAGGTTTGTGGTCTAGCTTAGATGTTGATGGATAATGGGGATGCCAAACCCTCTCCCTGTGTTACATTAGTGCTATGACTGAACATAAACACTGCTGTAATGGACGGTGAGATCTTCGTGTCATCCTATTTAACCCTCCCTTGCTGTCATTCGGAGGTGGGAGTGCTTCTTTTTGAATTCACATGCTGTGGGGAGGATAGCATCTGTTAATGCAAAGGTTAAGAACAATGTGCTCTTCCTGGATCTGTTTTGGACAAGTAACTTATCCTCTTTAACCCTAAGTTTTTTTCAAAGTAAAATGGGGATATTTTCTAACTCATATGGTACTTAGTAAGAATTATTGTACTAATAAATATATAAATGTTTCTAACAGTACCTGGCACTTTGTGCTTAACCAGTATTTTTATTATAACAATTCTTTCTGTAGGCTCTTGGTTGTTATCTTAGTCTGTTTGTGCTGCTGTAACAAAATACCACAGACTGGGTAACTTAAAAATAATAGAAGGTGGCCGGGCATTGTGGCTCATGCTTGTAATCCCTGCACTTTGGGAGGCCGAGGCGGGTGGATCACCTGAGGTAAGATCACCAGCCTGGCCAACATGATGAAACCCTGTCTCTACTAAAAACACAAAAAATTAGCCAGCTGTGGTGGTGGGCGCCTGTAATTCCAGCTACTCAGGAGGCTGAGGGAGGAGAATCTCTTGAACCCATGAGGTGGAGGTTGCAGTGAGCCGGGATTGCGCCACTGCACTCCAGCCTGGGCAACAAGAGTGAAACTCTGTCTCAAAAAAAAAAAAAAAAAGAAATTTATTTCTCAGTTCTAGAGGCTGGGAAGTCCAAGATCAAGACACTGGCACTGGCGTCTGGTGAGAGCCTTCATATGGCATCCTCACATAGCAGAGAAATGGAAGGTGAAAAGGGCCTAAGCTAGTTCCCTCCAGCACTTGTATGAGGCGCTGGTTCAGAGTCCCCATGGCTTAATCACTTCCCCCAAAGGCCCCACCTCTTAATATCACTACTGTGGGGATTAAGTGTCAACATGAAATTTTGAGAGGACGCATTCAAACCATAGCAATTGTTCTTGGTCATTCTCTTGACTGGAGCCTGATAGTCAAGAGAGACATTTTAGCGTGTGTCCTTATAATTATTATTGGTGTTGAAATCTAAAAGTGGCTAGGCTCGCTGGGCGTGGTGGCTCATGCCTGTAATCCCAGCACTTTGGGAGGCCTAGGTGGGTGGATCACTTGAGGTCAGGAGTTCAAGACCAGCATGGCCAACATGGTGAAACCCAGTCTCCACTAAAAATACAAAAATTAGCCGGGCGTGGTGGCATGTGCCTGTAGTCCCAGCTACTTAGGAGGCTGAGGTGGGAGAATTGCTTGAACCCAGGGGGCTGAGGTTGCAGTGAGCCGAGATCATGCCACTGTACTCCGCCTGTGCGACAGAGCGAGACTCTGTCTCAAAACAAGAAAAAAAAGAGTGGCTAGGCTGGGTGCAGTGGCTCATGTCTGTAATCCCAGCACTTTAGGAAGCTTTTAGGAAAGCTGAGGCAGAAGGATTGCTTGAATCTAGGAGTTTGAGGCTGCAATGAGCTGTGATTGTACTACTGCATTCCAGCCTGGGTGACAGAGCAAGAGCATGTCTTTTTTAAAAAAAAAAAAAAAAAGTGACTAGTTATTGTAGGTTTTTTCTTTTCCTTTTTGTTGTGATTGAATCCTAAGCTTTGTTATTTTCCTAGCAGTTGACAAGGTGACTACATGCATATATATTTTTAAGGAAAACAGAACAATTTATTATAGGTTCTACTTTCCTTAGAGTAAGAATACTGTGTTTTAAAATAATTCTTCATTCTCTTTAATCATAAACAACTGAAAAAGACAACAAGTCTTTTGAGTTGTTTATCCGCTCATCCGTTGATAGACATTTAGACAGTTTCCACTTTTTGGCCATTATGATTGGTTATTATGAATAATGCTGCTGTGAACATTGGCATGCATTTTAAAAGCAAGTGCTTGTGGATTTTGGAAGCCCTTGAATAACCAAAGACTTTTAAGACTAAAGGAAGATCAAAAAAGATAAAATATTTTAACACTGATTGCATAAAAAGTATAAAAAATGGTAATGCCTAATATAGCAAGTTTGTATTGCTTATAGCAGTGTAAATTTATAATGATTTTGGAAGGCAACTGGGTGTCATAAAAATGATTTAGTATTTTTTTCCCCTGGAAATCTTAATTCAGTGATCCAAGAGAAGAAAAGAGCTATGTTAGCTTTTTATGTTGTATGTGTGTTGCAGCGTTATCTAGAAACAGTGAAAAATTGGAAGTAAATATCTAACACTTCAAGGCAAGGAGTGGAGGAGAAAGAGTTAAGAAAATTATAAATGTGAACTATTTCCAACCATTCAGTGATAATCTTGAAAGCCACATAGCAATATGGGAAAATTTGCACTGATTATTTGCACGGAATATAGACATGCAAAAAAATATATATATGTATACACTGGAAGGTAACGTGGAAAAAATGAAAATAGTTGATGTATTAGGGTGGGGTGATCATAGCCAGTCTTTGTGAAAATCTCCTTGTTAACTTTGTACATGATATACCTGGAAAAAATTCAAATCTGCTAAGAACATTATGAATCCTGATCTTGTGAAAACTAACCATTGCTCGTATTAAGGAACTCATTCCATTTCTCTTGAGGAACATTTTACTGCTGAAACAGTTGGTTCTTTTTTAAAATTTTAAAAATTGAGATATAATTCACATATCTTAAAACTCACCCTTTTAAAGTATGTGATTTGATGCTTTTTGGTATGTTCACAAGGTTGTGCAGTCATTACTACTGTCTACTTACAGAACATTTTCATCACCCCGAAAGAAACTCCATACCTCTTTGCAGTCACTTCTCATTTTCTGTTCCCCCTAGTCACTGGCAACTAATTTACTGTCTGTATGGATTAGCTTATTCTGGACATTTCATATAACATGTAAATGAAATGTGGCCTTTTGTGGCTGGCTTCTTTCATTTAACATGTTTTCAAGGTTCATCCATGTTGTAGCATGTATCAGTATTTCATTCCTTTTTACGGCCAAATATTCAGTTTTATAGATATACCACATGTTGTTTATCCACTCATCAGTTGATGGGCATTTCGATTGTTTCCACTTTTTGCCTATTAATAATGATTCTATGAACATTGGTGTGCATGTTGCATTCTTGACAAATCCCATTCTAGTCTGAAGATAGTTCAGTGGTCTCATAGAGTAGGACTGTGATTTAGTTTGGGCATGTTATTGGGGTGAGTTCTGAGCAACTTAAAAGTGTGTGAGTCACAACTACCTTCCTTCCATTGGTCTGTACTGGGCTTCTGCCTCAGTGCCCCTGCTTGGTATGTCTTCATGAAGGATGTTTTAAATAATGAGCAATACTAAAGGCACAGAAAACCAACCTATTGCAAGTTGGCCATAGAGCTGGAGCAGGGTCTCAGAAGCCCTTCTGTTAGGCCAGATGTTAATCTTTTAGTGTTAAGAGTGTGGACATGTATTTCCTTCTTTCTTTTTTTTTTTTTTTTTTCGAGACAGTTTCACTCTTGTTGCCCAGGCTGTAGTGCAATGGTGCGATCTCACCTCACCGCAACCTCCGCCTTCCCGGGTTCAAGTGATTCTCCTGCCTCAGCCTCCCAGGTAGCTGGGATTACAGGCACGCACCACCACGGCCGGCTAATTTTGTATTTTTAGTAGAGACGGGGTTTCTCCATGTTGGTCAGGCTGGTCTTGAATTTTCTTCCTCAGGTGATCCATCCGCCTTGGCCTCCCAAAGTGCTGGGATTCCAGGCGTGAGTCACAGCGCCCGGCCATGGACATTTATTTCTAATTCTCTTGGATATATACACGGGAATAGAATTGCTGGATCATATGGTAATTCTATTAACTTTTTGAGAAACTGCCAAACTGTTTTTCAAAGTGGCTGCACCATTTGACATTCCCATGAATAATGTATGAAGGTTCTAATTTCTCCAGCATCCTCACCAGCACTTGTTATTGTTAAAAAAAAAAAAAAAAAAAAGAATGCCATCCTAGTGAGAAGTGGTATCTCATCGTGGTTTTGATTTGCATTTCCTTAATGACTAATGAAGTTGGGCATCTCTTCACGTGCTTACTGGCCATTTCTATAACTTTGGAGAAATGTCTATGCAGTTCTTTTGCCCATTTTTAACTTGGGTTATTTGTCTTTTTATTGTTGAGTTGTAAGAGTTCTTTTTATATTCTGGATACTAGTCACTTGTCAGATATATGATTTGCAAATATTTTTCTCCCATGCTATATGTCGTCTTTTTACTTTCTTGGTAGTGACCTTTGAAGCAGAAAAAGGTTTTAATTTTGATTGAGTCCAACTTGTCTTTTTTTCCTTTTTTTTTTTAACTCATTTTTTGAGCAACGGGGTTTTGCTATGTGCCTAGGGTGGTCTTGAATTCCTGGCCTCAACCGATCCTCCAGCCTTGGCCTCCCAAAGTGCTGGGATTACAGGTGTGAGCCACTGCAACCAGCTCTATTTTTTTTCTTTTGTTGCTTATGCTTTTGGTGTCATAGCTAAGAAACCATTGCCTAATCCAAGGTCACAAAGATTTATGCCTATGTTTTCTTCTAAGAGTTTTATAGTTTTAGCTCTTTCATTTAAGTCATTAATCCATTTTGAGTTTTTATATATGGTGTGAGGGATGGGTCCAACTTTATTGTTTTGCATGTGGCTATTCAGTTGTCCCAGTACTGTCTGTTGAAAATACTATTCTTTCTCCATTGAATTGTCTTGACATACTTGTCAAAAATCAATTGGTAACCAGGCACGGTGGCTCACGCCTGTAATCCCGGAACCTTGGGAGGCTGAGGCAGGTGGATCACTTGAGGTCAGGAGTTCAAGACCAGCCTGGCCAACATGGTGAAACCCCGTCTCTACTAAAAATACAAAAATTAGCCAGCGTGGTGGTGCATGCCTGTAGTCCCAGCTGATGAGGAGGCTGAGGCAGGAGAATCGCTTTAACCCAAGAGGTCAAGGTTGCAATGAGCTGAGATTGCACCACTGCACTCCAGGCTGGGTGACAGAGCAAGACTCTGTCTCAAAAAAAAAAAAAAAAAAAAAATTGGCCATACATTTGAGAGTTTACTTCTGAACCTTAAGATCTGTTCCACTGATCTTTAATTTTATGTCAGTACTACACTGTTTTGATTACTGCAGCTTTGTAATAAGTTTTGAAATTAGAAAGTTTGAATCCTCCAACTTCATTCTTCCTTGTCAAGATTGTTTTGGCTGTCAGGATTCCTTGCATTTCCATGTGAATTTTTCAGGGATCAACTTGCCCATTTCTGCAAAAAAAGGCAGTTGGAATTTACATAGGGGCATTGCATCTGTAGATCAATTTAGGAGTATTGCAATGTTAACAGTACAAAGTCTTCCATCCATGAACGGGGATGTCATATCATTTATTTAGGTCCTCTTTAATTTCCTTCAACAACGTTTTGTAGTTTTCAGTGTGCTTGCAATCCTTTTGTTAAACTTATTCCTAAGTATTTTATTTTTTGATGCTATTATAAATGGAATTGTTTTATTAATGTTATCTTCAGATTGTTCATTGCTTGTATATAGATATACAAGTGATTTTTGTATGTTGATCTTCTATCCTGCAACCTTGCAGAACTTGTTAGGTGACAAATGGTTCTTAAGATAGAAAAATGCTTTTAAAAAACATGAGTTTGTTGAGGTTATCTTACATTTACTTCTTTAATTTGCTTGTAGTGGATTTTGTTTTTTTAAAAAATGTAGGGATTTTTACTTGCCACTTTTATATGTAGATATTGAAATATCCACAATTGGTTATTGACAGTCATTTAGGAAATTTGATAGGAAAGACTAAATTTTTTTTTAAGACAGGGTCTCATTAGCACATAAATACGTATTAACTGTCTGACACAAAATCAAGTATTAGTCCAGGAAGAAACGGATATGGAATTGGGAAGATATACACCATCAGGCACTTCTGTGTTTTTGTTTGTATTTGTGACAGGGTCTCCCTCCATTGCCCAGGCCAGATTGCAGTGGTACAGTCATAACTCACTGCAGCCTCAAACCCTGGGCACAAGCGATCCTTCCACCTCAGCCTCCCAAGTAGCTAGGACTATAGGTTCCTGCCACTGTGCCCAGCTTATTTTAACTTTTTTTTTTTTTTTTTGGAGAGACAGAGTCTGGCTATGTTGCCCAGGCTGATCTTGAACTCCTGGCCTTAAGCAATCCTACTGCCTCAGCCTCCCAAAACACTGGGATTACGGATGAGTCACCATGCCTGCCATAAAAGAGTAAGTTTTCTGTCCCAGATTAGATAGGAAAAGAAGAAATAGGTTGTATAAAATGTCAGTCAAGACAAAAAATATGCCTGGCTGGAGCTTAGGAGTTTAAAAGCAAGTCTATTTCTTTCTTTCTTTCTTTCTTTTTTTTTTTTTGAGACAGAGCCTTGCTCTGTCGCCCAGGCTGGAGTGCAAGTGCTGTGGTGCGATCTCTGCTCACTGCAAACTCTGCCTCCTGGGTTCAAGCGATTCTCCTGCCTCAGCCTCCCAAGTAGCTGGGACTACAGGCGCCTGCCACCACACCTGGCTAATTTTTGTATTTTTAGTAGAGGTGAGGTTTCACCATGTTGGCGAGGCTGGTCTTGAACTTCTGACCTCAAATGATCCACCCACCTCGGCCTCCCAAAGTGCTGGGATTACAGGCATGAGCCACCGCGCCCAGCCTGAGCCACCGGCCAAATCTATTTCTTTCTACTATTTAGAGTGGCTTTTTATCAGTCTAGGGACTTGGGATTGGAGATAAGCACAGAAAGACTAGCTAATATCTAAATGTTTTCGTAAACCAGGTGTTGTGGCACGCACCTGTAGTCCTGGCTACTTGGGAGGCTGAGGTGGGAGGATCACTTGTGCCTGGGAGTTCAAGGCTGCAGTGAGCAAGCTATGATTGTGTCACTGTACACCAGCCAGGTGACAGAGTAAGACTCCTGTATCTAAAAATAAAAAGTTTAAAAATGATTTTGGGCTGGGCATGGTGGCTCATGCCTGTAATCCCAGCACTTTGGGAGGCTGAGGAGGGCCAATCACCTGAGGTCAGGAGTTCGAGACCAGCCTGACCAAGATGGTGAAACCCCGACTCTACCAAAAATACAAAAATTAGCTGGGCATGGTGGCGGGCACCTGTAATCCCAGCTACTTGGGAGGCTAAGGCAGGAGAATTGCTTGAACCCAGGAGGTGGAGGTTGCAGTGAGCCGAGACCGCGCCATTGCATTCCAGCCTGGGCGACAGAGCGAGACTCCATCTCAAAAAAAAAAAAAAAAAAAAAAAAGACTTTGGGCCAGACATGGTGGCCTGTAATCCTAGCGCTAACTTTGGGAGGTGGGAGGATTGCTTGAGTCCAGGAATTCAAGACCAGCCTAGACAATATTGGGAGACCCTGCCTCTACAGAAAATAAAAAGAAAATGGGTGTGGTGGTGCACACCTGTGGTCTTAGCTACTTGGGGGGTTGAGGTGGGAGGATCACTTGAGCCAGGAGGTCAAGGCTACAGTGAGCTGTGATCACACCTCTGCAATCCAGTCTGAGCAACAGAGGAGACCTCATCTCAAAAAAAACTTTTGTAGTATCTTTCTTCTCCACATCAATTTATCAAGGGTCTTCTTTGGTTTTATTTGCAAAGACTAGAAGAAACCCTGACTTCTGTTACTCTGCATTTCTTACTGCTATGAGCAGTATGGTCCTTTAAAAAAAAATTTTTTTTTTTTTTTTTTTGAGACAGGGTCTTGCTCTATTGCCCAGGATGGAGTGCAGTGACACAATCACAGCTCACTGCAGCCCTGGTTGACTAGCAGCGCTCAAGTGATCCTCCCGCCTCAGCCTGCCAAATAGCTGTGATCACAGGCACACTCCACTGCACCTGGCTTTTTTTTTTTTTTTTTTTTTTTTGTAGAAGGCAAAGTGTCGCTATGTTGCCCAGGCTGGTCTTTAACTCCTGGCCTCAAGCAGTCCTTCCACCTTGGACTCCTAAAGTGTTGGGATTACGATATGAAATGCCACGCCCGGCCTAGCACTATAATCCTTGAGGTTTTTGGGTTCCAGGTGACCAGAAGAGACAAAATGAAACTCTATGGTGTTTTTTTTTGTTTGTTTTTTTGGTTTTTTTTTTGGTGCTGTGGGGGTAGGGGGCTGGTAATCTGAGAGGGAGAATGTTTTCCCATGCTAGCAAAGACAGATTGAGGGCATCATCTGATCTTTATGGGAGTGTGCAAAGCCTCAGTTTTTCCATTTGCCCATCTGCAATCATAGAAACAATGTGCTGACTCAACTCGGAGCCTCTGCGGAGTGGCGTTTGGGTTTAGACAGTCCTCAGAATCATTCAAGAGATGGAAATATTTGAGCAGGTCTTCAGAGGTAAAATTAAAACTAAAAACAACTAGAACAAGATAGCATGCTTTCTTATCTCTTTCAAGATTATTTCCTTTAGTCACTAGTGTACCTCCTTGATGTAAGGTTTGGCAGGAATAATTTCATCTCTGTAGAGTTGATAACTAAGCAGAGAAAAAACCCTACCTTTTAGTCATTGCTTTTCATCTTGCTATCATCAGTCTGATCCTTGAGGGTTTGGGGTTCCAGGTAAACAGAAGAGACAAAATGAAACTCTTTGCTTTTTTTTTTTTTTTTGGTGCAATGGGGGTGGGGGAGATTGGGTGTGGAGAGGGGTGAGATTCTGCTGGAAACAAGTCAATTGGCTAAAATACTCTTTTAATCATATTTTGTGGACCATCTTCTGCTTAGTTTTGCTCTTTTATGTTTTTATTTGCTTGTTCATATATACATACATTAACCTGCAACAACTAGAAGAACATTTACCAAAATATTAACCAACAGTGACTATCTTTTGATGTGGTGGGTTTAGGGGAGGAAGTATGTTTTTCTGTGTTGCTCCAAGTTTTTCTGTTTAAAGCATGTATTTTGTAATGTTTGGGGGAAACCAAATCCATCAAAATAAAGTGCAAGTTTTGTAACCTGAACCACTCATTGAGGTACAGAATTGAAATGTATTTAGATGAAACTCACAGGTATTTTTTCTTGGAGAATGTGGAATATTTTATCTATAGTGCAGCTGTGCTGTCATTTATGCCATTTTTTCCTCCTCATTGTGATTCTTACTGTTTGGGGTGAAAGATGAGTAGTATTTTAAAGCCCGTAATGTGTGTGAGTACACACGTGACATCTTAGTAAGATTCATTTTGTGTGAGAAATAAGGGAATTTAGGCTTTTGGGTTACATTTGTTTTCAAAACATGTTAATAGGTGACAAAAATCCAGTTTGTTTAGATTTGTATGTAGTCTGCCTGGAATGAAACTTTTTTATACTTACATGATAGCCCTGATTAAATAAAAGTTTGGTGAAAGCCAGCAGGGTGGCATGTGCCCCATGATCCCAGCTACTCTTGAGGCTGAGGTAGGAAGATAGCAAGTTCAAGCCCAGCCTGGGCAAAATAGCGAGACCCCATCTCAAAAAAAAAAAAATGTTTTGTTAAGTAGTTGAGTTCCAACTAGATCTGTACTTTTAACATAAAGCTATAATCCCAAGATACCTCTTATTTGGGGACATGATGGTTTTGGAAACTGGTGCTTCCTTTTGTCTAAATAAATAATCACTGTAAATCTAGTCTTGATTATTAAAAGGAGACAAAAAGATAAAAGGAGTGTTCTGAACCACCTGTGCTTGAAGCTCAGTTAATAGTTTCCAGACTATTAAGCCTACAAAATGTATATCTTACACATTTTGCTAAAATAAAAAGACCTTTTAGCTTTGATCAAGACAAGATCAAATATTTGGTTTGATTATACTCCTAAAACGTACATATTCTCAGACAGATAAACAGATGTGATTTTCTTTCGTTCTTTTTCTGGATGTATACAGAAACCTTTTTTTTTTCTTTTTTTGGTAGAGACAGGCTCTCCCTATGTTGCCCAGGCTGGTCTCAAACTATTGGGCTCAAACAATCCTCCCACCTTGGCTTCCCAAAGTGTTGGGAGTATAGGCATGAGCCACTGCACCCAACCCCAGAAACGTTTAATTTAACTATAGGATAAGTTAGCTATCATTTAGGTGCCTTTACTAAAGTCTGTTAAAATGACATAAAATAATGACAATGTGTGGGGCGCAGTGACTCACGCCTATAATCCAAGCACTTTGGGAGGCCCAGTTGGGAGGATGGCTTGAGCCCAGGAGTTTGAGACCAGCCTGGGCAACATAGTGAGACCTCATCTCTACAAAAAAATTAAAAAATTAGGCCGGGTGCGGTGGCACGTACCTGTAATCCCAGCACTCTGGGAGGCCGAGGCAGGTGGATTGCTCAAGATCAGGAGTTCGAGACCAGCCTGGCCAACATGGTGAAACCCCATCTCTTCTAAAAAAAAAAAAATACAAAAATTAGCTGGGCATGGTGGTGGGCACCTGTAATCCCAGCTACTCGAGAGGCTGAGGCAGGGGAATTGCTTGAACCCAGGAGGCGGCGCTTGCAGTGAGCCAAGATTGTGCCACTGCACTCCAGCCTGGGTGACAGAGCAACGCTCTGTCTCAAAAAATGGAAAAAAAAAAAGAAAAAATTAGCTGAGCATGGTGGCACACACCTGTCATGCTGGCTACTCAGGAGGCTGAAGTAGGGGGATTGCTTGAGCCTGGGAAGTAGAGGCTGCAGTTAGATGGGATTGCGCCACTGCACTCCTGCCTGGGTGACAGAGTGAGACCCTGTCTCAAAAAAAAAAAAAAAAAAAAAAAAAGACAACGCCTCTACTCCTTTAGCCAACTTTCTAAAAAAATTAAACATTTTAGGGAGAGAAATCGATGTTTCCTTTACTTACAGATGGCATTGCTCTTAAATAGTCCTATGCCTATTAGACAGTTAAATTTAATTTTTACTGAGTTCCTTGATATTAAAAATATACCAGCGTTTTGACCTGATTACTGTAGAGTGAAGATCATCAGTTGACACAGAACTTCCAGCCAGCATTTTAATGCTTTCCTCTGAAATATGAATGGACAGCGATAGATCTCTGAATATTTGAGGAGAGCCTCTAATAGGAGTTATGGAGACTAAAATAAACAAGCAGACAAAGGCCCTTAGTTGATTTAAGCTGATTTATCTCACATTACCTAAATATCCAAAAAGTCAGCAGTTATTACTTTATCTGTGACCTCCCAAAGCCACTTACCAAACCAGGTATGAGTAGCAAATTCGAAGATTTGTTGCCTTTTTCAGACATGGTGTAGGTAGGATCTTTCCTGTATTCATTCAACCTGCCTAGTTGTTTGAGGATCCCAGCCAGGTTGAAGGTTGTAAATATTTCCTTAAGGCTTACTTAGCTTCAGTGCAGGATCAGAGGCTAATTTCTGGCAGAGTTCTATGTCTTAGGGGATCATTAGCTGTCTATTTTTCCTTTCTCTTTTTACTGCAAGATTTCTTCAAGAATAGCTAGTTACTTCCTTTTCCTTGCCATCTTTAATCCTCTACAATCTTGTTTCAAACAGTTACAACCCATGACTTCTTTTATTGCCACATCTACATCTTGGTTGTTACCTTTCCTCTCTTGCTTGGCCCCTTTACTGTTTTTAGCTGTAGGTGAGGACCACTCTTCAGGTTGGCTCCTGCTGTTTCTCTGACTGCTTCCTTTTTCTTTTTAGGTTCTTGATTTTCCCTTCCATTTCTAATTGAGCAGTCCCCAAGATTTTGTCCTTATGTCTCCTTCCATGTTCTTTTTCCATCTTGAGAAGACTTTCTTTGACTCATCTTTAATCCATAAGCATGTATTTAGCATCATAATAAAGAACTGGCGGCCAGGCGCAGTGGCTCACGCCTGTAATCCCAGCACTTTGGTATGGACGAATCACCTGAGGTCAGGAGTTCAAGATCAGCATGACCAACATGGTGAAACACCGTCTCTACTAAAAATACAAAAATCAGCTGGGCGTGGCGCACACCTGTAATCCCAGCTACTCGGGAGGCTGAGGCAGGAGAATCGCTTGAATCCGGGAGGTGGAGGCTGCAGTGATCTGAGATCGCGCCACTGCACTCCAGCCTGGGCGACAGGGTGAGTCTCCATCTCAAAAAACAAACAAACAACAACAACAACAACAACAAAAAAAAAACCGCCATGTAGGAGACGGCCAAAGAGGAATTAGACAGATTTCCTGCTCTCAGGTAACTTGAAGTACATATGAATTTATACTCTTTTCCATTCTGTATCTTCTTTTTTAAAAATTTTTATTTTTAGTAGATGTGGGGTTTTACCATGTTGGCCAGGCTGGTCTCAAACTCCTGACCTCAAGTGATCTGCCTGCCTTGGCCTTCCAAGGTGTTGGGATTACAGGTGTGAGCCACTGCGCCTGGCCTCCCCTCTGTATATTGTTATCAAACATAATTGATCTGTTTTGAAAACGCATCTTTTACTTTTTGTTTTCTCTCCATTCCCACTGCTACAGTGCCAGCCCTTAGCCCCTCTTATTTGTGCTTATTATGTTTTGGGTGCTCCAGAAATACATTTTGTTTTATTTTATTTTATTTATTTATTTTTTGAGATGGAGTCTCACTCTGTCACCCAGGCTGGAGTGCACTGGCGCAATCTCGGCTCACTGCAAGCTCCGCCTCCCGGGTTCACACCATTCTCCTGTCTCAGCCTCCCAAGTAGCTGGGACTACAGGTGCCTGCCACCATGCCTGGCTAATTTTTTGTATTTTTAGTAGAGACAGGGTTTCACCGTGTTAGCCAGGATGGTCTTGATCTCCTGACCTCGTGATCCGCCCTCCTTGGCCTCCTAAAGTGCTGGGATTACAGGTGTGAGCCACCGCGCCTGGTCCTTATTTTATTATTATTTTTTTGAGATGGAGTCTCGTTCTGTCACCCAGGCTGGAGTGCAGTGGCACTATCTTGGCTCACTGAAACCTCCACCTCCAGGGTTCAAGTGATTTTCCTGCCTCAGCCTCCCAGGTAGTTGGGATTACAGGTGCCTGCCATCACGCCTGGCCAAATTTTTATATTTTTAGTAGAGATGGGGTTTCACACTATGTTGTCCAGGCTGGTCACAAACTCCTGACCTCAAGTGATCCACCTGCCTTGGCCTCCCAAAGGGTTGGGATTACATATGAATTTGTACTCTTTTCCATTCTGTATCTGGGTGATACAGAATGTGTGAGCCATTGCGCCCAGCCTAGAAATACATTTTAAATTAATGCATGAATCAGTCTATTTTGATTATCATTAAACTTCCAAGATGGCTTTCTTTATTGTCTGTTTCATCAAGCATACCTCTGCCAGGCTGATCTTCCTTAAACATAACTTTCATCTTACCAGTTTGTTAAAAACCTCTTATAATTACAGTAATATGATATTGTCTTTATTTTATTTTTTATTTTATAAAAAATTACGTAGTAGAGATGGGGTCTCGCTATGTTGCCCAGGCTGGTCTTAAACAACTGGGCTCAAGTGATCTGCCCGCCTTGGCCTACCAAAGTGCTGGGATTACAGGCGTGAGCCACTGTGCCCAGTTGATATTGTCTTTTAACAAGTCAAAATAGCCAGCATAAAAAAAAATGATCATATACAACTGGCAAGGTCCCATGGGATATGGCCCCTTCTTTGGCTGCATCTCCTACTCCTCCAGCAGCTACAGTGACCTCTGGCTGTTTCCTGAGTGCCACAGGTACTCTAGGCATGCCCCTGCCTTGGAGCCTGTGTTGTTGCTGCTCCTTCTCCCTGGAATGTCCTTTCGCCAGATAGCTTTGCAGCTTGCTCCCTCCTTCCTTCAGATCTGTACTCAGATATCCCCGCTGTGGCCAGGCTGTCCATGGCAGTCTTACGATTCCAGCCCCTCTCCTGCAACTTTTTCTCCTTAGCCCTCTACTGTACTATATCTTATTCATCTTTTTTCTTTTTTTTTCACCTGCCTCTCCTACTAGAACGTAAGCTCCATAAGGGCAGGGACTTGTCTGTCTTGTTCACTGCTGCGTTGCCAGGGCCCACAGCAGGGCCTGGCACATAGGTGCTTAATAGATATTGTTGAATGATTGAACTGAATATTGTTGAGAATGTGTTGTGATACTAGTACTCTTTTATGCTACTGATGGTAGTGTTAATTTGTATAATCTTCCTAGGAAGCCATTTGGCTCTATATTTAAGAACCTGATACTTTTTGTATATCTTTTCACCTAGTAGCTCCACTTCCAGAATGTGATCTTAGGAACTAATCAGAAATACATGTAAAACTTAAAACACAGAGGTGCTCATTTAAATTTCTATTTATTTTTAAACATTTCTGTAAAATATAACATAAAAATTACCATTTTAACCATCTCAAGTATACGATTCAGTAGTATTAAGTACATTCACATGGTGTGCCACCATTCCAGAACGCTTTTCATCTTGCAAAACTGAATCTCTATACCTATTAAACAAAACTTCCTATTCCCCAATTCCCAGCCCATGGCAACCAATGTTCTACTTTCTGTCTCTATGATTGTGACTTCTCCAGGTACCTCATATAAATGGAATTATATGGTATTTATCTTTTTGTGACTGACTTATTTTACTTTATGTAATGTTCTCAAGGTTCATCCATGTTGTAGCATGTGTCAGAAATTCCTTCTTTCTTAAGGCTGAATTATGTTCCGTTGTGTATATGTGCCACATTTTGTTTATCCATTCGTCTGTTGATGGACATTTGAGTTGCCTTTTGGCTATTGTGAATAATGCTGCTATGAACATGGGTGTGAAAACATCTGTTGGAGTCCCTGCTTTGAGTTCTTTTGGATATATAACCAGAAGTGGAATTGCTAGGTCATATAGTAATTCTATTCTTAATTTTTTGAGAAACTAAATAGTTTTTAAAAATAGCAAAACATTATAACAGTCTAAAAGTCCAGCATTGAAGAATAGTTAACCAAGTCTAGCTATATACATATGATGTTGCCAGTAGAGTTACATTTATAAAGTTTTTAATAACATGGGGGAGATTATTATTTTAAGTGAAAAGAGCAACATGGTTTCAACTGTGTTTTAAAAACTGCATTGCAGTCCAGGCGCGCCTGGATCACAGGCTGGTTCACGCCTGTGATCCCAGCACTTTGGGAAGCTGATGGGGGTGGATCACCTGAGGTCAGGAGTTCAAAACCAGCCTGGCCAACATAGTGAAACCCCATCTCTACTAAAAATACAAAAAGTAGCCAGGCGTGGTGGCACACTCCTGTAATCCCAGCTACTTGGGAGGCTGAGGCAGGAGAATTGCTTGAACCCGGGAGGTGGAGGTTGCAGTGAGCTGAGATCGTGCCACTGCACTTCAGCCTGGGTGACAAAGCAAGACTCTGTCTCAAAAAAACAAACAAAAACCAAAAAAACCCACCAAAAACAAAAAAAGAAAGCTGCATTGCTGGGCATGGTGGCATGCACCTGTAGTCCCAGCTCCTTGGGAGGCTGAGGCGGGAGGATGGCTTAAGCCCAGGAGTTCAAGGCTGTGTAGTACATTATGATCTCACCTCTGAATAGCCACTGCACTCCAGCCTGGGCAACATAGCAAAACCCCATCTCTAAAACAAAAAACAAAAAAAAATTACATACAAAACTGGTAGGAGATACACTGAAATGTTAATAAAAATGAGGTGATATCTATATGCATCTAATTTTCTTCTGTACTTTCTAAATTGAGCAGGCATTACTTTTATTATTTAGGAAAAAAACGCACAAAAAAAGTCAAGAGTACTCATTACCAACTACTACTGTATGGAATCCAGAGCCTTCCAGAGTTTGTAGAGCTCTTCATACTCTGGCTCTAGCCCTTGTTTTTATTTTCTGTCTAAAATGGCTAATCTCATAACTGCATGTCATATATGTGTATAATATATGTATATTCATATGTATGTCTGTATGTCTGTGTGTTGTATATATATGTGTTTATGTCTGTACACATTGTCTGTAGTTAACACACCTCTGCTCATGTTCTCATCCTAAAGAGTACTTAGTTCTGTTCGTCTAAAACTCTGCTCAGCCTTTAATACCTAGTTACAATTCCATTGTTTTCTTGAAATCTATGCTGACTTCTGAACTTCTATACCCCTTATACCTAAGGGATCCGTAAGTTTACATATATGTAAGATTGGCAGAAAATTAACCTACAATTAAAACCTCACATTTCTTAATTCTCTTTAATCTTTAAGTTGCTACTTTCATAATTCTTTTTTTTTTTTTTTTTGAGATGGAGTCTTGCTTTGTCGCCCAGGCAAGACTGGTGCGATCTCGGCTCACTGCAGTCTCCGCCTCCTGGGTTCAAGCAATTCTCCTGTCTCAGCCCCCCGAGTAGCTAGGATTACAGGCACCCACCACCACGCCCAGCTAGTTTTTGTATTTTTAATAAAGATGGGGTTTCACCATATTGGCCAGGCTGGCCTCGAACTCCTGAATTCAGGTGATCGCCTGCCTTGACCTCCCAAAGTGCTGGGATTACAGGCGTGAGCCATCGTGCCTGGCCTGCTTTCGTAACTCTTATAGTACCTGTCTGGAAAATGCCCTGGCTTTTCTCTGCTTATCTAATTCTCATTCATCCTACTCCCCTGCAATTTTTTATTTTGAAAATAATTCCAGCACAGAAAAGTTTAATTGGTACAATGAATTCCCTTATACTCTTCATCTACATTCACCAGTTGTTAATATTTTGCCATATTTGTATCTTTTCGTGTGTGTGTGTGTGTGTGTGTGTGTGTGTGTGTGTACATCTTTTCTTCCTGGACCATTGGTCATTTGAAAGTAGGTTGCAGACATCATGATACTTCACTCCTAAACACTTCAGCATGTATCTCTTAAGTATGTTCTCCCAAATAAGCACAGTACCATGATCACACCCACGAAATTTAATGTCAGTACAAACATATTATCTAATATTCAGTCCACATTCATTCACTTGGCATGTCTCTTTGATGTCCTTTTATCCAGAATAGCTCCTTTGCCTTTTTTTCTTTCATGACATTGACATTTTTGGAGTCCGGGCTAGTTGTAGAATGTTCTGCAATCTGGATTTATCTTATCTTCTCATAATTAGAAGCAGGGTTAAATATGGTTTTGTTTTGTTTTTTGTTTTTTTTTTTGGCAAGAATACCACATAGTAAAAAGTACCTTCTTCCCTTAATAATTAACAAGGAATCTATGAGGTGATATTTTTAGATTGTGTACATATCCTGTATCCCCCACAAACTCACCCAAGGATTTTGGCATCTCACTCCTCCCTTTAAAAAGTATGACTCTGCAAAGCCTTCTTTGTCCATCCTTGTCTATAGTAACCTGTTTCTTTTCCCATTCAAGCATCGAAATAGGCGTTTAAATAAGAAGGGGAAGAAGTGAATGTAGTTCAAAGCACCTTATTTTCCAGAGGAGTGTTTAGTGTTTTGCCCAAGAGCAACTGTGTAGTTGGTAACAACTGTTTTAGGACTAGAACCTGGGTTTCCTGATTCTTATCTAGTGCTATTTCCAGCTGCCTCTTAGTGACCCCTAACCAATAAGACAAAACAAATACAGTATAATCTCAAATAGAGTATAACTTTTTTGCAAGTAGAAAGAAAGCATATATTATGTTTTCTTTTGCGTACATTCCTTTATTCATTTATTCAAAAGAGGCAGATCAGCCTCCTCTCCTGCTCCCCCCACTCCATCCCCCTGCGCCCCACAGTGTCCTTTACCCTCCAGCCACACTGAAGCAGAGCTCCAGGCTCTCTCCTCTCTCTGCCTGCTTCTGTGCTTCCCTTTGGCTTGTTCCATTCTCCCTTCCCTTGTTGTTTTCTCCTAAGCATTACATGAGCTTAGCTAGTTGCTCAGAGGAGGCCTTTACCTACCTGCAGGCTATGTTAGGTACCCTCTTCTGTGTTATTGTAAGACTCTATGTATCCATGTTTATCTTTTCTTTTTTTCCCTTTGGGTAATTGTTGTTTACAATTTCTTCTCGCAGGATGATGAGCTCCTTGAGGTCAGGAATTTTGTTTAGTTTGCCTTGGGCCTGCCACTTGGAGGTGCTCAGTCGATATTTGCTTTACCTGTAAAGCTACTTCATCTCTGTGGTCATTGATTACTTTACCATAAAGGCAGGGTTGAGACTCAGACCTCCACGTCTCTCCAGTTTTGACAGCTTCCATAAATATTTGATCTATAATGTGCAAGGCAGTGTGGAAAATGCAAAGCCATTTTACGTGTTGAGCAAGTCCTTCAGGAACATGGGGGAAAGTCCTGGCTGTAGTTATAAAAAGACAGAATGAGTTCATTGGTGCTGCAGGGAATGTTACAAAGTGCTTTAGCAATGGGAAGATGAAGGTGTTCTTAGGGCAGTCTCAAAGGAGGCCAGAGGCTGGGGGAGGGTCAGAACATTTTAGTTGCAGGGACCAATACTGGGAAAGGCACAGAGGCAGAAAGGTTGTGTTTGGGAGAATTGTGAGCAGTTGATTTGACTGGCTCTTAGGATTCTTTGCCCTACATTTAATGTACATATTGATTATTCTTGTGATATATTGATTGTTGTCCGGAATCTTTTCCATTTTGCTTTTAGGGATACCTAAAAGCAATTAGTGATACTAATTGAACTTGTATATTGACAGAAAAGTCTCTCACGGGGGTAATTTCTATCATGCAGGACTTTTTTAAAGCACTTGTGCTAGCTGTTGTTTGAATCAAAGTATTGTTTTTTTAAAGATCTATTCTTCCCTGCTTGTGCAACTCCTTTGAGCCCAAATTCTTCACTCCTAGGTTAAACAGGGTAAGCTTCAGGGGAAGTACATTAATAATTGAACACCCGTGAGGTGTTACTGCTTCTGTTCTGCACTTTTAGTGTTTTCTGTAGCCTGAAAGAGTTACTTCACTATTTTGATTTGCAACCGGGATAGAACTTGAAGCACCGTTAAGAAAGGATTGGAGACTTTGTCATGGTACTTATTTTCCAGATGTTTACTTTTTAAATAAGGAAAAACTACAACATGTTAATAACCAACTTGGAAAAAACAATATTGTGATCTGAGAAAGAACAAAACACATGCCATACTTAATATGTTAGTATCCATTTTTTCCCCTTCAAATACAATTCTGCATGTATCTGAGTAGCTCTTCACCAAATGCCAGAACTTTTTACTCAGAGTAAATGTTGATGAGATAGGACATGTGAACCATTGAAGAACTGATTTTTTTTCTCATAAATACTAACTTACTCTGAACTAGTTTATAGTTACTAACCCCACTGCCATAAATTCTCCAGTCATATGTTTTGTAATCCCTTCCCTGGCATACATTTTAATCATTTTCCTACTGCTTCATAGGTACTATAATCCTTTTATAGTTCCCTGGGTTTTAAAATAACCCTATAAAGGGTTCAGTTTTATATTTAATAGTCATGTTTCACACTGTTCTAAAGCTGTGAATAAGTTCAGGCAAGCAGAAGTTTCTAATTTGAAACGACTTTGTTTCTGTTTTAGAAAGATGTATGCGTCTTCTAGTGTTTTTCATTGTGATGATGTTATATATTGGCTAGAATTTTAAAAATATTTGGAAATACTTATAAAGTGAAGAAAAATGAAGAAAAAAAACCACTGACTGCTGAGCACAGTGGCTCGCGCCTGTAATTCCAACACTTTGGGAGGCCGAGGTGGGCAGATCACATGAGGTCAGGAGTTTGAGATTAGCCTGGCCAATGGTGAAACCCTGTCTCTACTAAAAATACAAAAATTAGCTGGGCGTAGTGGTGCACGCCTGTAATCCCAGCTACTTGGGAGGCTGAGGCAGGAGAATCACTTGAGTCTGGGAGATGGAGGTTGCAGTGAGCTGAGTTTGCGCCACTGCACTCCATCCAGCCTGGTTGACAGACTGAGACTCTGTCTCAAAAACAAACAAACAGGCCAGGCGCGGTGGCTCATGCCTGTAATCCTAGCACTTTGGGAGGCCAAGGCGGGCAAATCACGAGGTCAGGAGATCGAGACCATCTGGCTAACACGGTGAAACCCTGTCTTTACTAAAAATACAAAAAAAAATTAGCCGGGCGTGGTGGCAGGCACCTGTAGTCCCAGCTACTCAGGAGGCTGGGGCAGGAGAATGGCGTGAACCCGGGAGGTGGAGCTTGCAGTGAGCCGAGATTGCACCACTACACTCCAGCCTGGGGATAGAGCGAGACTCCCTCTCAAAAAACAAAAAAACAAACACAAACAAAAACCCCACACAGGTAAAAACATTCATCTTGTAATTTTCTATTATCAGGTTTCAAAAGATCACTTCTTTCTTGAAACATACATTGTATGTCTTTTGGTGAACAAGATTGTTGTTGTCTTCCTGGTGCTGACAGTTTGGTGGGGGAGATAGACATGAAGCAAATCATCACACGAATAAACTCATCTGCATGTGCTGTGGGGGAGAAGTACTTAGTGCCCTGAGAATATTGGCAGGTGGGACGGGAGGGAAGAAAGTAGCTTTTGGGTGACTTGAGATCTGACAGATAAGTAGGCGTCAACTAGAGGAAATTTGGGTGTGGAAAAGAGACTATTGCAGGGAGACATGATAAGGTGGGAGGTAACATTGTACACTCAAGGAGCTGAAAGATGATTAGTGTGGCTGGAACACAAATAATTTGTGTGTGTGCATGTTGAGGGGTAGGTTGGGTGGTACAAGATGCTATTGGCGAAGTCAGCAGAAGCAAGCAGGGACTCCAGCAGGCAGACCTTGCAGGCCACACTAAGGGTTCCAGGATTTCTTCTAAGAGCAACAATATGTCCTTGAAGTATTGGGGGTACATGAGCATGACATTATTAGAGTTGCATTTTCAAAAGGTCTTCTGTGTGGAAAATCTTTTGATGAGGAGAGAGAAAAGATGTGGAGAGACAGAGACTGGCATTTGGAGGCCTTTGCAGAAGTCTGGTAAGAAATGATGACAGCTGGGTGGTTGGGATGGGGAGAGGATGATTGATTTGAAGATGCCAAAAAGGACAAGGCTTTACCAACCCCCCTTTCAATGATAGAGAGAGAGAGGCAAAATATAGATATTATCTTCATAACCGGGGCCCGAAAAGTCAAAGATCATGCAGTTAGTAAGCAGAAGTAGACCTGGCACTGGAAGCTGTCTGACCTCACATACGCTGCTCTCTTTTATGGCACTCTGCCTTTTTAGGAGAGAACCTTGAGTTTGGAGAACTTAGGTATTCTCTGACTGACACAGCACCAACTACAGTGTCCAGCTCTTGTGCATTAAAGCTAAATTTAGGCAATGGACTCATATCTGACAATGAGCATTGCTTTGTCAGGTTCACTAGATACCATTTATTTATTTATTTGAGGTGGAGTCTTGCTGTGTTGCCCAGGCTGGAGTGCAGTGGTGTGATCTCGGCTCACCGCAACCTCCGCCTCCCCGATTCAAGCAATTCTCCTGCCTCAGCCTCCTGAGGAGCTGGGATTACAGGCACATGCCACCACGCCTGGCTAATTTTGTATTTTTAGTAGAGAAGGGGTTTCTCCATGTTGGTCAGGCTGATCTTGAACTCCCGACCTCAGGTAATCCGCCTGCCTCAGCCTCCCAAAGTGCTGGGATTACAGGCATGAGCCACCACACCTGGCGGTAGTAGTGATTTAAATGGTATCTAGTGGCCGGGCACAGTGGCTCATGCCTGTAATTCTAGCACTTTGGGAGGCCGAGACAGGCAGATCACTTGAGGTCAGAAGTTCGAGACCAGCCTGGCCAATATGGAGAAACCCCATCTCTACTGAGAAAATACTAAAAATACGCGCGTGGTGGCGCGTGCCTGTAATCCCAGCTACTAGGGAAGCTGAGGCAGGAATCTGGAAGGTGCTTGAATCTGGAGGGCGGAGGTTGCAGTGAGCCGAGATTGCGCCACTGTACTCCAGCTTGGGCAACAAGAGTGAAACTCCATCTCAAATAATAATAATAACAATAATAATAATAACAACAACAACAAATAAATCACTACTACCTTCTGATGAGGAGACACACTCCATCCTAACTATTGGGTTGTGAATAAGCTTATCAGTAAAGTCACAGTTTACCAATCTGTTTGATAATACTGGTTTATTGAGTCCATGATATGTTCCTAGCACTCTATTAGTTATAAAAGATACCTAAAGCACGACCACTATAGAACTTACTATCTAATAGGGGAGAAAAGACTCAAATACATGATTCCAGCATGACAGCTCCTGTCGTGGAGATACATGCAGGATGCTATGGGCACCCAGAGGAAGGACTTTGGGCCGAGAGTTAGTCACAGGCAGATATTGGTATTAATCATTATGTGGTAATATTTCCTGAACAAGAGCATAGGCGTTGTCAGGCAAAAATGTCTAGAAAATACTCAGTTGATTAATTTGATGGAGGAAAAATAACTTCTAAGGTAAAAATGAAATGTTTGTAAGTTATGAAGGTTACAGTTTCAGGCTGATAAGGAGTTTAGCAAAATTGCCTTAAACATTAATTCACTTGTGGAAATAATATGAGAAACAGAGTCTTACCATATTTTTCAACTGTGCATGTATTTTTTAATATGTAGTTATTTAGTATGATATTAATATTTTGTCAGTTATTATTTTTCTTTGAAGGTGATTTAGGCCTGGGTGAGGTGGCTCACATCTGTAATCTTAGCACTTTGGGAGGCTTGAGGCGGGAGGATTGCTTGGAGCTAAGAGTTCTAGACCAGCCTGGACAATAAAGCTGAGACCCCATCTTTACAAAAATTAGCCGGGTGTGGTGATGCGCACCTGCACTCCCAGCTACTCATGACACTGAGGCTGGAGGATCGCTTAAGCCCAGGAATTCAAGGTTGTATAGAGCTATGATTAAACCAGTACACTCCAGCCTGGACAACGTGAGACCCTGTCTCAAAAAAAAGAAAAAGAAAATAATTTGGGAAAACTCACTGTAATTTTAATTTTAAGGGGATGCTTTATAATAAAGCAAGAATTGCAAGATAAAAGTCACTTTTCAGCAATTTGTTTTACAGAAGCTACATTAGGACATATCTCTATCTTTAAGTGAGGTGTACTCATATATATATTTTTCCCTTTCTGTAATATTAGTTCCTCCTGGGGGCAATAGGAATTCTTTCTTTCTCTTTTTTTTTTTTTTTTTTTTTTTTGAGATGGAGTCTCATTCTGTCACCCAGGCTTGAGTGCAGTGGTGTGATCTCAGCTCACTGCAACCTCTGCCTCTTGGATTCAAGCAATTCTCCTGCCTCAACCTCCCAAGTAGCTGGGACTACAGGCGCCTGCCACCATAGCTGGCTAATTTTTGTATTTTTTTAGTAGAGACAGAGTTTTACTATATTGGCCAGGCTGGGTTTTTTTTGAGGCGGAGTCTCACTCTGTCACCCAGGCTGGAGTGTAGTGGCGCAGTCTTGGCTTACTGCAACCTCCACCTCCTGTGTTCAAGTGATCCTCCTGCCTCAGCCTCCTGAGTATCTGGGATTACAAGCGTGTGCCACCATGCCCTGATAATTTTTGTATTTTTAGTAGAGACAGGGTTTCACCATGTTGGCCAGGCTGGTTTCGAATTCTTGATCTCAAGTGATCTGCCTGCTTTGGCCTCCCAAAGTGCTGGGATTATGGGGATGAGCCACCATGCCTGGCTGAAAGTATTTCTTTTAAGCCTGAGTCATTCTGTGGGCTTTGAGCACGCTTGCATGCTTTTAAGGATAACTTGCCAAACTGAATCTACCTTTATTTTGCTGTGTGTTTTATGGTTGTCTAAAAATTTTAGAAACTTTTTTTTTTCTTTTTTTTTTTTTTTACAGACAAGGTCTCACTTTGTTGCCCAGGCTGGGGTGCAGTGGTCTGATCCTAGCTCACCGCAATATTGACCTTCTGGGCTCTAGCAGTCCTCCCACCTCAGCCTCTTGAGTAGCTGGCACTATAGGTGTGTGCCGCCATGCCTGGCTAATTTTTTTTTTTTTTGAGACAGGAATTTCGCTCTTGTTGCCCAGGCTGGAGTGCAATGGCACAATCTCGGCTCACTGCAACCTCTGCCTCCTAGGTTCAAGCTATTCTCCTGCCTCAGCCTCCCGAGGAGCTGGGATCACAGGCATGCGCCACCACACCCGGCTAATTTTGTATTTTTAGTAGAGACAGGGTTTCTCCATGTTGGTCAGGCTGGTCTCGAGCTCCCGACCTCAGTTGATCCACCCACCTCGGCCTCCCAAAGTTCTGGGATCACAGGCGTGAGCCACCACGCCCGGCCAATTTTTTAAATTTTTTGGGAGAGTCAGAGTCTTTGCTATAATGTCCAGGCTTGTCTTGAACTCCTGGGCTCAAACAGTCGTCCTGCCTTGGCCTCCCAAAGGGCTGGGATTATAGGCGTGAGCCACCACGCTGGCCAGAAACTGATTTTAATAATATTTTAAAAATGTTAAATGATGGGGGCCGGGCGCAGTGGCTCACGCCTGTAATCCCAGCACTTTAGGAGGCCAAGACTGGCGGATCATGAGGTCAGGAAATCGAGACCATCCTGGTTAACATGGTGAAACCCCGTCTCTACTAACAATATGAAAAATTGGCTGGGCGTGGTGGCGGGTGCCTGTAGTCCCAGCTACTCGGGAAGCTGAGCCAGGAGAATGGCATGAACCTGGGAGGCGGAGCTTGCAGTGAGCCGAGATTGCACCACTGCACTCCAGCCTGGGTGACAGAGTGAGACTCCGTCTCAAAAACAAAAACAAACAAACAAAAGTTAAATGATGACATAGTGAGACCCTGTCTCTACCAAAAAAAAAAAAAAAAAGTTAAATGGATACCCTTTCACATAAGTCTGTTTAAATTCATTAGTTGGGGCACTGGGGAACATTGGAGCTTGTTTTCCTGAGGAACCCGAGTGTTGGGGGCAACCTAGTATTCCACCCCATCTGGTAGAAGCTCTATAGGATGTGTTACGTAGGTCTCTTAAATATATCAATGCAACTGTGACTAAAAAGTAGTTCTGCTTCAGTACTTGAATAGAAGTCCTTGATGGTTCTGGGCTGGAAACATATAGGGTGTGCTAATAAGGTTGGTAAGAACTCTGTATGTTGGTGATGTCATTGTGAAGTCAGTTGGTATATTTATTGCAGGGAAACTTGGAATTATTTCCTACTGATGAGTGTAAAGGAGAAAATATAATTTGGCATTTGTTGAACTACTTAACCATTCTCTTAAGCCAGTTTTACTAAGCTTTAAAATGTCAGTATTGCACCTGTTATATTATGAAACTTTATGGACATGACTTGAGATTTCTCAGTGAAGAATTACAGGAAATAAAATTTTAAAAAATCAAAAGTGCTGGTTTCAGTTTTTATTTAGATTGTTACTTAAAACTTATAATCTAGCACAATGGGAGAGTTTTCAGGTGATAATAATTGTAGCTTCATTTATTTATTTATTGAGATGGAGTCTCACTCTGTCGCCCAGGCTGGAGTGCAGTGATGCGACCTCGGCTTGCTGCAACCTCTGCCTCCTGGGTTCAAGCAGTTCTCCTGCCTCAGCCTCCTGAGTAGCTGGGATTACAGGTGCCCGCCACTACACCTGGCTAATTTTTTTGTATTTTTAGTAGAGACACGGTTTCACCATGTAGGCTAGGCTGGTTTTGAACTCCTGAAGACCTCAAGTGATCCACCTGCCTCGGCCTCCCAAAGTGCTAGGATTACAGGCATGAGCCACTGTGCCCGGCCTATTTATTTATTTTTAAAGATGAGATCTCATTCTGTCATCCAGGCTGGAGTGCACTGGCTTGATCTCAGCTCACTACAGTGTCCACCTTCAGGGCTCAAGCGATCCTCCCACCTCAGCCTGCTGAGTAGCTGCGACCACAGGCACGTGCCACCATGTCTGGCTAATTTTCTGTATTTCTGGTAGAGACTGGGTTTTGTCATGCTGGCTAGGCTGGTCTCTAGCTCCTAAACTCAGGCAATCCACCTGCCTTGACCTCCCAAAATGCTGGGATTACAGGCATGAGCCACTGTGCCTGGCCTAATTGTAGCTCTATGTATTATTGACTATATGCGAGGTACTGTGCTATTTAATTTTACCTAACAACAGCCCAGTGAAGCCCAATGAGTAAATTATTAGTTCCAATTTATAAGTCAGGAAACCAAAGCTCAGAAAGGCCAAATCACTTGCTCAAGGTTACTTTGTGAGTAAGTGGCATAGTAAGAATTGAACCCCAGACTGCTCAAAGACACCAAACCACTGTGCTATTTTCTATGTAACATTGTATTTTTCTTTTCTTTTCTTTTCTTTTTTTTTTTTTTTTTGAGACAGGGTTTCCCTCTGTCATCAGGAGGCTGGAGTGCAGTGGTGTGATTATAGCTCACTTTAGCCTCGACCTCCTGGGCTCAAGCAATCCTCCTGCCTCAGCTTCCTGAGTAGCTGGGACCACAGGCACACAGCACCATGCCTGGCTCATTCTTTGTATTTTTGGGGTCTCACTATGTGGCTTGGGCTGTATCGAACTTCTGGACTCAACTGATTCTCCCACTTTGGTCTCCCAAAATGCTGGGAATACAGGCATGAGACACCGTGCCTGGCCTGTATTTTTCAATAGTCATATTTAATAAAATTTTTAAAGGCATAATTCAATTAATAAATGTAAGATGATGAGGGACCTGATACAGTTTCACCTTTCATGTTTCCTATGACATCTCTTCAGAAGCGTTTGTTGAGCCACTGTATGCAGTGCACAATGCTGCTAGGCATTTGTGGACAATGCAAAGATGATGACATCTTGGCCTCCTGGGTGATCCAGGAATTTACAGCAATGCAATCCAGGTCCAGGAATTTACAATCCAGGAATTTTCGGGGAGAAAGACATTGCCAGTAATTTTTGGATAAGCTGGTTCTTCTGGATAGATAAAAGGACATTGTTAAGAACCACTTGCTGGCTGGAGGTGGGGACTTCAAGGGGACTTCATTTTTTGAGAAGGACCTTAAAAGGTGGTAAGATTGGGATCTCTTCAAGGAAAACTACAAACCACTGCTCAATGAAATAAAAGAGGACACAAATAGAAGAACATTCCATGCTCATGGATAGGAAGAATCAATATCGTGAAAATGGCGATACTGCCCAAGGTAATTTATAGATTCGATGCCATCCCCATCAAGCTACCAATGACTTTCTTCACAGAATTGAAAAAACTACTTTAAAGTTCATATGGAACCAAAAAAGGGCCCGTGTTGCCAAGACAGTCCTAAGCAAAAAGAACAAAGCTGGAGGCGTCACACTACCTGACTTCAAACTATGCTACAAGGCTACAGTAACCAAAACAGCATGGTACTGGTGCCAAAACAGAGGTATAGACCAATGGAACAGAACAGAGGCCTCAGAAATAACACCACACATCTACAACCATCTGATCTTTGACAAACCTGACAAAAGCAAGAAATGGGGAAGGGATTCCCTATTTAATAAATGGTGCTGGGAAAACTGGCTAGCCATATGTAGAAAGCTGAAACTGGATCCCTTACACCTTATACAAAAATTAATTCAAGGTGGATTAAAGACTTAAATGTTAGACCTAAAACCATAAAAACCCTAGAAGAAAACCTACGCAGTACCATTCAGGATATAGGCATGGGCAAGAACTTCATGACTAAAACACCAAAAGCAATGGCAACAAAAGCCAAAACTGACAAATGGGATCTAATTAAACTAAAGAGCTTCTGCACAGCCAAAGAAACTACCATCAGAGTGAACAGGCAACCTACAGAATGGGAGAAAATTTTTGCAATCTACCCATCTGACAAAGGGCTAATATCCAGAATCTACAAAGAACTTAAACAAATTTACAAGAAAAAAACAAACAACCCCATCAAAAAGTGGGCAAAGGATATGAACAGACACTTCTCAAAAGAAGACATTTATGCAGCCAACAGACACATGAAAAAATGCTCATCATCACTGGTCATCAGAGAAATGCAAATCAAAACCACAATGAGATACCATCTCAAACCAGTTAGAATGGTGATCATTAAAAAGTCAGGAAACAGGCCAGGAGCGTTGGCTCACGCCTGTAATCCCAGCACTTTGGGAGGCTGGGGCAGGTGGATCACGAGGTCAGTTCAAGACCAGCCTGACCAACATGGTGAAACCCCATCTCTATTAAAAATACAGAAGTTAGGCCAGGCATGGTGGCTCACGCCTGTAATCCCAGCACTTTGGGAGGCTGAGGCGGGCGGATCACCAGGTCAGGAGATCGAGACCATCCTGGCTAACACGGTGAAACTCCGTCTCTACTAAAAATAGAAAAAAATTAGCCGGGCGTGGTGGCGGGCGCCTGTAGTCCCAGCTGCTCGGGAGGCTGAGGCAGGAGAATGGCGTGAACCCAGGAGGCGGAGCCTGCAGTGAGCTGAAATCGCGCCACTTCACTCCAGCCTGGGCAATAAGAGCAAGATTCCATCTCAAAAAAAAAAAAAAAAAAAAGTCAGGAAACAACAGATGCTGGAGAGGATGTGGAGAAATAGGAACGCTTTTACACTGTTGGTGCGAGTGTAAACTAGTTCAACTATTGTGGAAGACAGTGTGGTGATTCCTCAAGGATCTGTAACTAGAAATACCGTTTGACCCAGCAATCCCATTACTGGATATATACCCAAAGGATTATAAATCATGCTACTATAAAGACACGTGCACACGTATGTTTATTGTGGCACTATTCACAATAGCAAAGACTTGGAACCAACCCAAATGTTCATCAATGATAGACCGGATAAAGAAAATGTGGCACATATACACCATCGAATACTGTGCAGCCATAAAAAAGGATGAGTGCATGTCCTTTGCAGGGACGTGGATGAAGCTGGAAACCATCATTCTGAGCAAACTATCACAAGCACAGAAAACCAAACACTGCATGTTCTCACTCATAGGTGGGAATTGAACAATGAGAACACTTGGACACAGGGCGGGGAACAACACACACTGGGGCCTGTCATGTGGTGGGGGGCAGGGGGAGGGATAGCATTGGGAGAAATACCTAATGTAAATACCTAATGTAAACGACGAGTTAATGGGTGTAGCAAACCAACATGGCACATGTATACCTATGTAACAAACCTGCACGTTGTGCACGTGTACCCTAGAACTTAAAAGTATAGTAATAATAATAATTTTTTTAAAAAAGATGGTAAGATTGGCTGGGCACGGTGGCTCATGCCTGTAATCCCAGCACTTTGGGAGGCTGAGGCAGGCAGATCACTTGAGGTCAGGAGTTCGAAACCAGCCTGGCCAACATGGTGAAACCCCGTCTCTACTAAAAATACCAAAAAAATTAGCCAGGCATGGTGGCAGGTGCCTGTAATCCCAGCTACTTGGGAGGCTGAGGCAGGAGAATCGCCTTGTACCTGGGAGGCGGAGGTTGCAGTGAGCCGAGATTGCACCACTGCACTCCAGCCTGGGCAACAGAGCGAGACTCCGTCTCAAAAAAATAATAATAAATAAAAAAGATGATAAGATTTCAGCTGGTGGAGATAGGACTAGGAGAGGCCATTTCTCCTTGAGGGGATGGGAAAGCAAAGGTGAAGATGAGAGAACAATGGGAGTGGGGCTGGAAACGTAAATTGGTTTAGAAGGGAAAGTTTTTGAGTGCTAGGATAAGTGATTTGAACTCTATGCACTAGGTAATTACATTTTCATTAACATTTATCAAGAATCTATTAAGCTAAGTCACTGTTTTTAATGTTAAGAAATCAAAGAATTGTTTTTATAGTTGTCCGACTTTTCACCAAAGACAGCACCTTTCATAACCTTTATCTCAGGATTCCTTCCACGTCCAAGGTCCTGACTTTTGTCCTTGGAATTAAGCCCTAATAGGAGAGAACCATCTTTTTAAGACATTGACTGATTTCTCTGTTTAATTTTGATGCAGTTTAACACCATCTAATATAATCTGCCATTTTGAGCTATGTTAGGCTGGTAGATCGCTTACCTGGGCATTACTTGTTTGCTTCTCTGGAATCCTTAAAAGGATCACAATATAGAATATAGTACTAAAGGGCAGTTGCTGTGGGAGAGTTGGAAGTGCTGAGTTGTGGGATATTTCAGAAGCTCTACTTTTTCTTTTTTCTTTGAGATGGAGTTTTGCTCTTGTCGCCCAGGCTGGAGTGCAGTGGCACGATCTTGGCTCACTGCAACCTCCGCCTCCTGGGTTCAAGCGATTTTCCTGCCTCAGCATCCTGAGTAGCTGGGATTACAGGCATGTGCCACCACACCCGGCTAATTTTGTATTTTTAGTAGAGACGGGGTTTCTCCATGTTGGTCAGGCTGATCTCGAACTCCCGACCTCAGGTGATCCGCCCGCCTTAGCCTCCCAAAGTGCTGGGATTACAGGTGTGAGCCACTGCGCCCGGCCTGAGCCACTGCACCTGGCCTGTTTTTTCTAACTGTGTTGAATAATTTGGGATTCCTCTCTACCCTTAGTTTCAAAAAGCAATATTGTGCAGAAAGCAAATGAAGTCAAGTGAATATGATTTGAAGTTGGACGGTTTTTGGTATGTCTTCATCTTTTAAAACCATCCTCTTTTCCAATATAAACTGTTGAGTCTGAATTGACTTGTTCTGAATTCAAGCAACTTGTTTTTTTTTTTTTTTTTTTTTTTTTTTTTTGAGATGGAGTCTCATCTGTCACCCAGGCTGGAGTGCAGTGGCGTGATCTTGGCTTGCTGCAACCTCCGCCTCCCAGGTTCAGGCGATTCTCCTGCCTCAGCCTCCTGAGTAGCTGGGATTACAGGTGCATGCCACCACGCCCAGCTAATTTTTGTATTTTTAATAGAGACGGGGTTTCACTATATTGCCAGGCTGATCTCAAACTCCTGATCTCAGGTGATCTACATGCCTTGGCCTCCCAAAGTGCTGGGATTATAGGTGTGAGCCACTGTGCCTGGCCTTGTATTTGTTTTTAATCAACTAGGACTTTGTGCTTTGGTTTGTGATAGCTATTTCAGTTTGGTGCTTTAAAAAACCCTCTTTTAAATGATGGCCAGAAGTTAGTGGGTGCTTTCAGATTGTGAGGCAGGATAGTTATCCAGGTTTTGGCAGTTTCAAGTGAGATCATTTTATTTTATTTATTATTCTTATTTTTTGAGACAGGGTCTTGCTGTGTCACCCAGGCTGGAGTTAAGTGGCACAGTCATGGCTCACTGCAGCCTCAACCTCCTGGGCTCAAGTGGTCCTTCTGCCTCAGCCTCACGACTAGCTGGGATCACCACACCTGGCTAATTTTTGTATTTTTTGTAGAGATGAGGTTTTACCATGTTGCCTAGGCTGGTCTCAAACTCCTGGGCTCAAGCGATCACCCGCCTTAGTCTCCCAAAGTGCTGATTACAGGCCTCGGCCACTGTGCCTGGCTCATTTTATTTATTATATGCCACATTTACCCATATAACTACACGTGAAAAGTGAACCGAGTACTTCTATTCAGGAGGGATTCTCAAGCTTTTTGTAGAAGAGTAAATGGTGTTGTGCTTGTAACCCAGGAAGCTGCAGTCTGTATCTGGTCTATATCTGGAATATTTGCTGTAGTTAACACTCTCAGTCTGGTTGTTATTGAAGACAATGCAAATGTCCCATTCTCAGTAAAAGTGTGAGCCTTGATATCAGACATCTGGCTTTGAATTCTGGCTCCTTTGCTTAATAGCTGCATAACACCAGGAAAGTTACTTTAGCTTATCTGTAAGCCTCAGCTTCCTCATCTTTTTGTTTGTTTGCTTTAGAGACAGGGTCTTGCTCTGTCACCCAAGCTGGGGTGCAGTGATGTGAACATGGCTGACTGCAGCCTTGAACTTCTGGGCTCAAGGAATCCTCCTGCAGTGGCTTCCCAGTGTGCTAGGATTACAGGCATGCGCCACTGCAGCTGGCCAGCTTCCTCATCTTTAAAATGAGAATAGTGGCTGGGTGTGGTGGCTCACACCTGTAATCCCAGCACTTTGGGAGGCCAAGGAGGGTGGATTACGAGGTCAGGAGATCGAAACCATCCTGGCTAACATGGTGAAACCCCGTCTCTACTAAAAATACAAAAAATTAGCCGGGCATGGTGGCAGGCACCTGTAGTCCCAGCTACTCAGGAGACTGAGGCAGGAAAATGGTGTGAACCCGGGAGGTGGAGCTTGCAGTGAGCCGAGATCACACCACCCCACTCCAACCTGGGCGACAGAGCAAGACTCTGTCTCAAAAAAATAAAAAATAAATAAATAAATAAATAAATAAAATGAGAATAGTAATAATCTCTCCTAGGGTCATGAAAGGGCGAAATGAAATAATCCATGTGAAGAGCTCAGCACAGTGCCTGACGCATGCTACGTGCCCAGGAAAAGTAGTTTTTGAAAAACGCTGATTTTCTATTTGCACTTTATTGAAAACTTGGTGGATGCTTTGAATACTGAGAATTTCATTACCACTTTTTCAGTTCTAATGTGCATACTGTTGTACACTGGTACCTACTGTGCAGATCATGACTGAAAGGTGTTTGAAAGGACAGTATTGTGAAATCTTTTGTCATTACGTTAATGTTATTGCAATAAAATAACAAATTTTTAACTATTAAAAGTAATGCCATCTGTTTTTCTTCATCTGTGTTTTCACCACAAAGAGATAAAACTACTGTTGACATTTTGACATATCTTTTTTCCTCCAGTGCGTATTTATTTATCTTTTTAAAATTTATTTTTAACATAATTGAGATTACACCGGGTTGTAATTTTTGTTATGTCTTAAATTCAACAGAATTTTATTTTATTACTTTACTTTGTTTTTTGAGACAAGACCTCACTTTGTTGCCTATGCTGGAGTGCAGTGGCGTGTGATCATGGCTCACTGTGGCCTTGACCTCCCAGGCTCAAGCTATCCTCCCGCCTCAGCCTCCCGAGTAGCTGAGACTGTAGGTATGTGCCACCATACCTGGCTTTTTTTTTTTTTTTTTTTTTGAGATGGAGTCCTGCTCCGTCGCCCAGGTGGAGCGCAGTGGCATGATCTTGGCTTACTACAACCTCCGCCTCCTGAGTTCAAGTGATTCTCTGTTTTTTTTTTTTTGAGACAGAGTTTCGCTCTTGTTGTCCAGGCTGGAGTGCAATGGTGAGATCTTGGCTCACTCCAACCTCCGGTTTCTCTTGCCTCAGCCTCCCAAGTAGCTGGGATTACAGGCACGCACCACCACACCTAGCTAATTTTTGTATCTTCAGTAGATACGGGGTTTCACCGTGTTGGCCAGGCTGGTCTTGAACTCCTGACCTCAAGTGATCCAGCCGCCTCAGCCTCCCAAAGTGCTGGGATTACAGGTGTGAGCCACCATACCTGGTTCAACAGAATTTTAAATAAGGCTGCACAGAAATATCCCATCAGATGGATCTTACCTCTGCGTTGTCATTCTCCATCAAATAATGTAACCTAAACCAGATAACACCATGCTCTGGTAATGTATCGTTGAGTAATTTGATTCTGCTGTCTTAACTGATACTTAAGCCTTCATCATGAGCCAAGAGATAGCTCTCATTTATGAGATGAAGCTGAGAATATGAAAAGAAAGAGGATTTACTTATGCTCAAAAATTTACTCTATTTTTGGCAATGCTCAGGCTATTTCTCTAGTAATTCACTTGAAGCACATGTCTTATAGAAATAAATATTTACATTTTTACAGAGGAAGAAATTAATGAAATGCTTTTCCTGTAAAATGGGGAATTTTACATTGTTTTTGGCTACTAGATTTAATATAGTGTGACTAGCTTAGCATTTTAATTATAAAATTTCAAAATTAGGTTAAATTATGTGAAACTCTTGTTTTGAAAATATCACTCTTTCTTTGCAGTAGTTAATCTGAGAATAGTCAAATGGATTTTGTCATGGTGTAGGATAAGGTCACTTAGAACCAGCTGAAAATTTTACAAAGTTTTAAAAAAGGAGGCTGGGTGCAGTGGCTCACACCTGTAATCCCAGCAGTTTGAGAGGCTGAGGCAGGAGGATCACATGAGCCCAGAAGTTTGAGACCAGCCTGGGCAACAAAGCGATACTCCAATCTCTAAAAACATTAAATTAAATATTAAAAAAAAATAAGAAAGGTTGTCTAACGATACTTATAAAAAACAAACTTATGACTTGAAATAAGGCACTTACTTTTTTTAAAATGAAGAAAAATTCTACCTTGGTAATAAGAGAAGTGCAAATTAAAACAGCAAGATACCAGCTTTTGTGTAACAAATTAGCAAAAAAAAAATTTTAATGGTAAAATTCAGTGTTGAAATGAGGACACATGGACAAAGGGTGGGGAACAACACACACTGGGGCCTGTCCCGGGGGGTGGTGGGGTAGGGAGAGCATCAGGATACATAGCTAATGCATGCGGGGCTTAATATCTAAGGTGATGGGTTGATTTGTGCAGCAAACCACCATGGCACAAGTTTACCTGTGTAACCAACCTGCACATCCTGCACATATATCCTGGAAACGTAAAATAAAATTAAATTTAAAAAATGATTAAAGAAACATTCAGCATTGACCTGGGTATGAGGAGGTGGGTGCTATCACTGTGAGTGGGAATTGACACACCCTTTCTGGTAAATGCTTTTGTTTGGGATTCTTGTGATTATACTCCTAGTAGTCAACTTTCCTGAGGGCATGGTCTAACTCAGACACAGAGACATTTATCAAAGCATTATTCATACTAGAAAAATAGCAGAAACAATTCAAATGTTCAACAAAAGGAGAATAGTTAAGTCAATTTCAACATATCCAAATAATGAAATATTACATAGCTATTAAATAATGCTTTCAAAGCATAATTAACAACTTGGGAGAATTCTCACAATATGATATACTGTGTGTGTGTGTGTGTGTGTGTGTGTGTGTGTGTGTGTGTATTGTAGTATACCTATTTTACCATCAATATCTTTGCATAGAATAATTTTTAAAAGACTAAGGAGAAACAAAATGTGCTTTCAGATTTTTCCAAAATTTCTTCCGTGAGCATTTATCCTATAATCAGAAAGAAGTGAATAAACATTAGTGTAAAATAATGATTTTAAACAAATGGCCATGGTAGTTCACTTCAAATGGCTGGAGTTTTACTGTATGGATCACAACATATTGTACTTAATGGAAAAACTATTACTAGGAGCCATTCATTTTTTAAAATGACACATTATGTGTAGGTACATTTTCACATTTAGATGGGCAAAATTAAGTCCTGAGAGCTTGCATCTGAAATCATATGGCCAATCAGTTTAAGCGAACTCTAAACTTCTTTGATGAGAACTTTGGCACAATTTCATCAATTCTAGGAAAACACTTCTGCAGTACTTAATAAGTGATATGAGTAAGTAAAATGGGAAGAGGACTAAGTAAGTAGTTCCAAAAAGAGAAACCTTTTAAAAATGGAAAAAGGACAAACTTCCCTGTCCTTGACTTCTTCCCCTTCACCACCACCCCCTTTCCTTGGCCTAACTGGAACGCACAGTCACATTAAGTGATGCCTTGCCCTTTGACTGACTCTCTCAGTAAAAGTTCAGATAGCCATCTAGTGGAAAGAAGACTCTTTAAGAATGACTTTCCTCCAGACACCCAATATCATGTTTGTTCAGTTGGCTTGTCCAAACAATTTTTCTGTGTTTTCACCAGAGTAGTATCAACTTAGCATGAAGATTAAAGCTGTTCTCCATCTGCTTTATCTGCCGTTCTTAATTAGAACCTGATGACAGAAATCAACTTTGATTCAAGGCTGATTGTTCCCGGAGAATCTCATTATTATTGTAAACAGTTTTTATTTTTCTTTCTTTTTTTTTATTAAACACATTGATTCTGAGCATCTATATGGCAGAAGTGAGGGTAAAAAAATAATTTTCTTCATTTAATCGTGTATTCAGCATCTGCTCTGCTAGATGCCGTGGGGCATATTGAAGTTGCTTAAAGTCTGGTAGAGAAGATAAAGCATGCACAGAAATAGTTTTTAATACAAACTTGAGGTGATAAGTGCCCAAAGGGACAGGCACAATGTATGTGGAAATTCAGAGGAGCAGTTATTTCTCGTTAAGGAATCGTGTTTTCTGAGTTTTCTTTTAGAAATTAAACAGATGTGCATTGTTCTGATGGACTGAAAAAAAGAGAAACAAATGGTCCCTTGCTTTCACACTTTATTTTACTTTATGAGAAATTAAGAGGCAAATGTTTGTATATCAATCCCTTAGGCAAGTAATGGACTTTAGAGTGCCTTAATGGTTTTCAAAAAATAGTCTACAAATATTAAGTCTACACTCAGAGTCTGCAGTCTACCAACTTTAATGAAATGTAATTTTATGCATAACATAAAGTAATATTAAAAATTACTTGTAGAAATAGTTAATTGGGCTAATTAGATATTCTTTTTTTTTTTTTCTTTGAGATGGAGTCTTGCTGAGTCACCCAGGCTGGAGTGCAGTGGCACCATCTCGGCTCACTGCAGCCTCCACCTCCCAGGTTCAAGTGATTCTCCTGTCTCAGGCTCCCGAGTAGCTGGGACTACAGGTGTGTGCCACCACATCTAGCTTATTTTTGTATTTTTAGTGGAGACAGGGTTTCACTGTGTTGGCCAGGCTGATCTTAAACTCCTGACCTTAAGTGATTCACCCGCTTCGGCCTCCGAAAGAGCTGGGGTCACACTCATGAGCCACTGCGCCTGGCTAGATATTCTTAATGGGCAAATTGGGAGCCTAGTCTTGGCATCAGGTGTCCTGTATTTAATCAGTTGGCAGAGCTAGTTACCTGGACCACCTACTCAGCCTAGGAGGTGCTGTGATACAGCAGAGAAGACATAAACTTGGGCTCTGCTACTTGGTAGCTTTGGGCCTTGGTAAGTTTTACTTTGTCTTTCTATTCCTTGGTCTTCTCATCTTTAAAACACCTCCTAGGATTCTTGTTAGGATTAAATGAAATACTATATGTTGCTTTGATTTGAGTGGATCCCCTCCAAAATTAACCTGTTGAAACTTAATGGCTAACGTGATAGTGTTAAGCGAGGGGGTTGCCTTTAAGAGGGAGTTAAGGCCATGAGGGCTTCTCCCTCATGAAAGTGATTGAAGCCCTCATAAAAGAGGCTTCACTCAGCACTTGGCCCTCCTACTCTTCTGCCCTCTGCGGTGTGAAGACACAGCGTTCCTCCCCTCCAGAGGATGCAAGGCGCCATCTTGGAGGCAGAGACCGTGCCCCTCACCAGACACTCAGCCTGCCCGCGCCTTGATCTTAGACTTCCCAGCCTCCAGAACTGTGAGAAATAAATTTCTCTTCTTTACAAATTACCCATTCTGTGGTATTCTGCTATAGCAGTACAAACTGACCAAGACATATATGAAGCACCTGACACACAGCTCTCTATAAATAATGCTTCTTCCCTGCTCTGTCTTGACTTGTTTGAAGGATCAGCAGTTAACAATGAACAGTTTAAAATGATCTCAGTATTCTTTCTTTTTCCTCTTGAGGGTGAACCTCTTAAATTGGGCTGGCTTATAGTTCCTAAAATCACAGCTGTTTGATATAGACGGGGGATTATTTGAAAGTCTGAGTCAAAGACGAGAAGTAGGAAATCAGTTTTTCCCCGGCTGTCGTTGTGCGCCTCCTTCCAGGGGAGTAATCAGCTCAGACTATCTCAATAGTTAATACTTGCTGTTCTACTCAAAATTGAACTCACTAAAATCTCAGTGATTTCTTCATTGAAGATTGCCAGTAGATGGCTTTTAATTCCCTGTAGTGTCTGCTTTACTGTTTTCATGCTTGTTTTTCTAAAGTCTTGAGTCAGCGTCTTTATCCTTATCAGTGTTTGGCCTTTGTCTACTCTATCTCTGTAAATCATTTGTAGGAGGGTTAAATTCCATCTGACGCAAATTGTGATTTTAAAAATAAATTGCTTTGTCCTACCATCTCTGAAAATAAAAGCAGATAATTTTCCTAAGTCACTTATTTAAGAAGTAGCACAAGCTAAATGCCAACCACTTGAAGTTGTAGACTTGCTAGACTTTTTTAAGCTTCAAGGTCTCTGTGTTTTCTGTTTCAGGTAAAAATGGTCAGGACTAAACAGTTCTTCAGGGGAAAAAAAAAATAGGGTCTTTGTCACAGCTGAGTCTTCATCTTAACCAAGATTTTTGCCAGAAAGCCTTTCCTTCTCTTGGAATTTTATGCTGGTTGAAATTTGGGTTTAGTTGAAGTATAAGGAGCTGTATTTCCTTATGTCTGGTTAAGTTCCACTGTCTTTTCCACTTGCAGATTTTATATTCAGTTGTCAAATTTGCTTGTGCTCAGCATTGAACGTGATTTCTGTACTTGTATGATTAAACTGGAAAAATCTGGAATAAATAAACTGGAATAAATAAACTAGAACTGTTTTCTGAAATTGGAAGGGATTTAGATAATGGTTTGATGGATGGAGGAGGAGTGAAAGGTGGGTTAGTATGAATTTTAAAAGTTTAGATTTTTGCCACTGTTCATGCTAATGTAAAAAAGGATCTTGTTGGCCTGGCGTGTGGCTCATGCCTGTAATCCCAGCACTTTGGGAGGCTGAGGTGGGCAGACATCTGAGGTCAGGAGTTTGAGGCCAGCCTGGCCAACATGGCGAAACCCCATCTCTACTAAATATACAAAACAGCCGGGCTGGGTGGCAGGCACCTGTAATCCTAGCTACTCAGGAGGCTTAGGCAGGAGAATTGCTTGAACCTGGGAGACGGAGGCTGCAGTGAGTCGAGATCGCACCATTGCACTCCAGCCTGGGCAACAGAGCGTGGACTCCATCCCAACCTAAAAGGATCTTGTTTAAATGGTGCCTATTCCCTGTAGATTTTGTAGCTTGGTATTACAAATATTTATTTAGTGCCTGCTATATGTAGGATGTAATATAAAATAGATTAATAACATGGTCCTTTCCTCAAGGAATTGTCATGGAATTAGGAGGTGGGAATAAAGGAGACGAAGATACATGTGCTGAGTGCAAAGCTCAGGGAAGATTGAAAATATGCAGTCTCCTTGGGAGTGAGGTGGGATGAGGAGTGGGGCAGGATATAAATGAAGTTTCTAGGAGGAGGTACTTAATTAAGGCACAGAATCATGGAAGTGTCTGGAAGAATGCAGAGAGCTATGAGCAATCTGGTAGGTCCATGGGGCTACCTGGGGTCTGGTGTGATCCAGCTCACTTTAGCCTCGAATTTCTGGGCTCAGAGGATCCTCCCATGTCAGCCTCCCCAGTATCTGGGATTACAGGTGCATGCCAACATACTTCGCTACGTTTTTTAAAAAATTTCTTTTAGAGATAGGGGTCTTGCTGTGTTGCCCAGGATGGTCTTGAACTCCTGGCCACAAACAGTCCTCCCACCTCAGCCTCCTGAGTAGCTGGGATTATAGGTGGGAGCCACTGTGCCTGGCCTCCTTTCTCCTCCTAAACTGGTTTTATTGAGGTATAATTTACATACCATAAAACCCACCCATGTAAGCATACAATCCAGTGATTTGTAAAAGTAAATTTATAGAGTTGGGAATTGCCACCTCAACCCAGTTTTAGAACACTGCTTTGTCCCTGGAAGTTTCCTTTCTTCTGGGTCAATCCCTGCTTTCATCTCCAGCCTCTGGCAAACACTGTTATGCTTTCTGTCTCTATAGATTTGACTTTTCTAGAAATTTCCTATAAAAGGAATCATAGGTAGTCTTTTTTGTTTGGCTACTTTCACTTAGCAAAATGTTTTTGAGGCTCAGCCATGGTGTAGCATGTATAAGTTGTTTGTTCCTTTATGCCGATTAATTGTATTTGATTGCATGGATATACCACATTCTGTTACCCATTTGCTAGTTGATGGGCATTTGTATTGTGTCCAGGTTTAGGCTGTTATTAATAACGCTCCAAGGCTGGGCGCGGGAGCTCATGCCTGTAATCCCAGCACTTTGGGGGGCCGAGGCGGGCGGATCACCTGAGGTCAGGAGTTCCTGCCCAGACTGGCCAACATGGTGAAACCCCGTCTCTACTAAAAATACAAAGTTAGCCAGGCATGGTGGCAAGTGCCTGTAATCCCAGCTACGTGGGAGGCTGAGGCAGGAGAATCGCTTGAACCTGGGAGGCGGAGGTGGCAATGAGCTGAGATTGTGTCACTGTGCTCCAGCCTGAGCGACACAGTGAGACTCTGTCTCAAAATAATAATTCCCTGTGGGCACTTGCATGAAGTCTTTGTGTGGACATGTTTTCATTTCTCTTGTGGAGATACTTAAGAGTGAAGTTTCTGGGTCATATAGTAAGAATATATATATATTTTACTTTTCAAGAAGCTGCCAAACTGTTCTCCAACTTGGCTGTATGTACCATTTTACAACCAGCAATGTCTGAGGGTTTTGGTTTTTCCACATCTTTTTGTTGTTGTTGTTGTTGTTGTTTTGTTTTGTTTTTGTTTGAGACGGAGTCTGGCTCTGTCACCTAGGCTGGAGTGCAATGGCGCAATCTCGGCTGACTGTAACCTCTGCCTCCTGGGTTCAAGTGATTCTCCTGCCTTAGCCTCCCAAGTAGCTGGGACTACAGGTGCCCAGCACCAAGCCCGGCTAATTTTTGTATTTTTAGTAGAGACAGGGTTTCACCATATTGACCAGGCTTGTCTCGAACTCCTAACCTTGTGATCTGCCCGCCTTGGCCTCCCAAAGTGCTGGGATTACAGATGTGAGCCACCCAACCTGGTTATTTTCCACATCTTTGTCAACACTTGGCATGTGAGTTATAACCATGCTACTGGGAGTGTAGTGCTTTTTTTTTTTTTTCTTTGAGACAGGGTCTTGCTCTGCCTCAGGCTGGTCAGTGGTGCGATTATAGCTCATTGCAACCTTGACCTCTGTGGCTCAAGTGATCCTTCCGCCTCATTGCACTGAGTAGCTGGGACTACATACAGGTGCACGCCACCATGCCAGGCTAATTTTTTTGTAGAGACAGCATCTGACTATGTTGCCTAGTCTGGTCTCAAACTCCTGGGCTCAAGCAATATTCTTGCCTTGGCTTCTCAAAGTGCTGGGGTTACAGGCATGAGCCACTTGTGCCCAGCCAGTGCTGTCTTTTTTTTTTTTTTTTTTTTTGAGACAGGGTCTCACTCTGTCACCCAGGCTAGAATGCAGTGGAATGATCTTGGCTTACTGCAGTCTCCACCTCCTGGGCTCAAGTAATCCTCCCACTTAAACTTTCCGAGTAGCTGGGATTACAGGTGTGCACCACCATGCCTGGCTAATTTTTTCTATTTTTTGTAGAGACAGGGATTTGCCATGTTGTCCAGGCTAGTTTTGAACTCCTGGGCTCAAGTGATATGCCCACCTCAGCCTCCCAAAGTGCTGGGACTACAGGCATGAGCCACTGCACTGCGCCTAGTAGTGCTTTTTTTTGAGGCGGAGTCTCGCCCTGTCGCCCAGGTTGGAGTGCAATGGGGCAATCTCAACTCACTGAAATCTCCGCCTCTGGGGTTCAAACGATTCTCCTGCCTCAGCCTCCCGAGTAGCTAGAATTACAGGTGCCTGCCACCACGCCTAGCTAATTTTTGTATTTTTAGTAGGGACGGGGTTTCACCATGTTGGCCAGGCTGGTCTCGAACTCGTGACCTTGTGATTTGCCCGCCTCGGCCTCCCAAAGTGCTGGGATTACAGGCGTGAGCCACCATGCCCAGCCAGTAGTGCTATCTTAGTTGTAGTTTTGCTTTGTATTTCTCCACCGACTGGCAGTCTTTTAATATTGTAAATTATTTCGGCTATTTCAGAAAACACTACTCTATAATAGCGGCAATTGGTGTTGTGGTTCACTGTTTTGTTTGTTTTCTTGAGGCGGAGTTTTGCTCTTTGTTGCCCAGGCTGGAGTGCAGTGTTGCGATCTCAGCTCACCGCAACCTCTGCCTCTGGGTTCAAGTGATTCTCCTGCCTCAGCCTCCCGAGTAGCTGGGATTACAGGCGTGCACCACCACGCCTGGCTAATTTTGTATTTTTAGTGGAGACGGGGTTTCTCCATGTTGGTCAGGCTGGTCTCAAGCTCCTGACCTCAGGTGATCCGCCCACCTCGGCCTCCCAAAGTGCTGGGATTACAGGTATGAGCCACCGTGCCTGCCTTATTAACTGTATTTTTTTCTAAAGCTCTTGAAAGAATTTTTGTATGTGAAGAATCCAGACACTATTTTATTAGAGACTCTTTGCTTACTTATTTTTACTCTTTCTTTTTGAGATTTGTAAAATTATCCTCTGATATAAACTACCTGTGGCCTGCCACCTGCTTTTGTATGCCCCAGGAGTAAAGAATTTTATTTTTAAATGGTCGAAAGTAAAAGAATACTATTTTAGCCAGGTGTGGTGGTGCATACTTATGGTCCCAGCTACTTGGGAGGTTGAGGTGGGAGGATTGTTTGAGCTGAGGAGTTTGAGGCTGCAGTAGCCATGATTGTGCCCCTGCACTCCAGTCTGGGCAACAGCATGAAATGCTGTCTTGAAAATAATTGTGATATGTGAAAATTACATGAAATTCAAATTTCAGTGTCATAAATAAATTTTGATTGGAATACAGCCATGCCTATTCATTTATGTGTTACCCATGTCTGCTTTTGTGCTATAAGGGCAAGAGTAGGGTAGTTTCAGTAGAGACTGTACAGCCTGCGTAGCCTAAAATACTTACTGCCTGGCTCTTTACAGAAAGTTTGCCCACCCTGGCTCTCACCCATTCCAGATGTTGCCTATTCTCAGAAAAAAATTTGCTATTGACTTGTCCTTTTGGTTCAGTTCCTTTTTTAGAGATAGGGTCTCACAATGTTGCCCAGGCTGAAGTAGAGTGGCTGTTCACAGGCACAGTACCAGTACTGATCAGCATGGGAATTTTGACCTGCTCTGTTTCCTCCCTGGGCCAGTTCACCCCCCTTCTTCAGGCATTGGTTCAGTTCTTGTGTTGGTTCTCCAGTTTGTTGTTACTGGGAAACCTGAATTCATTTCTCAAGTGTCACCCTGGAAGGGAAGAGACTTATTGAAAGATTCCTGTTTTGTAATGTGTTCTTTCCTGGCTTGGTGACTCTAGTTAAAGTTAGTCTCTGGGGCTTGGTGTGGTGGCTCATGCCTATAATCCCAACACTTTGGGAGGCCAAGGTAGGATAATCATGTGAGCCCAGGAGTTTGAGACCAGCCTGGACAAGATGGTGAGACCCTGTCTCTACAAAAAAAAAAAAAATCTAAAAATTAGCTGGTCCTGGTGGCACTTGCCTCTAGTCCTGGTTACTCAGTAGGCTGAGGTGGGAGGATCCCTTGAGCCCAGGAGTTCAAGGCTGCAGTGAGCTATGATTGTGCCATTTACACAATCCAGCCTGGGTGACAGAGTGAGACCCCATCCTTTTTTTTTTTCTGCAAACACTATGGTGACTTAGAGACCTCGTCCCTAAAAAAAAAAAAAAGAAAAAAAAAAAAGTCTCTGGGACCTTTTAAGAAAGTCACCCAGTAAACAAAGGGGAAAGAATGGTGCTTTTGTAGATGAAGGTATCACGTTAACTATTTGTGTTTGGAAAGTGATGCTGTGTAACATAGATAATTTTGTTTATTGGTTTTTTTAAGTGCCCATTATAAAATTTAAGATAATACAGAGGTATAGGAAGTCACTTACCCCCTCATTCTACTCTTACTTGTCGCCATTATTAGGAATTTATTTCCTTTTATACCTTTTTCTATGCAGATATAAACATAGCCAGTTGGGTTTTGTGGCTGTTTTTTTCAGAAATGAAACTGCAGTGTACATTTTGTTTTAAAATGAAGGTTTTTCAGAACTTGGCCCAGGGTATGGTGGCTGTGCATACCTGTAGATTTGCTGTCTTCATTTTAGCAGCTGCATGGCCTTTTTTTGTATGACTCTACCATAATCTACTTAACTGTTGATGAAGTTTAAGGTTTTTGCTTATGTAAGTAATGTCCGTGTGTTTCAGTTGGCCTTACTAACACTGGTTATATTCATCTTTAACATATTTTTCTTTTTTTGGCCTATTTGGTAAGTGAAAAATAGCTCATTGTCATAACTTGCACTTCTTCAGTGAGACTGAACATTTTCCTTATTTTAGCCACTTGTACTTCTATGAATTATCTATTGCTTATTTTTCTTTGGGTTGTTTGTGTCTTTTAATTGGTTGCAGATCTTTATATATTATAAACCCTAACTCTTAATTTGCAAATATTTCTTACAATTGATCGTTTCTTATTTATGGTGGCGTTTTTCCTTACAGAAGTCTTAGTTTTGTATGTTGTCAGATCTGTCAAACATTTATAGCTCTTGGATTTGGAGGTATGCTTGCAACGTGTTTCCATGTTTTAATATTCTAAGTGTAACTATCTTAATTCAGTGATTCCTAATCATGACTGCATCAGAATAATTTAGGGGAATTTTTTTCAGCATATATGCTGTGATTTCCAACTAAGATATTCTTTCTTCGTAGATAAAATGTGGGGTCCAAATCTGTGGAGTTTGGTTTGTTTTGTTTTGGAGAGAGGAAGAAGCTTCCTGGCCAGGCACGGTGGCTCATACCTGTAATCCCAGCACTTTGGGAGGCCGAGGCAGGCGAATCACGAGGTCAGGAGATCAAGACCATCCTGGCTAACATGGTGAAACCCTGTCTCTACTAAAAATACAAAAAAATTAGACGGGCGTGGTGGCGGGCGCCTGTAGTCCCAGCTACTCGGGAGGCTGAGGCAGGAGAAGGCGTGAACCCGGGCGGCGGAGCTTGCAGTGAGCTGAGATCGCGCCTCTGCACTCCAGCCTGGGAGACAGAGCGAGACTGTCTCAAAATAAAAAAAGCTCCCTGATTCTGATGTGAAACCCTAGTTAAAAAATCACAGTATGTAAAACAGATTTCATTGCCTCTTTCCAGTTGAGTTGTGTTTTTTTCTTTGAGAGTGTGAAGGGGGTGGTGCTGCTTGGTTCCTTTTACTTAACATTCATTGAGTTCCTGTGACACACTTGGAGAATTAGTAAGGAGAGAATTCATGCAACTGATAAGGAGAGAAACTGCTGTACATTGTACCCTTTGCTGTGCACTGTAACTGTACAATCAAGTTTCTTTATCTTGACAATTGTGTTAAACCACAAGCTATTGGCTATATTTCATTGGTTGAAAGATGCACTTTTTTTCCCCACGTTTTAACATCCATGAAACTGGGATGACAGCATGACATAGTTTATTTGGCAGCATTTTAAATTTTGTAGTATAATGGTTCATCTTAGTCAACTTGGAGAAGTTGGATAATTTTTTATCTTTCATTTTTGTATCTAAAGTACATCAGTACGGTTTTTTTTTTTCCATACTGGCCTTCATGTTCCTGAGTGGTCTCTTCTCTTCTAGTGTTTCTTTCCTTCTAATTAAGTTTTATATACTGCTGCCAGATTAATCTTCCCAGACCATGATTCTGATTAAATCACTGCTATATGCAATAACTTTTTTTTTTTGAGCTAGGGTCTCGCTCTGTTGCCCAGACTGGAATACAGTGGTGCAATTATGGCTCATTGGAGCCTCAGCCTCCCAGGCTCAAGTGATCTCCTACTTCTCAGCCTCCAGAGTAGCTGGAACTACTACAGGCAAATGCCACCACACTCAGCTAATGTGTGCAATGTGAGCCTAAAATACACTAAAACATGCATGCTTGTGCTAATTTTCTGTGTGTGTGTGTGTGTTTTTTTTTTTTTTGGTAGAGACAAGGTCTTACTATGTTGTGCCCCCAGGCTGGTCTTAAACTCCTGGGCTCAAGAGATCCACCCACCTTGGCTTCCCAGAGTACTGGGATTACAGGCATGAGCCACTGTGCCTGGCCTTATGCAGTGACTTTTAATAAGAAACAACTGTAACAGAAAGTTCAAACATTTTAATATTTCATTTTAGACCCTTTGAATGAAATATTTACCTCTTCAACCTTTTATTCTTCACATACTCCAATTTTGCATTGATAAGCTAACAGCATCTTTTCATGTATTCCCCCCCCCCCTTTTTTAAAACAACATCATCTTGTATTTACTTATTGAATCCTTATGCGGGATTGCTCCCTACCCTCTCCCCAGACCTCTGGCTGTTTGAAACCCACCTATCCTTTCTGCTCAGCTTCTGTCATTCATCCATCTCCATGCAATTGCTGCTGGTATAACAGGGGTGAAAGATAACTATTGACAAAGAACAGGGAAGTTTTTTTGGAACTCTGGGGTTTTAAGAAAGGCATTGACGTCCTTGGGAACTAGGTAATACAGTTTCCTCTCCTTTTCCTATTTTTGATTTTGGCTTTGGCTTTGTATTTGAAATTCTCTTCTTCACTTCAGATGGAGGTGTGGGAGGGGATGTGTGGGGTGTAGTATGTGTGGCCCCACAGGTAGATCACCTGATCAGTCTTTTACCCTAAACATAAGAGAGGGAAAAGCACAAAAAACAACAGCTCTAAGATGGGGCATGTACATGTCCAAATTTGAACTCAGTCATGTTTTTGTCAAACTAAGATGATGAACTAGTTATAAGATGAAGTTTGACTGGACGAATGTAGATCCTATTTTGACCATAAAGCTAGTTGCATAAGTAAGCACAGGATGATGTTGAGGGGTTTGTGGCTTAGGAGTAGCACTTAAGGACATCTGCGGAGGGCCAAATGTGAGTCCGTAGTGAGATGTGGCAACAACAAAAATAAAATCTCAGATGCATTATTGAAAGAAAAAAAGAATATCTAGAATTGGGGGAGATGATAATCCTATTTATTTTTTTTTTTGAGACAGGGTCTTGCCCTGTAGCCCAGGCTGGAGTGCAGTGGTATGATCACAGCTCACTTCAGCCCTGCCAGTAGCTGGGACTGTGGGTACACACTACTGTGCCTGGCCAACTTTTAAAATTTTTTTCATACAGGCAGGGTCTCACCATCGAGCCCAGGCTGGTCTTGAACTCCTGGGCTCAAGCAGTCCTCCCGCCTTGGCCTCCCAAAGTGCTGGGATTATAGGTATGAGCCAGCATGCCCATGAATCCTATTTTATTCTGTATTGGGGTGGACACAACTATCAAGTCTTGGTCAATTCTGGGGCACACATTTTGAAATTAGAAGCCACATACAGAAGAACAATTGAAGAAAGATCTGCTTTGGAGACATGAGAACTTGGGGCATGGGAAGCCCATAATTAGCCATCAGGATATGTAAAGGAAGAGGATTTGTACCTTGTGGTTCTAGGGAATAGAACTAAGGCCAGTGGATGGAAGCCACAGATAGAAAGACATGGCTCAATTTAAAGACTAATTTGCAGTGAGAGCTGTTTAATGATGGAGTAGAAGATGGTAAACTTCCTGTTTGTAGGAGGTTGAACAATCATTTGGCAGCTGTGTTTTAGAGGATATAAAAATGTTGAATCACTAACAAGTGTTCACTTTTCCTCATTATAAATGGAAAAGGCAAGAAACACTCAAAATTTAAATTGGCACTCATAATATACTATCATGACATAACATGTTATCAAATTTATTATTTTGCAACTGACAGTAATCACTTAGCCAGCAGATGTACTTCAGCCTTAGCATTGAATTAAGCAGAGTGGTGACAGTGAACTGGATGGTGAATTTGCTCTAGCAAGTTTACCTGAGTGGATTCTGTGGGATGGAATTAGAAAAAAAAAAAAAAAAAAACAAACCTCCACAGAGTTAAACAGCCTTTTCTCATCAGTGATACAGTGGTAAGAACCTGCAAATACATGTATGTACACTGAGAGGGCAGGAGGAACTTTATGCCAAGGTCTTCATAAGCCCAAATTAACAAATTGCCAAGTATGTCAAAACTTGTGTCTGTGTTGGCAGGACCTGTGAAGCACTCCTCTGGAACATAGTCTGCAAACCACAACACTAAGTGATTGATCTCTAAGGCCTCCTTCCAATTGTAAAATTCTTTGGTAAATGACCTTGTAATATATGCTTGGCAGTAGTTTAGGGTTATGGAGTAACAGAAGCATAGCCAATTAAAACTATGAGAAAACTTAGGTGTATTATAATTGGCCCCTCTGGAATTTGGCCCCAGCTTTGAGGATCATAATTACAACGAAGTCAGCAGTTTGAAATAAGTTTTCACCATAGGGGAGAAGAGACTCAGTGGCACTACGGCTTGCTTTCAGTCTTAAGTGAAATTCTACTTCCTTGTCTTAAAAGAACCTCACTGGTTCTTTCAATTGAGAAACCTTGATGGTTTGAAAGAGATACTTGGAAGAGAGTGATTAATGAAAATAATATTGGTGTGTATAAAGTCATTGAGCAGCTGAGGGGCTTAGAAGCTGAGAAGATCTGAAAGCAATGTGAGCCTAAAATACACTAAAACATGCATGCTTGTGCTAATTTTCTGTCAAATTTACAAAATCTTTGGAGGGAGAGTGGAATTTAGAAGAGAAAGCAAAGTGAATAACATTTTATGATTAATGAAAGAAGAATTTAGTAGAGTAGTGCAGAATTGAAGCCCTAGGCAGATTCTGAATTATCCTTTGTTTCAGGGTTCTCTGAACCCTCAAGGCTGGGTTAGGTGCCCACCTTGGTACTGTGTAACATTATGTCTGTTACAGTATCAGTTCCAATTCTTGCCTTTTTTTTTTTTTTTTTTTTTTTTTTGAGATGGAATCTTGCTCTGTCACCCAGGCTGGAGTGCAGGGGTGTGATTGCAGCTTAGATTGCAGCTTACTGCAACCTCCGCCTTCTGGGTTCAAGCAGTTCCCTTGCCTCACCCTCATGAGTAGCTGGAATTACAGGTGTGCGCCACACGCCCAGGTAATTTTTTTTTTTTTTTTTTTTTTTTTTTTGTATTTTTAGTAGAGACAGGGTTTTACCATGTTGACCAGGCTGGTCTTGAACTCCTGACCTGAAGTGATTTGTCCACCTTGGCCTCCCAAAGTGCTGGGATTACAGGCGTGAGCCACTGCGCTTGCCCTGTCCACTACTTTCTAATTGGTTGTTTTCAAACTCTCTGAGCTTCAGGAAGACAAGGACCATGTTTGGACTCTCAGGGTTGGATGTACGTTAAGGGTTTAATAAATGTTTGTTGAATGAATAAACAGGAACCCCTTTACCTTTCTTTCATTTATGCTACTTCCTTGTTTTGGCATTTCTGAGATATTGCTGTTAACATCATGCAGCTTGACTATTAACACTTTACCTTTATGTGCTGATAATTGGTCAAGTTGGGTATTGGGTACAGGGAGGCTCACAGTATTATTCTTCCCATAATAAAAAGAGTTTTAGAAAAGACATTAACATCTGTAAAACTGATTGTCCTAAAGAGCTATTCCCATCTGACTGCAGAGTGGAAAGCATCTGATGGCCCAATTGTGACAAGCTCTTATTATTTACTCTCATGGATGTTTGTACAGGTTGCGTATTCCTTGTATGTATGTTTGGGAACAAGCATTTTGGATTTTTTTTTAAAGGTTTTGGTATATTTGCATTATGTTTACTGGCTGAGCATCTGAAATCCAAAAATCCAAAATCTGAAATGCTCCAGTGAACATTTCTTCTGAGCATCATGTCAGTGCTCAAAAAGTTTTGGATTTTGGAGTATTTCAGATTTTGGATTTGGGATACTCAACCTGTATTTCAACTGGGAATAGTTTGTTTCTCAAATTGTAGTTCCCTTATGATTTGAGGACATACTCTAAGGATCCTTAAGTTTCCTTGTGAAAAAATTTTTAAAAATTGTGTTATTGGCTGGGCGCAGTGGCTCATGCCTATAATCCCAGCACTTTGGGAGGCCAAGGTGGGTGGATCACCTGAGGTCAGGAGTTCAAGACCAGCCTGACCAACATAATGAAATTCTGTCTCTACTAAAAATGCAAAAATTAGCCGAGTGTGGTGGCACAAACCTGTAGTCCCAGCTACTGGGGTGGCTGAGGCAGGAGAATCACTTGAACTCTGGAGGCGGAGGTTGCAGTAAGCCAAGAGCGAGACTCTGTCTACTTTTTTTTGTTTTTAAAAGAGGAAGTGAGGAAAGTAGGTGAACAGGAGGAATGATGAATGATGCTGTTAGACAGAATCTCCAGACCATTCCTTGGTCTTTGAGTTCCTCCTGGGACCTATTTTGTTGTTGTTGTCGTCGAGACAGAGTCTTGCTCTGTTGCCCAGGCTGGAGTGCAATGGTGTGATCTCTGCTCACCACAACCTCCACCTCCTGGGTTCAAGCGATTCTCCTGCCTCAGCTTCCCAAGTAGCTGGGATTACAGGCATGCACCACCACGCCTGGCTAACTTTTTGTATTTTTAGTAGAGACAGCGTTTCACCATGTTGGCCAGGCTGGTCTCAAACTCCTGACCTCGTGATCCACCCGCCTCGGCCTCCCAAAGTGCTGGGATGACGGACGTAAGCCACCATGCCTGGACTTTTTTTTTTTTTTTTAAGCTCCACTTAGAGCCATCTCAAACATACGATTTTCAAAACTGGACTCGATTTTTTTTTTCCTCTTCTCCCCGCCCTCTGCAAATCTATACTTGCTGCCATCATCCTTATTTTAATTAATGGCCGTCCTGTCTTTCCAGTTGTCAGGGTAAAATCTGAATGTTATCCTTTATGACTTCGATTCTCTTAACCTTAGGTGTAATCTGTTAGGAAATCTTACTGACTCTAGCTTCAGAATATTTCCAGAATGTGGCCACTCCATACCATCTCTACCTCTACCACCCAAGCCCCTGTCATTTTATAGCATATTATGGCTGTACCATTAGCCTCCTTGCTGGTCTCCTTGCTGTTTTATCTTTGCCTCCTTATAATTATTTTCCACACAGCAGTCAGTGATCTTTCAAACAAAAAACTTTACTGATGTTTATAAGCACACACAAAAATGCACATGTTATGAGTTTGCAGTGAATTTTCGCAAACTGGTCATACCTGTGTGTGACCAGCGCCCAGAGCAAGAAACGGAATGTGACCAGCAACTCATGCTGCCTTCCAGTCCCTGTCCCAAGGGTAATCATCACCTTGACTTGTAGAACATAGGTCAGTTTTGTTGTTTTTGTACTTTATCTATAATAAATGGAATCGTACAATATGTACTGTATTGAGTCTGGCTTCTTTTATGCAGCCTTATGTGTGTGTGAATCATCCATGATGTTTTATGAAATTGTAAATGGTTTCTTCTCATTGCTGTGTGCTATCACATTGTGTTAATATACCACGATTTATTTATCCATTCTTCCATTCTGCTAATGGGCATTCAGATAGTTCCCGGCTTTAGGCTATTTTGAATCATGCTGCTTGGACATTCTAGTACGAGTCTTTTGGCAAATATATGTATGTGTTTATGTTGGGTATATACCTAGGAGTAGGATCTGTGGTTCATGAGGTATGTGTGGGTTCGGGCTTTGTATTACCAAATAATTTTCCAAAATGGTTGTACCCCAGCGAGTGATCTTTTAAAATATTTGTTAAATCCTATTATTTGTTGTTTGAAAGCTTGTCAGTGGTTTATCAACTCACTCAATAATAGCTGAAATTCTTACAGTGGCATATCACTTGTCTTCCTACTTCTCTTTGAACATGCTAAGCACACGTATCTTCAGGCCTTTGTGCTAGCTGCCCCCACTACCTCATTTGTTATACCACCTAGCTATGTTACCTGCTTAAATTCAGATGTCTGCTCACAGGTCACTAACATATGTAAAATAGCCTATTCTTTTCATCTCTGTCCCTTTATTTTGCATTATTTTTCCTCGTACTACTTACTACTGAGCATGTCTATGTTTAATATGTGTAACATTTGTCTCCCCGCCACCCACCAGGGACTTTGTTTTTTTGTTAATTGTTGTATCCATTATCCTCTAGAACAGTAGACATTAATAGTTGCCCAATAAATAGTTGAGTGAGTAAATGAATACATAAAACAAATAGTTGTAATAGACATAATGGATGAAAATAGAATTTGGGGAGAATAAGACAAATGAGGTTAAAAATTGATAAAAATTACTTAATTTTAATTTTTATTAAAACATAGCTGAAAAAGACACAGGGCTTAAAATAGCAACTCCTTATCTCATTCTAATTCCTACTCTCCAAAGTTAACTACTTTGTTCTCTTCCATCTCTTTCTTTTCTTTTTATTTTTTTTTTTGAGACATATTCTTGCTGGATCACCCAGCCTGGAGTGCGGCGGGGTGATCTCGGCTCACTGCAATCTCTGCCTCCTGGGTTCAAGCCATTCTCCTGCCTCAACCTCCCAAGTAGCTGGGATTACAGGCACGTGCCACCAAGCCCAGCTAAGTTTTGTATTTTTTAGTAGAGACAAGTGTTTCGCCATGTTGGCAGGCTGGTCTCAGACGCCATGTTGGCCAGGCTGGTCTCAGAACTCCTGACCTCAAGTGATCTGCCCACCTCGGCCTCCCAGAGTGCTGGGATTACAGGTGTGAGCCACTGCGTCCAGCCTCATCTCTTTCTCATACCATTAAACTTGATATTTCTAAACTTTTAGTTAAATTGCTATCTATTTTATTTCAGTTTTAGTGGGTTTTTTTTTTTTTCATAGCTCACTGCAGCCTCAACTTCCTGGCTTAGGTGATCCTCCCACCTTAGCCTCCTGAGTAGCTGGACTACAGGCGCATACCACTACACCTGGCTAATTTTTGTATCTTTTGTAGAGACAGGGTCTCGCCATGTTATCCAAGCTGGTCTCGAACTCCTGGGCTCAAGTGATCTGCCCGCCTTGGGCTCCAGAGTGGTGGGATTATAGGTGTGAGGTGCCATGCCCAACCCAGTTTTAGATCTTCTTTGTTGGCTCTTACGCTGAAAGATAAGGACTTTCCTTTTCTGTATTTCCCCTCTCCCCACACCACACATTCATACTTTTCTTCCTCTATCCTGTTGTTATAATTATCAGATTTAAGATGTGCTTTAGATGTCACTTCCTTAGAGAAATGTTCCCTAACTTTTCATCTTAAACCAATGTGTTCAGTGTTTACATTATTATGACTACATAAAGATTGTTCATATGATACAATCAACATATTGCGATCACATGCTTTTTTTTCTTCCCTGGAATCCTTCATAAATCTCTTTTTCTTTGCTTACTTTTCTTCACATCACCAGCTTATCCACATACACTTTGCTGGAATTCTAAAGTAAATACATCAGGTTATGCATCAGTTCTTTAGCTTGTTTCGGAAGCACATCTCCTAGAACTGCCAACCTGTGCTGGCTCTGTACTGCTGTTGCCCTGAATCTTACCTTCACAAATTAAGAATTCCCTTCATCACCAGGTGTGGTGGCTCGCACCTGTAATCCCAGCACTTTGGGAGGCTGAAACAGGTGATCGCTTGAGTCCAGGACTTCAGACCATTCTGGGCAACATGGCATAACCCTATCTCTACAAAAAAAAATTTAAAAATTAGCCAGGTGTGATGGCGTGTGCCTGTGGTTCCAGCTACTTGAGAGGCTGAGATGGGAGGATCACCTGAGTCCGGGAGGTTGAGGCTGCAGTGAGCTGTGATCATGCCAGTGTACTTCAGCTTGGGTGACAGAGCGAGACCAGTCTCAAAAAAAAACCCCAAAACAAATAATTCCCTTCCTCTTTTTTCCTATATTAAATTTTTTACCTCTGGATCCCCACATCAGGATCTTTGTTGGTTTACTCACTTATCTTGGGAGAACATATCCTCCAGTAGTTCCTAGAGAAAAGTGATCCTCCCACCTCAGCCTCCCGAGTAGCTGGGACCCACAGGTGCATGCCACCACACCCGGCTAACTTTGGTATTTTTTTTTTTTAAGTCAAGGTTCGCCATGTTGCCCAGGCTGGTTTTGAACTCCTGAGCTCAAGCGATTTGCCTGCCTTGGCCTCCCAACGTGCTGGGATTATAGGGATACACCACCACGCCTGACCAGGGATGGTAATTTTTTTTTTGATCTTGTGTATCAGTTATCTATTGCCATAATACTATATCTCAGATCACTGAGAGACCTCAGTTGCACATAATAGTAAGTGTTTATTGGCCATATGTCTAGGATAGTTGGCTGGGAGGCTCTGCTGATCTCGAGGGTTGGCCAGCTATTAGCTGATCTAGGATGGCCTTGGTTGGAATGACTAGGGTGACTGCCTCTTCTTCATTTGTTTCATCTTTCTTGGAGGACCAGTGGTCTAGCCAAGGTGTGCTTTTCTCATGGTAACAGTGGAGGGCAAATGGAATGCATAAGTGCTTTTCTTACATTTGAAGTATATCCACTACATATTCAGAAATATCCTATTTTGGAACTATAGTCATTTGGTGACCAGAAAAATTATCCATGCAAATGTGCAGAGAAAAAATTTAAGATATTTAGTATCCTTCAGACGACTAAACAGTCGTCACTTTCTCAAGGAGGTGTTCTTTGCCTTTTTATATTAGGTAAGATTCTCCTTTAAATCTCACTATTAGCACTTGGTTATTGTTATTTCATAATTATCACACTGGCTATATTATTTGATTCATATTGGTCTGTCTCTCTAGACCTTAAGCTCCACTGAAGACAGCAACCCAGTCCAGCATAGGGTTAGCCTGGGGCCTGCAGTAGTGAGTACATAATAAATATTTGTCAGACAAATGAATGAAATGATTAGATCTCAGGAATAGAAGGTATTTTTAGGGTTCTTTTTATTGGCTCTTTTTGTATTTGAAGTGTGTTCCTTCTTCAAGGATTTGGCAGAGAAGAGGAAAAACATAGACCATTACTAATTTGCAGGAGAGAGAAGCTGGCCCAGCTTTGGGCTGTTTGCTCGGCCTAGCTGCATTCCCCTGTGTAATCAAGACTGTAAAGCTTTGATGGGTAGTTAGTTCTTTGTGGCTTTAGGGCTTTCCGATATAAGTAATTGTTTTCATGAGTGTATTAATTTGACTCTGGAACTTGTAAGCAACTGGAAACAAGACTGTTCCTACTTGTTTATGTGAATGTTTGTTGTTCTGAATTGGATGACGATACTCATTGTTATTTCAGAGGAGTGGTTGAAGAATACATTTTTAAACTAATTAGTGATGGAGTTGCAATACAGTTTTGTCATTGGTGCTGCATTCAATAAACTTATATTACAGTCTAAATCTTGGAATGTATGGAAAATTAACATTAATTAAACTAATCTAAGTTACAGAAAGCTGACAAGTGAACAGAACTGAATATTAAAAACTATTCCTTAAACATGAGTTTACTTCATCCACTCTATGGTGTTTAGTTCTACTTAATAATTCCAGCCTTTTCATAATTTGAAAGGAGACCCATATTTTGTGGCTTATTGTTTGTTCAACTTTGATATTGATTTTAATTGTTAGGACAGGAAATTGTGATAGAACTAGAAATTTCCTCCCAGGATTGAAAAAAGACCTTGCTCAGGTGTGATCTAAATATTATATTTCTTATTAATGACAAGTTTTTTTGTGTTTTGCTTTTTTGATAATTAAGGAGTAAAATATATGCTATATATTATATAACTATGGAATTTTAGGTCTTAAATGGACAATATCAAAGCAGCCTAGCTGTCTTTAAAATATTTATATTTTTATATATATTTTATATATATATTTATATATATAAATTTTTTAGGTCGGGCGTGGTGGCTCACACCTGTAATCCCAGCACTTTGGGAGGCCAAGTCGGGCAGATCACAAGGTCAGGAGATTGAGATCATCCTGGCCAACATGGTGAAACCCTGTCTCTACTAAAAATACAAAAATTACTGCAGCCTTGACCTCCCAGGCTCAAGTGATCCTCTCACCTCAGCCTCCCAAGTAGCTGGGATCGTAGGTGCACACCACGATGCTCGGCTAGTTTTTTAAATTTTTGTGTAGAGACAGGGTCTTTCTATGTTGCCCAGGCTGGTCTTGAACTCTTGGGCTCAAGTGCTCCTCCTTCCTTGTCTTCCCAAAGTGCTGGGATTACAGGCATGAGCCACCTGGCCTAGTTTGTTTCATTTTACATAGCACTTAAATTGTAAATTTTTTTTTTTTTGACAGAGTCTTGCTCTGTTGCCCAGGCTGGAATACAGTGGCGGGATCTTGGCTTATTGCAACCTCCACCTCCCAGGTTTGAGCGATCCTCCTGCCTCAGCCTCCTGAGTAGCTGGGATTAAAGTGCCCGCCACCACGCCTGGCTAATTCTTGTATTTTTAGTAGAGATGGGGTTTGATCGGGCTGGTCTCGAACTCCTGACTTCAGGTGATCCACCCGCCTTGGCCTCCCAAAGTGCTGGGATTACAGGTGTGAGCCACTGTGCCTGGCCAGATTGTAAATTTTATGAGCCTACTGTTGGTTGGCAGTAGTTGTTCAGTAAATATTTTTTGAAAGAGTTAATAAATGAATGCATGTAGTTATGGATGAAGATTACGTGAATAAAGACTGAAGCCCAGAGAGGTTAAAAACTTATGTGATAATCCAAGACAATAAATAAAGCTATTTGGGAATGTTCTTTATTGTCCCCTGATGGATGTGTGGAATTGTTTTACTAGGGAGGAGGATTCAGCAGAAGCTGGATAAACAATTATAGGGTTTTTATGTGGTGTTGACATGTAGAATAGCCAAGGTTAAATTGGCCAATTAAAGCTGGAGTAAGATGGCTTTAGGAAGTGTTATATATTAACAGAATGAGAGAAATAATCAGAAATAATTTCTTAGTCCCAGTAGCCATTAAGTAGGGGAATTTTAATTTTTAAGTGATGGCTCCAGGTCTTCATGTGTATAAGATTCTTGCAGGAAAATTTTTTGATGTTACTAGTAATTTTAAAGGAATATGTGTAAAAGGCTTAGGGTAGTGCTCGCTCTACAACTAGATATTTGACAATCTAAGCCTAGATTATAACTGAAATATAATTGTGTAATCTTGTCCTTACTTCTATCTTATTTTTTTGAGACGGTCTCACTCTGTCACCCAGGCTGGAGTGCAGTGGTGTGATCTCGGCTCACTGCAACCTCTGCCTCCCGGGTTCAAGTGATTCTCCCAAGTAGCTGGGACTACAGGCGCCTGTCACTACGCCTGGCTAATTTTTGTATTTTTAGTAGAGGTGGTGTTTCACCATGTTGGCCAGGCTGGTCTCTAACTCCTGACCTCAAATGATCCACCCACCTCAGCCTCCCAAAGGGCTGGGATTATAGGCTTGACCACTGTGCCCGGGCTTTACTCTTATTTTAAATGTCAGTTTGTTAAGGACAGAAAAAAAGACTGAATTTTGCTAATATTTTCTACACTTGATCTTAGCCAAAAGGCCGAGAAGCGATGAATTTTGCTAATATTTTCTAACATGAAAAGGAAATAACGAAGGGAAAGTCTTTTTTTTCTTTTTAACTTTCTGCAGCAGTTGGGCAAAATTCCTGCTTTGTGTAGGAAACCCTGGCAGACCTTGAGAATTCTAAATTGCTGCAGATTGTTTTATCTTTTTTTTCTAAAACAATTTGAATAGCGGATCCTTTCCATCTGAAACAAGTTTTTCCCCTTCTCACCCTCTTGTTTCATGTAATTAGCAGTCCTCCTCTGTATATTCCTATTTTGTCTGATATAGCCAAAATTCTTTAAAAAGAATTTTAAAATTTTAAAATTCTGCTGTGAGTCCGGCAAAGGGGCTGAGAGAATTTCTGTGTCAACATCATTGAGAACTCTGAAAGCTTCTTTACATACCAAGCTCCTCCTCATCAAAGCTAGATACAGGAAGTGTTTATGGTCCCTTTCTTCCAAGGGAATGGCTCTAAACTAACCAGCAGACCCTGTCTCACTTATGTTCTCCTTCAGGTTCTTCCTTGACATCCTACTGGCTACTCTTAGTCATGTTCTTTCTAGCCATCAAGTCTCCAAACTGCGTGGCCAGACAACTTGAGTTACCTGGGAAGTTCCTAGGGGCTAGATAAGTACTTTATGCCTTATTCTACAGCAGAATATTTGTTTTGTTTACATGACCAGCTCAGATTGATAGAATAGCTGTCTTTTAGCAACAGTGTAATCATTTAATGACAGCTGTTCAAGGGACTAGTAAAAGGATTGGGAAAGGGGGGCCTTCTAAACAAAGTGAATGGGCCCTGCCAACTGAGGAGTGATGTCTCCTAAATGGTTGGCATGTTCAGACTTCAGAGTATTATCCATCAGCTTGGAGACCCACAAGTTTTTTAAATATCTAGTGTTATCTGTTTACCTGTTAGCTTGGTGCCAAAGTGATTGCACCTTACCTCCAGACCATGTCTGTGCTTGCCCTGATGTACCTGTCATGTTCAGTACCTGTTTTGGTTTATAGGGCTTGGACTAGCTCCGATGTTCACTTGCCCTGTTTTACTTAGAGAAAGTCATCATGTGACTAAATTTTAAGATTACAAAGATAATGCATGTGATTTAGACTTGAGTGTGTAAAAGGCTTAGGGTAGTGCTCACTCTACAACTAGATATTTGACAATCTAAGCCTAGATTATAACTGAAATATAATTGTGTGATCTTGTCCTTACTTCTATCTTATTTTTTTGAGGCGGTCTCACTCTGTCACCCAGGCTGGAGTGCAGTGGTGTGATCTCGGCTCACTGCAACCTCTGCCTCCCGGGTTCAAGTGATTCTCCCGAGTATGGGTGGTGATGGACCATTTGTAAAGCCTCAGAAGCCAAACTGGAATTAATGTGAAAGTTATAGGGAAGTTAGTTTCAGCTTAATCAAAGTAGAATTTCCAAAAAGTAGAGCCATTTGAAAATGTCCTGTGGCTGGGCGCGGTGGCTCACGCCTGTAATACCAGTACTTTGGGAGGCCGAGGTGGGCGGATCACGAGGTCAAGAGATTGAGACCATCCTGGCTAACACGATGAAACCATGTCTCTACTTAAAAAAAAAAGTCAGCTGGGCATGGTGGCAGGTACCTGTAGTCCCAGCTACTTGGGAGGCTGAGGCAGGAGAATGCTGTGAACCTGGGAGGCGGAGCTTGCAGTGACCCGAGATTGCGCCACTGCACTCCAGCCGGGGTGACAGTGCAAGACTCAGTCTCAAAAAAAAAAAAAAAAAGTTTTTATCCTCCAGATCGTAGAATTATATTACTAGAGGTGGTGATTCAGCAGAAGCTGGATAAGCAATAATAGGGATTTTGTGTAAGTGTTGACATATGGGTAGGGTGGGCTAGGTGATTTGCTAATAGTGAGATATTTTGATTCAAGTATAAATTTCAGTAGTTGCAGATGAACACAGAAGGAACAAGCACAGATTTCTGCTGATGGTTAGTAAGACAACATTGCCAAGGGAGGGTGTCCCCAGAAGAGCAGAAAACCTAATATGAAAGCTCAAATTTAAAAGATGGAAGCAGGAAGTAAACTGCTGAAGGAGAATGTTCAGAGGAAGAAAACCAGAGGGTTTAGGGTACAAAGGCTGAGGGTGGAGAGTTTGAAGGAAGAAGAAGAAATTAGAGAACCATAAAGAAAATGATATATTCTAAAGCGGTAGTCCTCAAGGTAAATTGCATGTAGCTGTGCCTTGGGATGCAGTAGGACTTACATATATATATATGAATGAATATGCATATACATTAAGCTTATTATTATTATTATTATTTTGAGACGGAGTCTCGCTCTGTCACCCAGACTGGAGTGCAGTGGCGTGATCTCGGCTCACTGCAAGCTCCGCCTCCCAGGTTCACGCCATTCTCCTGCCCCAGCCTCCTGAGTAGCTGGGACCACAGGTGCCCACCACCACGCCTGGCTAATTTTTTTGTATTTTTAGTAGAGGTGGGGTTTCACCATGTTGGCGAGGATGGTCTCGAACTGCTGACCTCGTGATCTGCCCGCCTCGGCCTCCCAAAGTGCTGGGATTACAGGCTTGAGCCACTGCGCCCGGCCAAGCTTATTTTTATATGGATTTCATGATGTATATATTTTGTAATATATATAATTTATAAGTAAATATAAATTAGGGAGGTGTACTCAACATTTTCATAGAATACATAGTCAAAAATGGTTTGCAACCTCTGCTCTAACAAAAATAAAACACCCTACATCTTTGGTTCAAGATTGTCACCCCCAACAGTTGTGTGAAATGTGGGGCAGGAATTATCACTATTTTCCTTTGGAAATTAAGGTTCCAAAGATAATGAGACCAGAGCCAAAGGTCAGAGTCCACTGTCTTCTCTCTGAGGCCTCAATGTGAAGACCTGAACTGTGGCAGCAGATAATTCTGGAGACCTGTTAATCAGCTGTATGCACCACGCTACTTAATTGATTTAGAAATATTGAAAAGGCCGGGCATGGTGGCTCATGCCTGTAATCCCAGCACTTTGGGAGGCCGAGGCGGGTGGATCACCTGAGGTCAGGAGTTTGAGACCAGCCTCGGTAACCTGGTGAAACCCCGTCTCTATTAAAAATACAAAAAAACTTAGCCGGGAGTGGTGGTGGGCGCCTGTAATCCCAGCTACTTGGGAGGCTGAGGCAGGAGAATCACTTGAACCTGGGAGGCGGAGGTTGCAGTGAGCCGGGATTGCACCTAGTGCATTCCAGCCTGGGCAACAGAGCGAGGCTGTTTCAAAAAAATAATAATAGAAATATTGAAAAGGCGTGGGACAAAGATAGGGTCTCAAGACCCTTACTGTAGTCAGGGGTGTTAATACGTTTTAGACTGAAACCTGTGAATGCTCACAGGTGCAAATGAAAGTGACACAGATACTACAAAAGTGCTTTCGTTTGACCACAAAGAAATTCTATAGGTCTGGGATTCTCAAAGTTTTGACATGTCATTTTAAGAATCTTATACAAAGTATAGACCTTTTCCCCAGAAGTATGCATACACACACATACTTTGGCATACAGTTTGAGTGAATGTCTCGTTCTGCAGCTGCCCTAGAGCATCCAGGGACCTCAGCTCATCATTTGCTAACTTTACCAAATGATGGGTTAAAATTCTCTTCCTTGGTAAAATTCTGCCCACACCCTATCTTTTGGGCACTTAATTATACCTAAAAATAGCATTGAGAAAAGCAGCTATTTCATCCACAATTAGAGAATATTCTTGAGTCCAGCATCAAAGCCATTATGGTGCTTTGATCAATAAGTTTGTTCTCCACGGAAGTGAGGCTTAATGGCTTAGGTGACCGACTAACTTTCTCCTTAGTTGCTCTAGAAGTCACCTGTGAATGAGCCCTTTCAAAGGGAATGATTTTGACTTCTGAAAACTTAAGCAGATTAGAAGCCTTGAGTATAGGATTTAGAATAAGAAGTACTCAGTAGTAACCCTGGTTGTCTAACTACACAGGCTTGTATGATTTGAACTTTTGTTGTTGTTGCTCTTCTGGTTTCCTTAAACACCAGACAGATCCGATTACAATTCTAAATATTTAGTTCTGTGCAAACAGGAACAGCTCAACAGTTCACCTTCACTGAGTAACGTATGTCTATTTAGATAAGCAAACTACTGTTGCAAAAACCCTGGCAAAATGTCAGGATGAGCAGGGGAAACTTTCATTATCTTTTCAGCCATCCGAACAGTTCCCCAAGAATCGGACATTTTTGAGACTTAACTAGTCAAGGTTAAATTACTCATTGTTCAGTGAGTAAATTCTGTCTAAAGACTTAGCTGGGGTCGTCTTTATTTTATTTTTTTCATTCTTCTTTTTTTTTGGAGGTTACTTCAACAAATAAAGTTTTATTTTTATTTAGGCTTTCCTTGTATTTTAGGGAAGAGAAAATATTTGCTTTATGTTCTTAAAGTGAGTTTAAAAAAAAAATGGTACATTTAAAGATAGTTTGGGGACGGGCATGGTGACTCATGCCTGTAATCCCAGCACTTTGGGAGGCTGAGGCGGGCGGATCACCTTAGGTCAAGAGTTCGAGACCAGCCTGGCCAACATGGCGAAACCCGATCTCTACTAAAAATACAAAAATTAGCCAGGCATGGTGGCGCATCCTTGTGGTCCCAGCTACTTGGGAGGCTGAGGCAGGAGAATTGTTTGACCCAGGAGACGGAGGTTGCAGTGAGCTGAGATGGCACCACTGCACTCCAGCCTGGGCGACAGAGTGAGAATCCTATCTCAAAATAAAATACAATTTGGGGTTTCTTAATGCCTATACTCCTTTGTTTAACTATAGGGCTTCTAGTTCTTTAAAGATGATTAGTGATTGTACAAAAGGTATAATATAATAATTATAACAGCCTCTTACTTTTCATATCCATTAAACTTTTTTTTTTTTTTGAGACAGAGTCTGGCTCTGTCACCCAGGCTGCAGTGCAGTGGTGCAATCTCGTCTCACTGCAACCTCTCCCTCCCCGGTTCAAGCGATTCTCATGCCTCAGCCTCCCAAGTAGCTGGGATTATAGGCATGTGCCACCACACCTGGCTAATTCTTTGTTGTTTTTTGTTTGTTTGTTTGTTTTTAGTAGAGATAGGGTTTCATTATGTTGGCCAGGCTGATCTCGAACTCCTCACCTCAGGTGATCCGCCTGCCTTGGCTTCCCAAAGTGCTGGGATTACAGGTGTGAGCCACCGCGCCCGGTTTAAGCCACCGTGCCCGGTCTTAAACTTTCAAGTAGACAGGACACACTGGCTACTTGTGTGCCCCCAGATGTATAGAATTATGTTACTAGGGATGGGGATGCTACAGAAGCTGGATAAGCAATTGTAGGGATTTTGCGTGGGAATAAAAGTGTGGAATGGCTAAGGTTAAACTGGCCAGTTTAAGAAAACTGAAGAGCAAGATGGCTTTAGTAAGTGGTATAGATGAATAGAATCAGAAAAATAATAGAAACAGTTTCTATTAGTGTAGTTCCCAATAGGCATTAAGTAGGAGAATTCTAACTTTAAGCTATAGCAATGGCTCTAAGTCTTCATGTGTACAAAGTTCTTGGAAGTAAAAGTGAAAGGGGTGGGCGTAGAATGAGCCTCATTCCTAACCAGAACACTCATCACTGACCACCTATACTTGTTTTGTAACAGAGTGAAGCGATCTTTAATGCAATTTTGATATTCTTTCCATCCACTCTTGCATTTTGTTCTTTGAGGTGTGAGAGAAGTGTGTATCTGTCCGTTCCTTAATGTACAGTGCCTTGAATGGTTGACGGTGTGGAACTTTAAAGATCTTTGTGTAAATTTACCTTCTGATTTCTTTTACCCCCTGTTCCTCAGCCTACATGGAGAACTTTCACTGTAATTGGAGAGTAGGAATAGTTATCTCTGTGTACAAATGAGACCCAATTCTTACATTTTCCATTGTGGCTGTAGGAAATTTTATTTTATTTTGAGACATTCTTGCTCTGTTGCCCAGGCTGGAGTGCGGTGGTGCGATCTCGGCACACTGCAACCTCTGCTTCCCAGGTTCAAGCAATTCTCCTGCCTCAGCCTCCCGAGTAGCTGGGATTACAGGCGTGTGCCACCATGCCAGGCTAATATTTTATATTTTTAGTAGAGACGAGGTTTCACCATGTTGGCCAGACTGGTCTCGAACTCCTGACCTCAAGTGATCTGCCTGCCTCGGCCTCCCAAAGTGCTGGGATTACGGATGTGACTCGCCGCACCAGGCCAGAAATTTTAAATTTTGAAATGGTGTGCCCCTTCTCTTACTTGGTTCTCTTCATAAAATCCCTCCAACTTCAAAAGGGATGGAAATAATTAATGGAAGCAAATAAGATATTGATTAAAAGGATATTTATTTTTAGTAATATTTCTTTTGGGTTACTTCCTTGCCCCATTTTAAGATTACAGTATCTGATCTTAGGATTTGAACTGTTCCATCTGCTTTCCTCCATTACAGTGCTCTCCTGCTTTTTCATATTTGGCTTGCTTAACTATCAGAATTTTGATTCTTTCATTTCTTAAATTCCATCGTCTGAAGTAAAGCTATACTAATTTGGAGTATCTGAAGGAGTAGAGGGAAGGCCACTCTGAACTAGCATAAGATCTTAAATACAGAGCATTTTTCAAGGAATGTTATATTATCATTTGTACTGATAAATTAAAGACTAGAACCACAATATATTACCTAGTATTGGTCCTTAAGGAATTTGCAATTACCTGAGCCTTGGTTTTGCATGTAAATAGATGCTTCTAAGTGCTTGAGTCTACTTTGAAAGAGTTCTTAATAGTTTAACCAGTAACACTTAGTCTTGGTTATACTCTTATTTAGTAAACATTTTATTTTTTTTCTCCATAGATGGGGTAAAGGTAAATTTAGCTCAGCTGTATGAACTATTACATTAAAGTTTTTTAGAGCAATTTTTATAGCTTTTCTCTATATACATTTGCATTTACATTACCTGTATGTACTATACATACAAATTGATATGTACATGCTGATGTATTAAAATCCCTGAGCAAACTACATATTTGTGGACAATTTGAGCAAATAATCTTTTGAGTATAAACTTAGACTAAGCTTTCTGAGTACAGGAATCACATACTTTGACATTCTTCTACTTGCTTCCAAAGTAAACATATTTGCCAAAAACTTTGCCCAGGTACCCACATTGTAGTGGGGGCAGCCTTTTACTGGGAGCAAGCTCCAAGTTCCTTTTTTTTTTTTTTTTTTGAGATGCAGTTTGCTCTCTTGCCCAGGCTGGAGTGCAGTGGTGTGATCTTGGCTCACTGCAACCTCTGCCTCCTGGGTTCAAGTGATTCTCCTGCCTCAGTTTTCTGAGCAGCTGGGATTTACAGGCATCTGCCACCAAGCCCTGCTAATTTTTGTATTTTTAGTAGAGATGGGTTTCACCATGTTGGCCAGGCTGGTCTCGAACTCCTGATCTCGAAGTGATCCTCCCACCTCGGCCTCCCAAAGTGCTGGGATTACAGATGTGAGCCACCGTGCCCGGCCTCCAGTTCTTTTCTGTTTGGTTTGTGAGTGAGTGAGAATGGAGTGTGTGTAAAGGGGGACTGGGAGGCTGGGAGGTTGACCTTTGTGCAGTCTACCTACTTGTGAATGGGAATGTGATTCCATGCCTATTGCTGATTCTCAAGCCTGCCTCGGTACCACAGTAGTTCACAGCAAGGGCTTTGGAGTCAGCCCTGTATTTGAACCTCAGCTCTCTGATTTTCCAGCTGGGGATCTATGTTGGGCAAATCAAGTTAATCTGCTTAAACTTCAGTTTCCTCACCTAGAAAATGAAGGTCATAATTGCAGCCTCACTAGGGTATCTGTGATCTAGGAGGGATTTTTGATAGTGGTAAACAGTAGATTCCTGCCTTACTAATGTGTAGGTCAGTTTATCATCTACCTAGCACCATCACTTTTTTCAAAAAAGGTCTTTTCAACCAAGAATATGTCATACATATCTGTATTTTCTGACTAGATTGCAGGTTCTTGGTCCTTGTCTTACTTGTTTTCGTAACTGGCTTATAGAACTTGATACTCAGCACATGTTAATTGAATGACTAGATGATGCATGGTCTCCTTTGAGCCTACCATAGCATTTGGATTTACCATCATTATGTTTACTTATGTGCGTTGAGAAACTTATGTGATATAAGGTTTGCTTTAAACTATGAGGTCTTAAATATTTCCCATGGTCAGAGTAGATTATTGATCTAGTTTGGCTAGACATGTTCCCTAACTTCCTTAGGATTGCTGTTAGACTTCCTGAAGCTGAATTTTTGTGGGAAGAAGATTAAGACTTTTGTGACTTAGGAGAGGTAAGTTTTCCCTAGTTGTATACTAGCAGGGGCTAACTTACCTGATTTCACCCTTTAATTGGTCAAAAGTTTTGGATTGCAGCAACTTCTGTATAACTTTTTCCAAAGAGAATTCTATTATCTGATAATTTTGGAATGTTTTTTGTTTTGTCTGTTGCCTTTTGCTTATAGTGGATTGTTTCCTCCTATTGTTTGTGATTGTGGCTTGTGAGTAGGTTTTTTGTTGTTTCTCTCTCCCAAGAAGAGCTTTACCTGTGGAATCCTGTATGGCTTTGGTTGAGGATGTATTCTTTGTTGTTAATTTCTTGACTTAAAGGTTTCAGGACGACCAAGGTAGTAAAAATTTAAGCTTCAAACCTACGTAAGGTGTAGGTCTGTCATTAAAAATTTTCAGGGTATACTTTTCCTTCCTTCCTTCCCAGAGCCTCAGCAGAGGCAGGTAAGTGTCCTTAGCAGCTCACCTGGCTTGGTGGGCAGATTCTTTGTGGTCTACTCTTTTCCTAAAGGGGCATCCCTTTGGAGGTTCTGGCTTTATGTCAAAATCTTTTTTCTGTGTGTGTGTGAGTGTGACAGAGTCTTACTCTGTCACCCAGGCTGGAGTACAGTGGTATCATCTTGGTTCACTGCAACCTCTGCCTCCCGGGTTCAAGTGATTTTCCTGCCTCAGCCTCGTGAGTAGCTGGGATTACAGGCACATGCCACCACGCCGAGCTAATTTTTGTATTTTTAGTAGAGACGGGGTTTCACCATGTTGGCCAGGCTGGTCTTGAACCCCTGACCTCAAGTGATCCACCCGCCTTGGGCTCCCAAAGTGCTGGGATTACAGGCGTGAGCTACCGCACCCGGCTCAAAATCTTAACTTCTACTCCTTACTTGATATGAGTTGTGAAGTTGCAGACATATAATTTATTCTAGTTAGTTTAAGCAGGAGAGGTTTACCATAAAGCATTAAACACCAACAAAATTGCCGGAAGGGCTGAAGAAATAGATTTCAAGTTTGTTCATTCAATCAGATATTTATTGAGCATCTACCATATGTTTAGTACTATTTTTGGGTTCTTGGGGAACACATTAGTGAACAAAACAGACAAAGCTCACTTTCCTTGAGGAACTTACGTTCTAGAGGGTTTTGTCTTTAGGAACAATTCTCAAAGCCACACACAAAACTGGCCAACAAAATAGCTGCCAGTTGGGGTTTTAAAAACCAACCCAGAACCACATGACCACTGCCATGGTTAGGAAACCACACTGATCAGGAAGCCTCCACTAAAGCTGTCGGCTCCAGAATCATGCTCATCTGCTTTTGATCCACAGTAAATACCCAGGCCTTGCCTCTGATACCCGTGACACTAGTTACTAGACACTGTACACTCAACTAATGATGCTGCAGAACAATCAAATGCCTTGGCCTATGCCTGTTTGCAAAGTAGCAGAACTAGGTCTTCAGTTTCTCTTTCCAAATCCATGTTAGTGCATATGATTGGTGGAACCTAATTACATCAGGAGCCCTAGCTGGAAGAGGCTCTTGAGCCTTCATGGTACAGAGCAGACGACCTACAAAGAAAGGAGAATATTCAATGCCAATCGACCAAATGTTCCTTTCTTCTTCATGTTGGTTTTTAAAACCCTATCCCCTATATTATGGGTGTAGATCTCTATTTTGCCATCCCAGCTCAGGAAAGGGGCTGCCCACATGCGTTTGGTTTTTAGTTCTCTCTGCTTTTCTGGCTCCTGGGGTTTTCTTCTTCTTATTCTTCCTCCTCCCCCTCTTCCTCCTCCTCCCCCTCTTCCTCCTCCTCCCCCTCTTCCTCCTCCTTCCTCTTCCTCCTCCTTTTTTCTCTCCAGACAGAGTCTAGCTCTGTCACCTGGGCTGGAGTGCAGTGGCATGATCATGGCTTACCACAACCTCTGCCTCCCAGGTTCAAGTGATTCTCCTGCCTCAGCCTCCCAAGCAGCTGGGACTACAGGCATGTGCCACTATGCCCAGCTAATTTTTGTATTTTTAGTGGTGATAGGGTTTTGCCATGTTGGCCAGGCCGGTTTTGAACTCCTGACCTCAAGTGATCCACCTGCCTTGGCCTCCCAACGTGCTGGGATTACAGGTGTGAGCCACACCTGTCCTTTCTCTTTCTTGCTAACTCAGCTTTGCCTTTAAAATAATATTTGTTCTATTATATGTAGAGTTTTTGGGGGAAAGTTTTCAGGTTATGTAGATAATTTCAGAATTAGATGCCCCTAGTTTACAAGTACTAATTTAATAAACCATGTTAGCTTATTAAAAATGTGTTACGTCTGGTGGGGGTGGGGGTTGGAGAAAGATGGTAGGCATTCCATTGATTTAAAGTTTTTTTTTTTGAGATGGAGTTTCACTCTTGTTGCCCAGGCTGGAGTGCAGTGGCGTGATCTCGGCTCACCACAACCTCCGCCTCAGCCTCCCGAGTAGCCGGGAGTACAGGCATGCACCACTCCCCCCAGCTAATTTTGTATTTTTAGTAGAGATGGGGTTTCTCCATGTTGGTTAAGCTGGTCTCAAACTCCCGACCTCAGGTGATCTGCCTGCCTGGGCCTCCCAAAGTGCTGGGATCACAGGCATGAGCCACCGTGCCTGGCCTCATAGTTTGGAGTTTTTAAGGAATTGGTCCATTTTATCAAAGTTGTCCAATTTGTGTGTATAGAATTATCGTATTATCCTACTATCCTTTTATTATCTGTGAGGTCTGTAATGGTATTCCCCTCTTTTTTATTCCTGATGTTGTAATTTATATTATGTCTTTCTTTTTTGTTAGTCTTTCTAGAGGTTTATCAATTTTATTGATCTTTTCAAAGAATGAAGGTTTGGTTTCATTTTTTTTTTTCTATTGTTTTTCTGCTTTCAGTAGTTACAACAGCAGTGCCTCTACCTTTTTATTTGGCCATCCCTCTTGTATCCCTATATTCTGCCATCTTTTTTTTCCACTTTTTATTATCAAGGCCTTTTCTTCATCAAGGCTGATGAAATTTCATACTGTTTATAACTGCAATTAAGACTTCTTTGGGCCAGGTGCAACAGCTCACGCCTGTAATCCCAGCACCTTGGGAGGCTGAGGCCAAAAGATTGCTTAAGGCCAGGAGTTCAAGACCAGCCTGGGCAACATAGGGAGACCTTGTCTCTACAAATAATTTAAAAATCAGTTGGGCATGGTGGCGCATGCCTGTAGTCCTAGTACTCGGGAGGCCGAGGTGGGAGGTTGAAGCTCAGTAAGCTGTGATTGCCCTACTATATTCCAGCCTGGGAAACAGAGCAAGACCCTGATTCAAAAACAAAACAAAAAACTTTGATTTGTGAATAGGTTGAATCTAAAAGTTAATTTATTTGCATTATCATAATTACATAAAAATTGTTCACTTCATATCCTAGTAGTATACCTTTCTTTCCTTGTACAGCATTTATTTTCTCATGGCCTTTCTTCCACGAGATATTTGCCTTTGTTATGTCCTCAATTATTTTCAAGCTCTCCATTGTATAATTCATTCTCTTATTCTATTCACTCACATCTCCAACCTCCTCCTAGAGCACATTGTTTCTCCAAACTGGGCTGACTGCTCTCTAGAGCTGACATCCTGTGACTTCCCATTACTGCTTTCCTAGATTATTTCCTGGATCCCATATCCTCTCCTTTCTAGACATACTCCCTGATTTTGATGAAACATGTCAGTAAGGACTGTCCTAAAGAAGGTGAAGAGAAAGGATACTTTCTGAGTCCTTTCATTTAGCTCTACATTTGATGAGAGTTGGGATGAGAATGGAATTCTAGATTGAAGAGAATTTTCCCTGAGAATTCTTATGGATTGCTTCATTGTCTGCAAGCATCCAGTCTTAATAATGAGGAGGCCAGTTTTATCCTAATTCTTGATCCACTGCAGGTGACTGATTTCTCTGGAAGCTTTTCAGAATCTTAGTATTTTGAAAGATTGGAAATAGGTCTTTTACAACTTGCTGTTCGGGCCATTGATAGGCCATTTTAGTTTGAAGATGCATGTTCTTTCCAAATATTATTTTGATAGTTTTCTCCTGTTTTCTGTTTTCTCTTTCTGGATATTGAATATGTATAAAAGTTTGCTTCGAATTCTGAAGAATAAATATAATGGGAAGACAGATGTGAGGTCTAGATTCTTGGTTTTAATATTTATGTAGCATTTGTCTAAAATGTGGAAGTCACATGCTGTAGACCAACTAAGTTTGTAAAATATTTGTAAAATATTTATAAAGTATAATTTATATAAAAAGCAGTTAAGAAAAAGACCCAAATAATATAAAGTTACCATTATAAGGTCCCATATGAAGCTGTCCTTCAATTAAGAACAAAAATCAATGTACAGGATAAAGCTACAATATTAAGCAAGAAAGATACATTTTAATTTTGTTTGCAGTCCCATTAGATTTCTAATATGATTTTATAGCTCATTTCCTCCCCTTTTACAAATGGCTTTGTATCATAATCTGTAGCAACTCTAAACATTGCAAGAGTAAAAGAATATACTGACATTACTTCATGGTTTAGAACAAACACCTTGAGAATAAAAAGTCATGTTTAACATGACTTGCACTGAACTAGATACACACCATATTTATGGCTTTATGTCAGTGTTCAAGTGTTTTTGTTTTTTTTTTCTGTTTCTTGATGGCTCTGATTAAGTTAGAGTTAACAAACTCTCTTCTGATGCCACATTAGTGGGCATTTATTTTCTGGCTTGTAAAAGCAGGATTAGTCCCTTAGACTGAAGCCACACTTGTGTTTTTCTTACTCATAATGCAAATAATGACTTCAGGCAGTGGTGTGGGTGTTCAGCGAATGCATACTTCTATTTGCAGAGCAGTTTTACCTGTATCTACAGCAGGGAAGCCCCTCTGGGCTTTATTTAGTAGGTGACAGAGGAAATTAGAATGGCCTGGCTAAGCACATCAATATGCATAATTGACAGGCTATTCAATACTGTTAAAGATAAGTACTTTCCATTCTTTAACTATCAAATGCAGCTCAAATGTATTCTAGATTGTATTATTTTCTGAGTATTTTGTTACAGATCCTTCACGTATATATGCGAACTTAAAGTAAACAAATCTAAGGAACTAGAAAAACACAGGCTTGTCTCTGGGCAAGGTCTTTAAAATTATCAATGTGATTATAATGAATGAATAACATATAGCCCTTCGAAGGGATAAGGTAAACACCAAGATTGGAAAGGCAGACATAAAACTTTATTCACAGGTGACACGATCTTCTATATAGAAAATGCTGAGGAATCGACTACAAAACTATTAGGTTTAGGCCGGCAGGGTGACTCACGCCTGTAATCCCAGCTCTTTGGGAGGCAAAGCCAGTTGGATTGCTTGAGAACCAGGAGTTTGAGACCACTCTGGCCAACATGGTGAAACCCTGTCTCTACTAAAAGACAAACAAAAAAACCTATTAGCATTAATAAATGAGTTCAGCAGGGTTGCAGGGTACAAGAGCAATATTAAAAAATCACTTATTTCTTTTTGTTTGTTTTTTGAGACAGGGTCTTATTCTGTTGCCCAGGCTAGAGTGCAGTGGCGCAATCCGGGCTCACTACAGCCTCTGCTTCCTGGGTTCAAGTGATTCTTGTGCCTCAGCCTCCCGAGTAGCTGGGATTACAGGCAAAAAAATCGCTTATATTTCTTTTTTCTTTTTTTTTTTTGAGACGGAGTCTTGCTCTGTCTCCCAGGCTTGAGTGTAGTGGCGCGATCTTGGCTCACTGCAAGCTCCGCCTCCTGGGTTCACGCCATTCTCCCGCCTCAGCCTCCCGAGTAGCTGGGACTACAGGTGCCCGTCACCCTGCCCGGCTAATTTTTTTTTTTTTTTTTTGTATTTTTAGTAGAGATGGGGTTTCACCAGGTTAGCCAGGATGGTCTCGATCTCCTGACCTTGTGATCTGCCCGCCTCAGCCTCCCAAAGTGCTGTGATTACAGGCGTGAGCCACTGCACCCGGCCAAAAATTGCTTATATTTCTATACACTTGGATCTGATAATGAAATTAAGAAAAGAGTTTTATTTACAATAAAATACTTAGGAATAATTTAATTAAAAATTTCAAAACTTGTGTTCTACAAACTAAAACATTAAAAGAAATTAAAGACTCAAATGGAAAGCTGTGTTTGTCGACTCATGGATTCATGAATTAGAGGACTATTTTTAAAATGGCAATGCTTATCAGATCTACCTATTTAATACAATCCTTATCAAAATCCAGGCTGCCCTTCCCCCCCCACCTCTCCGCACCAGAGGTTGGCATATTGATCCCAAAATTCATGTGGAAATTCAAGGGACACAGAATAGCTAAAAACAGTCTTGAAAAAACTTTCAAAATTTACTGTTGGCCAATAAGCACATGTAAAGATTCTTATCACTAATCACTAGGGAAATGCAAATTAAAACTTTAATAAGATGTTACCTCAGACCCATTCTGATGACTACTGTCAAAAAAACAGAACATAAGAAGTGTTGGCAAAGATGTGGGGAAATTGGAACCCTTGTGCACTGTTAGTGGTAGTTTAAAATGGAATAGCTGGGCATGGTGGCTCATGCCTGTAATCCCAGCAGTTTGGGAGGTCAAGGCAGATGGATCACCTGAGGTCAGGAGTTCCAGACCAGCCTGGCCAATGTTGTGAAACTCCATCTCTACTAAAAATACAAAAATTAGTTGGGTGTGGTGGCAGGCACCTATAATACCAGCTACTTGGGAGGCTGAGGCAGGAGACTCGCTTGAACCTGGGGAGTGGAGGTTGCAGTGAGCCGATATCATGCCGTTGCACTCCAGCGTGTGTGACAAGAGCGAAACTCCGTCTCAAAAACAAATAAATAAATAAATAAATAAATAAATAAATAAATAAATAAAATGGAATAGCTGCTATAGAAAACTGTGTGGCATCTCCTCAAAAAGTTAAAAATAGAATTACCGTATGATCCAGCAATTCCAATTCTGAGTATATGCCAAAAATAGAGCAGTGTCTTGAAGAGATATTTGTACACCCCTTTGATTTTTTTGTGTGTGTTTTATTTTATTTTATTTTTTATTTTTTTTGAGACACGATCTCACCGTGTCACTCAGGATGGAGTGCAGTGGTGCAATCTCGGCTCACTACAGCCTCGGCCTCCTGGGTTCAAGCAATTCTTGTGCCTTTCCCTCCCAAGTAGCTGGGATTACAGGTGCGTGCCACCACACCTGGCTCATTTTTAGTAGAGTAAGGGTTTCACCATATTGGCCAGGCTGTTCTCGAACTCCTGACCTCAAATGATCCACTGACTTGGCCTCCCAAAGTGCTGGGATTACAGGTATGTACTACCATGCCCAGCTAATTTTTGTATTTTAGTAGAGATGGGGTTTTGCCATGTTGGCCAGTCTGGTCTTGAACTCCTGACCTCAAGTGATCTGCCCTCCTTGGCTTCCCAGAGTGCTGGGATTGCAGGCATGAGCCACTGTACCTGGCCTGTACACCATGTTTATAATAGTATTATTCACAGTTGCTAAAACATAGAAGCCAACCAACTGTCCATCAGTGGATGAATGGGTAAGCAAAATGTGGTATTTACCAACAATGGAATATGTTCTGTTTTAGGAAGGAAGAAATTCTGACATATGCTACAACATGGATGGACCTTGAAGATAGTATACTAAGTGAAATAAGCCGGTCACAAAAAGACAATTACTATATGATTCTACTTATATGAAGAACTTAGATTAGTCAAAATTATAGAGATAGAAAGTATTAGGGTGGTTGTCAGGGGCTGTGGAGAGGGGAATATGGGAAATTGTTGAATGCATTTTAGTTTTGCAGGATTAAAAGAGGTGTGGAGATGGGTGTTGGTGATGGTTGTACAACAGTGTGAATGTACTCAGTGCCACTGAACTGTACAGTTAAAAAAATGGTTAAAATGGTAAATCTTATGTATGTTTTACTGCAATACAAAAAATTGGGGGAAAAAATCTTATTACACAGCTACAGTAATGAAGACTCTGTGTTAGTGGCCAAAGGATAAGCATAGATCAATGGAATAGAATTGAGACTAGAAATAAACCCTAATATTTATGGTCAATTGATGTCTGCCCCATCCCAGCCCCACAAGGATGCCAGATGAGTCAATGGAGGAAAGAAAAGAGCTTATCTATTTGTAGACTATTCATTCTCATAGTCTTTTCAACAAAACAGTGTGCTGAGACAATTGGATATCCACATGCAAAAGAATGGAAATAGACCCCTTCCTTATATCCTACACAAAAATGAACTAAAAATATATCAGAGACCTAAATGTACGAACTAAAGCTATAAAACAGGCCAGGTGCGCTGGCTCATACCTGTAATTCCAGCACTTTGGGAGGCTGAGGTGGGTGGATCATTTGAGGTCAGGAGTTCGAGACCAGCCTAGCCAAAATGGTGAAACCCCCTGTATACTAAAAATACAAAAATAGCCAGGTGCATGCCTGTAATCCCAGCTACTTGGGAGGCTGAGACACAGGAGAATCACTTGAATCGGGAGGCAGAGGTTGCAGTGAGCCGAGGTCCTGCCACTGCGCCCCAGCCTGGGTGATCAGAGCAAGACTTTCTCCCAAATAAATAAATAAATAATAAAACTATAAAACACCTAGAAGAAAACAGGAATAAACCTTCATGACTTTGGATTAGGTAAAGCTTTCTTAGATATGACACCAAAAGCAAAAGCAACCACAGAAGAAAATTGATGAATTGGACATCACAGTTAAAAATTTCTGCTCCTAAAGGATACCATCAAGGAAGTGAAAAGAACCCACAGAATATGAGAATATTTTTGCAGATTATATCTGATAAGGGACTGTAAGAGTTCTTTATTCTGGATACAACTTAATAGTAAAAAGACAATCCAATTTAAAAATGGGCAAAGGATCTTAATAGACATTTCTCTAACAAGGATGTACAAATGAACAATAAGCACGTGAAAAGATGGGAAATACAAATCAAAACTACAAGACAGCACTTTGTACTCACTAGGACGGCTATAATAGAAAAAGATAACAAGCCTGGGCTGGCGAGGATGTGGCTGACAAGACTGGAATCTTTTTTTTTTTTTTTTTGAGACAGAGTTTCGCTTTTGTCGCCCAGGCTGGAGTGCAATGGCGTGATCTTGGCCCACTGCAGCCTCCACCTCCTGGGTTCGAGTGATTCTCCTGCCTCAGTCTCCTGAGTAGCTGGGATTACAGGCATGCGCCACCACACCCGGCTAATTTTGTATTTTTAGTAGAGAGGGGGTTTCTCCATGTTGGTCAGACTTGTTTCGAACTCCCAGCCTCAGGTGATCCACTTGCCTCAGCCTCCCAAAGTGCAGGGATTACAGGCGTGAGCCACTGCGCCTGGCTGGTTGGAATCCTTATACATTGGTGGAGGTAATGTGGAATGGTCTAACTGCTCTGAAATAGTTTGGCAGTTACTCCAAATGCTAAACATAGATTTACCATATGACCCTGCAATTCTGCTACTAGGTATATGCTCAAGAGAAAGAAAAACATATATTCACATAAAAACTTGTACGCAGTTGTTCATAGCGGCATTATTTATAATACTTAAAAAGTGGAAACAACCCAAATGTTCATCATTTGGTAAATGGGTAAATAAATGTGGTGTATCCATGCTATGGACTATTATTCAGCCATAAAAAGGAATGAAGTATGCATACATGCTATAACATGTGTGAATCTTTTTTTTTTTTTTTAATAGGAGTCTCACTCTGTTGCCCAGGCTGGAGTGCAGTGGCATGGTCTCAGCTCACTGCAACCTCCGCCTCCTGGGTCCAAGCGATTCTCATGGCCTCAGCCTCCTGAGTAGCTGGGATTACACGCACGAGCCACCATACCTGGATAATTTTTGTGGTTTTAGTAGAGACAGGGTTTCACCATGTTGGCCAAGCTGGTCGCCAACCTCTGACCTCAGGTAATCCGCCTGCCTCAGCTTCCCAAAGTACTGGGATTACAGGCATAAGCTACCACACCTAGCCCTCCTTCTAGTACTTTTTTAAGTGAACTTTTAAATTATAACGTGTATACAGAAAAGTATGCAAAAAGTTACTAGTATATAGCTTGATGGGTTTTCCCATCCATGTAGAATTATGCATGTCATGAAATAAACTGGGTGCGTTGGCTCATGCCTGTAATCCTAGCACTTTGGGAGGCTGAGCCAAGCAGATCACTTGAGGTCAGAAGTTTGAGACCAGCCTGGCTAACATGGTGAAACCCTGTCTCTACTAAAAATACAAAAATTAGCCGGAAATCACTTAAACCCAGGATGCTGTGGTTGCATTGAGCCAAGATCGCGCCACTGCACTCCAGCCTGGGCACCAGAGCGAGACTCTATCTTTTTTTTAAAACACTATTCTCTCCTAGTTACTGTATCCCCCCGGGTAACCACTGTCCTGACATTAACATCAATTTTTCCTGTTTTTATACTTTATATAAATGAAAACATACAAGGTGTATTCTTCTGATATGATTTCTTTTACACAGCATTATATTTGTGAGTTGTATTGTAGACTGTGCATTCTCATTGCTGAGTAGTACTCCATTGCATGAATTTTTTTTTTTTTTTTTTTTTTTTTTGAGATGGAGTCTTGCTCTGTCTCCAGGCTGGAGTGCAGTGGCGCAATCTCGGCTCACTGCAACCTCTGCCCCCACCCCCGCCCCGGGTTCAAGCGATTCTCCTACCTCAGCCTCCCAAGTAGCTGGAATTACAGGCACCTGCCACCAAGCCTGGCTAATTTTTTTGTATTTAGTAGCAATGGGGTTTCACCATGTTGGCCAGGTTGGTCTCGAACTCCCGACCTCAGGTGATCTGCCCGCCTCAGCCTCCCTAAGTGCTGGATTACAGGCGTGAGCCACCATGCTCAGCCTCATTGCGTGATTATACCACACTTTATTCTTTCTATTTTTGAACATTTAGGTAGTTTTCTTGTTTTTAGCTATTATGAATAGTGTTGCTATGAATATTCTCGAACATGTCTTTTGGTGGACATCTGTGTGCATTTCTGATAAGTGTGTGCCAGGAAGTGGAATTGCTGGATCATAAGGCAGTGCTTCTCAAACTGTATTGTGCACATCAGTTTCCTGGGAATCTTGTTAAAAGGTAGATTCTGCTTCAGTAGTTCAAGGGTAGAGCCTGAGAGTCTGCATTTGTCAGGAGCCAGTTGGACTGGCTGTGGACCACACTTTGAGTATACCAAGGCCATAGGATATGCTTGTGTTTGGTTTTAGTAAAGAATGCCAAATGGTTTTCCAAAGTTACTGTCTCAGTTTACATCTCCAACAGCAGTGCATGAGATTCCTTTGTTTAGGTGTGTGTGAGTCTGTTTCGCTCAAACTTTTACATATCTTCTTCTAGATCGTCTCAGCTTTTCTTGGACCTTTTGTGTTTTCACATAAATTTTATAATTGGTATCAGTTTCCACATACAACCTGCTGGATTTTTGATTTGGATTGTATTGAATCTGTAGATCAACTTGAGAAAGAACTAGTGTTTCAACATCCAAATTCCTGAACATGGCTTATAGCCCTCCATTATTGAATGGTCTTTAATTTCTTTTTTTTTCCCCCCTCCAGGTTAAAGTGATTCTCCTTCCTCAGCCTCCCGAGTAGCTGGGATTATGGGCATGCGCCACCACACCCAGCTAATTTTTTTGTATTTTTAGTAGAGACGGGGTTTTTCCCTGTTGGCCAGGCTGGTCTCGAACTCATGACCTCAAGTGATCCACCCACCTCGGCTCCCAAAGTGATAGGATTACAGACCTGAGCCACTGTGTCTGGCCTAATTTCTTTCAGTAATATTTCTAGTTTTCTGTATAGAGATTTTATTTGCTAGTTCATTCTTAAGTATATGATTCGTTGATACTATTGTCAATGATTTCATTCTAAAATTTCTATTTAATAATTGTTGGCTGCTGGTATATAGAAGTACAGTTGGCCAGGTGCGGTGTCTCACACCTGTAATCCCAGCACTTTGGGAGGCCAAGGTGGGTGGATCACCTGAGGTCAGGAGTACAAGACCAGCCTGGCCAACATGGTGAAACCCCGTCTCTGCTAAAAATACAAAAATTAGCCAAGCATGGTGGTGCACACCTGTAATCACAGCTACATAGGAGGCTGAGGCAGGAGAACTGCTTGAACCTGGGAGGCAGAGATTGCAGTGAGCTGAGACCGCACCACTGCACTCCAACCTGGGCAACAAGAGCGAAACTCCGTCTCTCAAAAAAAAAATTGATTTTTGTATGTTAACCTTTAATGGAACAATATTGGTAAATTCACTTACCATTTTTCATTGTATATATTACTTTATTTTTTTGAGACAGGGTCTCATTTGTTCACCCAGGCTGGAGTGCAGTGGCATGATCATAGCTCACTGCAGCCTTGATCTCCTAGTCTCCAACAGTCCTCTTGCCTCAGCCTCCCAAGTAGCTGGGACCACAGGCACATACCACCATGCCCAGCTAATTTTTGTATGTTTTGTAGAGACAGGGTTTTACCATATTGCCCAGGCTGGTCTCAAACCCCTGGGCTCAAGCTCATGGTTATATATAGATTCTCTTGGATTTTCTTTGTGAATGTAATCGTGTCATATGCAAATCATGACAGTTTAATATATTTCCTTTCCGAGGTTATTTCTTTCTCTTTCTGGAATGTACTGTTTGGGACCTGCAGTTGAATAGGAGTGATAGTGATATCCTTGTCTTATTTCCCATTGCAGGGGGAAAGCTTTCAGTATTTCACCATTAACTGTGATGTTTGCTTTAGATTTATTTTCTTTTTTCTTTTTTTTTTTTGAGATGGAGTCTGGCTTTGTCATCCAGGCTGGAGCACAGTGTCTGGATCTTGGCTCACTGCAACCTCTGCCTTGGGGGTTCAAGCAATTCTCCTGCTTCAGCCTCCCAAGTAGCTGGGATTATAGGCACCTGCTGCCACGCCCAGCTAATTTTTGTATTATTGGTAGAGACTGGGTTTCACCATGTTGGCCAGGCTGGTCTTGAATCCGGACCTCAAGTGATCCACCCGCCTCAGCCTCCCAAAGTGCTGGGATTACAGGTGTGAACCACCACTCCTGGCCTGCTTTAGATTTTGTATAGCTCCCCTTCATCAGATTGAAAAAGGCCTTATATTCCTAAATTTGCTAAAAGATGGTTTTGGTTTTTTGGTTTTAAAATCATGGCCAGATACTGAATTTTGTCAAATGCTGGTTCTTCTTTTACTTAGGGTCTCACTCTGTCACCCAGGCTGGAGTGCAATGGTGCGATCTCAGCTTACCGCAGCCTTGACCCCTCTAGCTCAAGCGGTCCTCCTACCACAGCCTCCTGAGTAGCTGGGATTACAGGTGCACACCATCATACCCAGATAATTTTATTTATTTATTCATTTATAGTGATGGGGTCTCGCTATGTTGCCCAGGCTGGTCTGAAATTCCTGGCCTCAAGCGATCCTTCTGCCTCAGCTGCTGAAGCACTGGTATTAAAGGTGTGAGCCTCCACCCCTGGCCCATTTATATGATTTTAATTTTTGAGGCCTTAAGTTCTATAACCCAATAAATTTCTATCAGGGGAACCCACCCCCAGTATTTCAACGTAGGTTCTTTCTATTTTCCCTAAGTGTCGGCTGATCTGAGAAATAGAGTACAAATAGAGGAATTTTACAGCTGGGCCTCTGGAGGTGACATCACATATCGGTAGGACCGTGATGCCCACCTGAACTGCAAAACCAGCAGGCTTTCATTAAGGACTTCAAAAGCAGGGAGGGCCTGTACGAACAGGGAGTAGGTCACAAAGATCACATGCTTCAAAGGGCAAACAAGAGAACAAAGATCACATGATTTTGAGGAAACAGGACCAGGGCAAAATCAAACTCCTGATAAGGGTCTATGTTCAGTGGTACACATGTTGTCTTGAGAAACATCTTAACAGAAAACAGGGCTCCAGAGCAGAGAACCGGTCTGACCTCAGATTTACCAGGGTGGGGTTTCTTTCCCACCCTAATAATCCTGAGGGTACTGCAGGAGACCAGGGTGTATGTCAGTCCTTATCTCAACCACGTAAGACAGACACTCCCAGAGCGGCCATTTATAGACCTCCCCCCAGGAATGCATTCCTTTCCCAGGGTCTTAATTATTAATATTCCTTCCTAGGAAAATAATTCGCGATATCTTCCCTACTTGCACATCCGTTTATAGGCTCTCTGCAAGAAGAAAAATATGGCTCTATTCTGCCTGACCCCGCAGGCAGTCAGACCTTATGGTTGTCTTCCCTTGTTCCCTGAAAATCACTGTTATTCTGTTCTTTTTCAAGGTGCACTGATTTCATATTGTTCAAACTCACTTGTTTTACAATCAGTTTGTACAGTTAGATACAATTATCACAGTGGTCCTGAGGTGACGTACATCCTCAGCTTATGAAGATAACAGGATTAAGAGATTAAAATAAGACAGGCGTTAAGAAATTATAAAAGTATTAATTTGGGGAACTGATATATGTCCGTATTAAAATGAAATCTTCACAATTTCTGTTCCTCTGCCGCGGCTCCAGCCGGTCCCTCCGTTCGGGGTCCCTGACTTCCCACAACAATTTCTCTTCACTAAAATAATCACATTTTTGCTCTATGTCTCTGAAATTGCTCCTAAATCCCACTGAGTAGAGTTTGTGTTCTGGATCTCTTCAGTCACATATTTACAATATCTTGTGTTAGATTGCTGGAGGATTTTTTTTTTTTTAAACCAGTTTCCATGTTTGATTCTAGAGAGAAACCTTTATTTATCTTAGCTTCAAATTACTATTGGGCAGGGGGCTGTACCTCACTGTCACTCAGGATCAACTGTGTAATTTGTAGGACCCAGGGCAAGATGAAAATGTGAAATACTTTCCTCAAACATTAAGAATTTCAAAACAGTGGCAAAGCTTTATACCAAGTGCAGGCCCTTCCAAACATGGGGCTTGTGTGATGGCATGTGTTGTATACTTGAGAAGCCACCCTTGCTGTCACCACTGTGTATAGACTAGCTTTGGATTAGAAATACTCTGTCAGAAATTAAATGAGTTTCAAGTGTTTAACTTTTGGCCGGGGTGGTGCCTCACACTTGTGATCCCAGCACTTTGGGAGGCCAAGGCAGGAGGATCACTTGAGGTCAGGAATTTGAGACCATCCTGGCCAACATGGCAAAACTGTATCTCTACCAAAAATACAAAAATTAGCCGGGCGTGGTGGCACATGCCTGTAGTCCTAGCTACCAGGGAGACTGAAGCAGGAGAATCATTTGAACCGGGGAGGCGGAGGCTGCTGTGAGCCGAGATCAAGCCACTTCACTCCAGCCTGGGTGACAGAGCGAGACCCTGTCTCAAAAAAAAAAAAAAAAAAAACCCAAATGCTCATACTGTACTTCTACAAATATGGACTCTGAAATGCACATTCCCAAGCATTTGTAAAACAAGATTTTTCGAGTTCCCATTTATAATTGTAGTATAGTTTATAATATGAGCTAAATGCCTGTCAGTTTAGACAACCTGATATACTCAACTGTGGGACACTTTGAGAGTTCTTAAAAATACAGCTAATGGCCAGACACGGTGGCCCACACCTGTAATCCCAGCACTTTGGGAGGCCGAGGCAGGCGGATGACCTGAGGTCAGGAGTTTGAGACCAGCCTGACCAACATGGAGAAACCCTGTCTCTACTAAAAATACAAAAGTAGCCAGGTGTGGTGGCGCATGCCTGTTATCCCAGCTACTTGGGAGGCTGAGGCAGGAGAAGCACTTGAACCAGGAGGCGGAGGTTGTGCTGGGCCAAGATCACACCATTGCATTCCAGCCTGGGCAACAAGATTGAAACTCCGTCTCAAAAAAAACGGAAAACACAACTAACTTATACAAATTATTCTCTGTAAGAGAAATTTCTTGTTGGTTTATGACATTTGAGTTAACTAAAAAATTGGGATTGAACCAGAAAAATTTTGCTCAATAACTAGATTTTAGGCTGGGTATGATGGCTGACGCCTTTAGTCACAGCACTTTGGGAAGCCAAGGTGGGAATATCGCTTGAGCCTGGGAATTTGAGACCAGCCTGGGCAACACCGTGAGACACTTGTCTACAAAATTTTTAAAAATTAGCTGAGCATGATGGTGTGTTCCTATAGTCTCAGGTCCTTGGAAGGCTGAGGCAGGAGGATCGCTTGAGCCCAGGAGGTGGGAGGCTGCAGTGAGCCATGATCATACCACTACATTCTAGCCTGAGTCTCCAAAAAAAAAAAAAAAAAAAAAAAAGTATATTGGGAGAATGGAGAACCAGAGGGTGGGAGATATTGAAAATCATCTGTAGTGAGTTGAAGTCCATAGACAGTGTCTAAATGAGATATATCCAGAAAAAGTAGTAATCAAGAGCTGTTGACTGTTTGGAAGATTACCTTGTTTATTGCTGTTCCTCTTAAGGTATTTATATTAGTACAGCACACCTGCATCAGACTGGATTTGTGGCTGTCACATGCAAATGGAGGAAATTTAAGACTTTTTTTTTTTTTCACAATTAGAGACAAAAATTGCGAAGAACGTATTAAACTTCACTAATACAGATTATTTTATTAAAATATCATGTCAAATAATGGTAGAAACATTTAGAGAGATGGAAATAATTACAAAAGACTGCTAAAAGAAGTTGGAACAAGTTGGGGGATGTTTAATTATATATGCATATTTGATTTAGAACAATTTAAAACATTTCAATAACGTAATATAGAAACATGTTCATATACAAGAGGAAAATGTACATTGCAAAATAGTATATATAATATGACCATCTTTTTTTTTTTTATTTTTTTCCCCTGGAGACAGAGTTTCACCCTGTTACCCAGACTGGAGTGCAGTGGTGCAATCATGGCGCACTACAGCCTGGACCTCCTGGGGTCAGGTGATCCTCCCACGTCAGCCTCCCAGATAGCTGGGACTACAGGCATGTGCCACCATGCCCGGCTAATTTTTTGTAGAGATGGGGTTTCGCCATGTTGCCCAGGCTGGTGTTGAACTCATGGGCTCAAGCAATCCACCTGCCTTGGCTTCTCAAAGTGCTGGGATTATAGGCATGAGCCACTGTACCTGGCCTCATTTTTGTTTCTAAAAAGAAATGAAATGAAAAATTTTGGACAGATAAACACTGAAATGTTAAAGGGTAGTGGGATTTAACATGATTTTTATTTTCTTTTTTGAGACAGTCTCCCTTTTTCGCCCAGGCTGGAGTGCAGTGGTGTGATATTGGCTCACTGTAACCTTTGCCTCCTGGGTTCAAGCGATTCTCCTGCCTCAGCGTCCGGAGTAGCTGGGATTATAGGCGCCCGCCACCATGCCCAGCTAATTTTTGTATTTTTAGTAGAGACAGGGTTTCACCATGTTGGCCAGCCTGGTCTTGAAATCCTGACCACAGGTGATCCACTCCCCCCAGCCTCCCAGGGTGCTGGGATTACAGGCGTAAGCTACCGTGCCTGGCCGTGATATTTATATTCTTATGTTTTATATTACTTTTTCGTTTTTTCAGAGCAATTACCCTGTATTACTTTCTCATAATCAGAGGGAAAAAATTTCATTTTGAAAAAAGTAGTAATTGTGACATAACTTTAAGCAGGGACTATATATCTTTTTATTTCAAACATCCACCACAATGCGTAGCATGTGGAAGATGTAAATATCTGCACATACTGAGGAAAGGTGTGTGTCAGTGAGTTGCTTCTTTGCTTAATAAAAGCATTCCGGCCGGGCACAGTGGCTCATGCCTGTAATCTCAACACTTTAGGAGGCTGAGGCAGGCAGATCACGAGGGCAGGAGTTCGAGACCAGCTTGACCAACATGATGAAACCCTGTCTCTACTAAAAATACAAAAATTAGCCAGGTGTGGTGGTGCGTGCCTGTAATCCCAGCTACTCAGGAGGCTGAGGCAGGAGAATCATTTGAACCCAGGAGGCAGAGGTTGCAGTAAGCTGAGATTGTGCCACTGCATTCCAGCCTGGGCAACAGAGCAAGACTCCATCTCAAAAAATAAAAGCATTCCATGGCCATTGGCAAAGCAAAATAAGCTATCTAAGAAACAGTGTATTATAAAAAATGCTTCAAGAATTAAATGAAAAGCTTAGGAATTATGATTGTCAGAGAGAAGTGAGAAAAGAAAATGCAAAAAGCAACTGGTAACTGTTATTTAGTTTTCTTTTGCATAAGTAATACTTGCACTGTGTGTGTGTGTGTGTGTGTGTGTGTGTGTGTGTGTGTATGTATAATTTTTTTTTTTTGAGATGGAGTTTCACTCTTGTTGCCCAGGCTGCAGTGTAGTGGCGTGATCTTGGCTCACTGCAACCTCTGCCTCCCAGGTTCGTTCAAGCGATTCTTCTGCCTCAACCTCCCAAATAGCTGGGACTACAGGCACGCGCCACCATGCCCAGCTAATTTTTGTATTTTTAGTAGAGACGGGGTTTCACCATGTTGGCCAAGCTGGTCTTGAACTCCTGACCTCGTGATCTGCCCACCTCGGCCTCCCAAAGTGCTGAGATTACAAGTGTGAGCCACCATGCCCAGCCTAATGTATACAATTTTTAAAGCACAGAGAAGTATATAGTGAAAATTCTTCCCCTTGCTATCAGATCAGCACACTCTTCAGAGGCAGCCATTGTTATTCTTGTATATCCTTCCAGAAATACAGGATATTAACAGTACAACAAAGAATTTCATTGTTTACACATCATTTTATGCTTATGTAAGTTTCCCTGTAGGATAAATTCCTAGAAGTAGAATTGCTGAATCAAGGGATACCTGCATTTGCAATTTTTGTAGATTTGGCCAAATTGCCCTCCAATGAAATTATATTAGTTAACACCCCCACCACCAATGTAGGAGAGATTTTATGTAATTTCCTAGGTATCATTGATAATGTTTAAGAATTTCTTATTGCCAGGCTGGGCATGGTGGCTCGCGCCTGTAATCCCAGCACTTTGGGAGGCCGAGGCCGGCAGACCACCTGAGGTCAGGAGTTCAAGACCAGCCTGGCCTACATGGTGAAATCCTGATTCTACTAAAAATACAAAAAAATTATCCAGGCGTGGTGGTGGGTGCCTGTAATCCCAGCTACTTGGGAGGCTGAGGCAGGAGAATTGCTTGAACCTGGGAGGCGAAGGTTGCAGTGAGCCGAGATTGCACCACTGCACTCCAGCCTGGGAAACAGAGCAAGACTTTTTTTTTTTTTTTTTTTTTTAAAGACAAATTCTTATTGCCTATATGAGTGATCTAATCCTTGACAAATGAGTTTTCATTTTCAGTATATAGTTTGGTGAATAAACTCTTCTCTACAACAACAGTCTGTACCACACTGGCTAGAGTTATAGTGAAATATGGTTAAGTACTGAACCCTTTCTTAGACCCTATCAGATCCAAAGATACTGAACATTCTCCAGTGCTATCAAATCTTTGGAGAGAAAGTTTACCATAGCCTTTCCTTCCTTCTCTTTCCTTTTCCTATCTTGCTTCAAACATAGAAAGAAGTACCATATGAAATAAGTAAGCCTTTTTAGGCAGTTTTTTCATTCCTTAGCTGAGAGTAGAAGAGTGTGCTGCAAAAGACCTTCATAAAATTGAATAGGTAACATAGCAAAATAAGCTACAGTGTGGATCTTGGAATCAGACAGACTTGAATTCTGGTTCTGTGTGCCTCTTAGCTGTATAATCTTTGATATTTAATATTTATAAAATGAGGATAATAATTCATAGGGCCCTATTCTACAAAAGGACACTGTTTTTGTCAAATCCAGACACCTTCAAAGTAAGGATAAAAACCCAGGGAATGTTAGTTCCTTTTTAAGTCTGTTTTGTGATTTATAAAATGGGATAAATAGTCTCTTCTTCACGAGTTCTTGGAATAATTAAGATATACAAACACATTGGCACGCAGAGCACCCTCAGTAATTGTGAATTATTTTTTACTGTTACTGCAGTCATTTGATGTCTGTTGAAGGAATTATAGCCTGCATGGACTTACTGTGCACTGGAAGGAAGGGAAATCTGCTACCTGGTGGGTTAAAGCATTTTGCTTTAAAAGGTCGTTAGTAGAAGGCAGGCTGAGTGCTGGGTGCGCTCAGGTGTGACTGACTGCAGGACACCAAGAAGAAATGGGGTTTGAAGTAACAGCTCCCTTTATCCAAGCCGAAAACTGTGACGCAAACAGTGCTTTCTAAATCGCTGTGAATGGAACAACCTATTAGGGAAAGTTTCCATCTGGAGTACTGGTAATGAACTCAAATGAGAGTAAACTGCTGGAAAATTGCAAGAGCAATGGAAAATAAAAAGGGTGCCTAGATTGAATGAGTTAAGGTTGTATTATACTTTAGTTCAGAAACAAGTTATGGTGACTGGAAAAAGTTTAAGTAATTAATTCTAGAGTAAACTGTGTTAGATTAAATTTATTGGAGGGACAGCTCAAATTCTGTATTAAATCTGTGTAATTCTAGATCTAGGGTCAAGATTTAGATGAGCTCTCATCGTCTAATCCCAGTAGAAATTCCCTTAAGACAATTAGGACCTGAGAAACTCCTAGAGTAAGTAAGAACCATTCCAAATTGTAAGAAACAGTATTTTCTGACTGTATAAAATCTTGTTTTTCATTGGCCTGTTTATCTTTGCCCCTGCCATTTGTCATGTTGGTTCTCTTTACGCATTACAGCTTGAAAGTCATACCCTGATAGCTAGAATTTTAGACTCTTCAGTTAAATTCAGGCAATATTAATTGCATGCCTATTGGGTACCAGGCAGCATGCTAAATGTTAGGCATGTAAAGACAAGACGTTGTCCTTGCCCTCAAAGTATGCATAGCCTTGGCAGGTGGTATCAGTGATACTAACGATGGTGATAATCTAGCTAACATTGATGAAGCACCTGCAATTTACTCAATAACAGTTCTTGGTGCTTTGTATATATTAACTCAGTCCTCACAAGGGTCTTGATGTAGGTATTAATAGTATTATTTCATTTTACAAATGGAGACCCTGAGGCACAAAAATTCGAGTAACTTGCCTAAGGTCAAGCGGGTGAGAATTTGGAGCAAAGCCCTCGATTCTGCTATGCCAGACAGTTCCTGAGTTATTTATGCTTTGGTCAGAGCTTAGCTTATTAAAATTATGATTTTTAAAAGCCCACTTTTCTTTAAACCTTAAATATACTTAAAAATTCACTGAAAAATTTAGTTGGGTGTTAATATTAAAAATGCCTATTTGCTTGTTTTTTGACTGATGCTCAAGCGCTTTTACATTTGACAGATGAAATTCCTCTATTAAATACCATTTACAGGCTGGGTGCAGTGGCTCATGCCTATAATCCTAGAGCTTTGGGAGGCTGAGGTGGGAGGATCACTTGAACCCAGCAGTTCAGGGCTGCAGTTATCTATGATTGTGCCACTGCACTGCAGCCTGGGTGGCAGAGCACTACCCTGTCTTTAAAAAAAAAAAAAATTATAAACTTGACTAGAATTCCTTAAACATTTCAAAACATGCTTACAAATTTAATATATCTGATATCCCCAGGCACTTCAAACTTCTTCCAGTAAATCAACTACATAACTTTAATAAGTCAAATAGTCTCTTAAGAATTTTAAACATTTGAAAAACCAGAACATATACTCATGAGTGTAATGGTTACAAAAATGATGATTACACTTGCTTAAATACAACTTATACAAATATATCACTACCATTTATTCATTCAGGGGTTACAAATTTACCCAACCAAGGTGGACAAAATTACCATTTCGAACCTGCTATAGAGTTTTGGGGGTGGAGATTTAGGACTGGGTCAATAACTTTGAGGCTTATTTATTGGGCTAAGCTCTTTCATAGTGGTGGGATTGTCCAAGCCTGTACCTCTTGTGCTTACCCAATTTTTGACCACAATCTCTTACCTGCTCTAGAGGGAATGGAATTCTGCAGACCCTACTCAAACTGTGTCTTTACTGACTGATTTGCACTGATAGAACTGTGTCTAATAAATACTCATGTAATAATTTGGATTGATTTATAACACTTACAAATTATTGGAAACTCATGTATGTCATAATTCCATACCGAGGACCATCTCTAGCACAAATAGTACCTTTGTGTGAATTAACAGAAAGGTGCCCGGCCGGCTGCAGTGGCTCACGCCTGTAATCACAGCACTTTAGAAGGCCAAGGAGGGTGGATCACTTGACATCGGGAGTTCGAGACCAGCCTGGCGAATGTGGTGAAACCCCATCTCTACTAAAAATACAAGATTAGCCAGGCGTAGTGCTGCACGTCTGTAATCCCAGCTACTCGGGAGGCTGAAGCAGGAGAATCGCTTGAACCCGGGAGGTAGAAGTTCCAGTGAGCTGAGATCATGCCACTGCACTCCAACCTGGGCAAGAGAGCAAGACTCCATCTCAAAAAAACAACAACAAAAAACAAACAAAAAACTCAGAAAGGTGCCCCTCTAGGTAGATGAATTACAAAAGCTCAAAGTTAAGCTCACCCCAGGCCTGGCTGGATTTTAATCTCTACTTGCCCCCTTACAGCTTTTAAGATTTCTCCCCTTTTAAGTACCATTAAGACTGATGAATCTTAACTGAATTGTCAGATTGTCATTTGAGCCTTTAAACTGGCTCCTTTGTAGACTTTCTGACAGAAACAAGATCTAGCCCCATCTAGATTCCCACGCCCCCAAGCCCCCCGCTTCCCCCAAGGCTAGAATCAGCTATTCTCCATGGAGCCAGTTGCTTTTGTGGTAGAATAGTATTAGGTACTGTTAGATACATTAGTGATTTCATTGCATATCAAATTTTTCTGTTGGATTACTGATACGGTTCTCTAGTGACAAAGCTCTAAAAGATCTCTTTTTAATGGGTCATGGTGTTTCCAGTGTAATTTTAATCCTTTAAAAATCTTTTCAATATTTCAATATTTCAAAATATTGAAAAGATTTTTAAAGGACTTATTTAAGTCCTACTATGTGGCAGACAGCATTCTAGGCACAGAGGAGACGGCAGTGAATCAGGTCATGTCCCTGCCTTCGTGGATTCAGTATCTAAGTGGGGAGCAGACAAGCCTTACATCTACCCCCCACTTATTTTCAAGCCACAAGCTTGTTTCCTGTGTCATTTGCAATACTTATTTGCCAGTTTTGATATATGCTGCCATGCCAAGCGGTGTGATTAAATTACAGTGTCGTCTAAACTTTCTATGATGTAACTGGATGTGTATTAACCAATTCGATCCTGGTCTTGAAGCCAGGCTTCGTTTGTAATCATTCAGTGCCTACTTGATGATCCTTCTATAGTTCAAGCATTCAATAGGGAAGACAGCGAATGGAGGCCAGTTCTTCACATTGCCTCACTCTTGCCCGTAGCCTCCTTTCCTGGGTGTTACTCCTCAGACGCTCTGCTGGCCCCTGCTGCTTCCTGCCCTGTTGTTTGTTTCTTCCTTTTGTTTCCTCCATCCAAAAGCCCCAATCTCACTGCAACATAGGGCTTTTTTTTTGGGCGGGGGGTACTTTGTCATATAGTTTTGTTTCCTTTTTTTTTTTTTAACCAGGTTAAAAAAGGGTGAATCAAACACTTTTCTCCTTCAGGTTCTCTTCAAGTCTGGTGTTAAGTTCTCTCAGTGGAGTAGGTATTTGTGAGGCCCAACAATACTTGGAAAGGTTTTATTCCTTAAGCTTGGTGGTAAGAACGTGGATGTTTGTTTTCTTTTACGCTGTTCGTCGTGTCTGAAATCTTTTGTAATAACTTAATGTTTTAATGTTCTGGTCTGATAACTTCTGGAGGAGTGGCAAAAGATGGATTATTAACAGCTAGTAGACGAATGCATGAAGACGTACGATGGAGGATGTCATTAGGTGTCTACTATGTGGCAGACAGCGTTCTAGGCATGGAGGAGACAGCAGTGAATCAGGTCATGTCCCTGCCTTCTTGGTTTCAGTATCTAAGTGGGGAGCAGACTAAGCAAATAAATATGAACCAAAACATCAGATGCTGGCAGGTGGTATGTATGGCAGAGAAAGGGCATAGTGACTGGGCAGGGGAACTGTTTTAGATAGTGGTCAGCAAAGGCCTTGTGAGGAGGTGACATTTGAGAAGAGACCTGAATGAAGTGGGGGATAATGAGTGTGAACATGTGAGGAATTGCTTTCCAGAAGTGGAGACAGGAAGAGCAAAGACTCTTCTTGGATAGGACTGTGTTTGATAAACAGCAAGAAGTGCCTAGAGAAAGGCAAGCCAGGCTGGGCACAGTGACTCACACCTGTAATCCCAGCACTTTGGGAGGCTGAGGCAGGTGGATCACCTGAGGTCAGGAATTCAAGACCAACCTGGCCAATGTGGTGAAACCCTGTCTCTACTAAACATACAGATTAGCTGGGCATGGTAGTGGGCACCTGTAATCCCAGCTACTCGGGAGGCTGAGGCAGGAGAATCACTTGAGCCTGGGAGGTGGAGGTTGCAGTGAACCAAGTTAGCACCATTGCTCTCCAGCCTGGGGGACAGAGCAAGAATCTGTCTCAAAAAAAAAAAAAAAAAAGGCAAGCCGCCAGGCCAAAATCGGTGGGCTGTGGCACCATAAAGATCCTCACGAGCTGCTCTAGTGGGGAGGTTTGGGAGAGTTTTGAGCAGGGGAGTGGCAGAATCTTACCCTTTAGAAAAGATTACTTTGGCTTTTCTGCAAAGGACTTACTGTGGAGAGCAAGGGTGAGACAAAGAGATCAGTAAGCTGTTGTAATTCAGGGGAGAAAGAATAGTGACTTGGACCAAGAGGGTAGAGGTATGGGGGTGGTGAGAAAAAATCAGATTCTGGATAGAAAAAGAGAAGAGGTAAGGATGAGGCCTAGGTTTTTGGCTTGAACAACTGGGTAGATGTTAATGCATCCTTCCCCTCCTTAAAGGAGGAACATATTTAGAGAAAGAAAGTGTGATATGCTTGGTAGACAGCCAGTGGAGATACTAAGTAGGCAATTGGATGTATAAATCCAGAATTCAGAGGAATGATCTGGAGGGAGACATAAAAGATCACCAGCAGATAGATAATGAAAATTTTGAGACAAAATGAGATCATTACTCAAATGAAGAAGTATAGACAGAAGAAAAGAGATCCAAAAGTGGAGGTTCAAGAGTGCTCTGATTTTTAGAGGTCAGGAATGAGAAGCTAGTACAGAGGATTGAGGTGGAATCTCCACTAAGGAGAACCAGGAAAATATGGTGGAAGCAAGGTAAATATACTCTTCTTTCCTTTTTTTTTTTTTTTTTTTTTGAGATGGAGTCTCCCTCTTGCACTCACTGCAACCTCCAACTCTCGGGTTCAAGTGATTCTCCTCCCTCAGCCCCCCGAGTAGCTGGGATTACAGGCATGAGCCACCACGCCCTCCTAATTTTTGTATTTTTAGTAGAGGTCGGGTTTCACCATGTTGGCCAGGATGGTCTCGATCTCCTGAACTTGTGATCTACCACCTCAGCCTCCCAAAGTGCTGGGATTACAGGCGTGAGCCGCTGTACCTGGCCTGTTTACTCCTTTCTTAAAAGGATATTTACGGCCGGGTGCAGTGGCTCACGCCTGTAATCCCAGCACTTTGGGAGGCTGAGGCAGGCAGATCACTTGAGCCCAGGAGTTAGAGACCAGCCTGGGCAGCACGGCGAGATCCCATCCCTACTAAAAATAGAAAAACTTATTCAGATGTGGTGGCATACACCTGTAGTCCCAGCTACTCAGGAGGCTGAGTTGGGAGGATCACCTGAGCCAGGGAGGTTGAGACTGCAGTAAGCCATTATAGCACCACTGCACTCCAGCCTGGGCGACATAGTGAGACCCTGTCTCAAAAAAAAAAAAAAAAAGAGTAATGAAATACTGAACAAGATGAGGGCTAAGAATCATTGTATTTAGCAAAATGAGAGGTCATGGAGATCACAAGAGGGGTTCTATTGGACAAGACTAATTTGGAGCATGTGGAAGAGAAATGAAAGTTGAGCAAGTGGGGACAGTGAATAGAGACAGCTCTCCTAAGGCTTTTGGTGTAAAGAGAAGTAAAGTAGAGTGATAGCAGGAACCAGATAGGGGACATGGAGAAGTTTTTCATTTTTAAAGATGGGAGGTATTTCAGCCTTTGGGTGTGCTAATGCAGATTATCTGGGAGAGGAAAGCCTGTGATGATGGAGGCGTCTCACCATGTAGCATTCTGTGGCCTCCTCCCAATCCTGTGGAGGTGGCGGTTAAGGGAAGGAATAGTTTTACCAGGAGCAACTATTAAACATATGATAGAATGAATCATTGGAAACAATGGAAATATCTAACACAGAGGAATTTAAATACACTGTTCTATAGCCATAATTGTTAGATATGCATAAATTGAACTATTCAGCCACTAAAAATCGTAATAAGGTTCTATATTGATATGAAGAGACTTTCAAGACTTAAGTGAAAGAGGTAATTATTGTGAAAAAAATATGTAAGACACACACACTTTGGAAAAAAATGTCTGAAAGGTAGTATTATGAATGATTTTCAATTTTTCCATTAGGTTCTAATTGTTTTCCAAATTACTCCCCCATGGATTCTCTACAACGAACATGTGTTACTCGTGTGGTTTTTTTCTTAAGTTATTAGTATGTCAGTGAGTTCAACTCTTTCATAGCAATTATAAAATATTTCTATATTTTGACTTTTTTAGCCATTTTATTTCAGGTTTTCAATCTTGCATTTTTGTTCTTTTTTTTTTTCGTCTGAGACAGAGGCTTGCTCTGTCACCCAGACTAGAAATGCAATGGTGCGATCTCAGCTCACTGCAACCTCCGCCTCCTGGGTTCAAGCGATTCTCCTGCCTTAGTCTCCCGAGTAGCTGGGATTACAGACACCCACCACCACGCCCAGCTAATTTTTGTATTTTTAGTAGGGATGGGGTTTCACCATGTTGGCCAGGCTGGTCTCAAAATCCTGACCTCAGGTGATCCGCTTGCGTCAGCCTCCCAAAGTGCTGGGATTACAGGCATGAGCACTTTTGAATTCTTGTTTTGAGCTTTGGGTTATATTAATTAATCCATTCAACCAATATTTAATCAGTATTTTCCATGGGTTGATAATTGTTTTAAGCTTTGGGAATACAACAATAAACAATAACAGATGAGAATCCCTGCCCTAGTAGAACTTTCTTTCTAGTGGGATATAAGATAATAAACAAGATAAAAGTATAAATTTCATACTGTTTCTTAGGTAGTGAGTTGGATTTAAGACAGGTTGTGGTGTGGCCAGGCAAATAAGATGAGGTGAGAGGGGAAAGGGAGTTGAGGGTCTGATTAGAATTATTGACAGTAGAATGAATGAAAGCTAGACTGGGAAGGGGCGAAGGGCGCATGAGGGTGTAGGAACAGTGGATTGAAAACCAGGCAAAGGCTTGTTGGAATTGGTACTAACAGGAGGGATCTGTAAAGATATAGGTATTGGCTGGAGAGGGGATGTTTGGAAGTGAGATAATGGATAGGTTGTAGTAATTGTGAATGACAAGGTCAATGGAGTGATCATAGAAGAGAGTGACTAAGTTAAGATTGAAAATATAAAACATGAGAAGAGACCTTTGCTTCTCCCTATGGTGGAGTAACAGGGCCCAGATTTTATGCCCTTTCCTTAACAAGGAAACTATGCAGAATATCCTGAAACAGTGGTTTTTAGACACTAGACAACAGGCAAGGCGGGAGAGAAGGCAGTGCTTGGGAGAAAAGTGAGCCCCCGTGATTGTCCCAGCTGACCGACTGGAGATCACAGGGCAAGGAGGGACAGGCTAAATGGAGCCCCACAGCCTCCCTGACGAAGGAGACAGAGTGGAGAATGTAAGGAAACCAAAGAGAGTAGAATTCCCAGAACCTTGGAAGAATGCACTGCACACCTCCCAGAGAAATGCGGCGCATTCCTGAGTCTTCAGCAGAGTCCCGTCGAATGTGTGTGTGTGAGGAGACCACCAAGGCTGCTGAAAAATAAGGGATGGCCTTGGAGTCCCGGGCTTCTTGTGGTGAGTCGATGAAATTAGTCCTGATGGTGCTAAGACAGACAATAATGGAGAGGCTGTGAGTATTGAGGGGCAGGGGGAGGAGTGGTCTTACCCGAAACGCCAGAGTTCTGGCGCTTTCGCTCGATTTTGACAATGAGTGAGACCTGTAGGGTGATAGTCTTGCTCCCACAGTTCCCTCTTGACTTCTGCTGCTTCCCTTGACTCCTGCTGTAGGAAACAGAGTCCTGCCGAGAGTTGGACTTCATTGTTAATCATCCGGGTTAAAGGGCAACATTGTCGGTGTTCTCCTTTTTCTATGGACTCTTTCCCCCAGAATACAACTCTATGGTTTCAAAACAGGAGTCATTGAACAAAATATTTTCTAGCAAATTTTTGAGAAAATACTGGTTCCTAGAGGTAAGAATTACTTCTGCCGTGTATGTGTGAATATATA